>NC_000010.11:94840064-95143095 GCF_000001405.40 Homo sapiens
CTACTTTTAGTTAAGTAGTTGTTTCTACCGACTGAATGCATTTGGCCCATCCGCGGGTTACTGGGTTAAGGATTTAATACGCCTTTATTTACACTGACAACAAAGTGGCAATTACCAATTACAGGTTTTAAATTTACCCTGGCTTTTAAAGGAATGGGGCACACTTTTTTTTTTTTTAACTATTTCTATCTTTTTCTTTCTTTTTCTCTTTGACTCCCTCTTTGTCTCTCTCTCTGTCTCTCTCTCTCTTAGCCATTACAAACTTGGGGCCCTGGCAAGTGTGGTGGGGAATGGGTCCCACGTAACTGCCCATGTCGAGAGCTGTATACCTAAATCAGGAGGGATACCAGGGATAAGACTCCCTGGGTTATAGCCTAGGTGCCTAAGGATGCAGCGTAGAGACTCCTTAGATCCCTTTAGAGATACAACTTGCTAGAGGAAATGAAAGTCTGAAACATTAGTACCTAGGAGGCAGGGATCAGAGGAAGTAGATTCAGAGGTAAGGAGAATTTTGGGGCTACACTTTAAAGAAAGTCGTGGTCAGGACCCAGGAGGTATGGGTCAGAAGGAAAGGTAGGGGCGCACGCATGTGTGACAGGTGAGTAGAGACTTCTGGCTGCGCCATGATCTCAACCGGCTACTGCCAGGAGTTCGGGACAACAGCTTTCTGCCTCTAGTCAGCCCTCAGCTTCCCCAAGAAAATTGGAAGTGGAAGCTGGCTCCAGGCAGACCAACATTCCCAATAGAAGGGTTGGTTGTTAGAAAGCCCTTCCCCAGATAACCTTACACCTGAGTCTTCAGTCTGGTGGCCACGCTAATCATTTTTAACTGGCCGACAGGTGCCTGGTATTTTCCTCCAGTTCTAAGGAAGGATAGGACAGAACAGCTAGTGAAAGTGGTCCAATATTACCGCTTTGGATGTCCCTTTGTTGTCACCAAAATGTTACCAAGGGGGTCCTTGCTCACAGAGCTCCCAAGATGGTGGTGATCCACTTCCAAGATGGTGGTGGGCCACTTCCAAGATGGTGGCAAGCTTCGTGTTCTCTGACCTGGGGTTCTTGGCCTCACGAATTCCAAGGAATGGAATCTTGGGCCATGCAGTGAGTGTTATAGCTCTACTAAAAGCTGTGGGTCATGGAAGAGAACCGTGGAACCCGGCAACTAGTGTTCAGGTTGATTAGGACAAACCCAGGCACTTAGCCATGCAGGAACAATGGCAAGATTTTAGCCCTATCGGGAATGGCAATGGGACCCTCACTGGATCAGGAGCACAGCAGACACCCTGCCAGATCTGGAGGGATGGAAGTCTGCAGCGGGTTTGCGATGGTGGCAAACAGCAGTGGTGGACGGCGAGTGAAAGCTCAGCTCCAGCCATAACAGACACAGACCAGAAGAGTGCAGTTGCAAGATTTAATAGAGTGAAAACAGAGCTCCCATACAAAGGGAGGGGACCCAAAGGGGGTTGCCCTTTGGTTTTCATTTGCTCTTGCTTATCTAATTCTTTAGGATTCATCATTAGATTGTTTATTTGAAAATTTTCTCCATTTTTGATGTAAGCTCTTAGAGCTATAAACTTTCCTCTTAGTACTGGTTTTGCAGTAGCCCCTAGGTTTTGGTATGTTATGTTTCCATTATCATTTGTTTCAAGAAATTTCTGAATTTCCTTTTTAATCTCTTCATGGACCCACTGGCCATTCATGAGCATATTGTTTAATTTCCATTTACTTGTGTAGTTTCCAAAATTCCTTGTGTTACTGATGGCTAGTTTTATTACTTGGTGGTCAGAGAAGATGCTTGATATTATTTCAGTTTCTTTGAGTGTTTTAAGACTTGTTCTGTGACCTAATATCTGGTCAATTCTTGATAACAATCCATGTGCTGTGGAAAAGAATGTGTATCTGTAGCAGTTGGATGAAATATTCTGCAAATATCTATTAGACCCATTTGGTCTATAGTGCAGATGAAGTTCAATATCTCCTTGTTGATTTTCTATCTGGATGACCTGTCCAATGCTGAAGTGGGTTGTTGAAGTCTCCAGCTATTATTGTATTGGGGCCTATCTCTCTCTAGTTCTAATTATGTTTCTTTTACATATCTGGGTGCTCCATTTTTGGTTGCATATATACTTAAAATTGTTCCATCCTCTTGCCAAGCTGACTGCTTTATCATCAATTGTCATATTCTTTGTCTCTTCTTACAGTTTTCGTCTTGAAATCTATTTTGTCTGCTTTAAATATAATAACTCTTCCTCTTTTTTTTATTTCCTTTGGAATGTACTGTCTCATTCCATTCCTTTACTTTCAGTCTATGTGTGTTTTTTTAAGTGAAGTTTTTTTTTTTTTTTTTTTTAGGCAACAGATTAATAGGTCTTGTTTCTTCATCTAGTCAGTTTGTCTTTTGATTGGAAATTTTAGTCCATTTACATTCAGTGTTATTATTAAGTAAGGACTTACTTCTGCCTTTTTGTTATTTGTTTACTGGTTGTTTTGTGGGCTTCTCTTCCTTCTTTCATTTCTTCCTGCCTTCCTTTATTGATAATAATTTTCTCTGCATATATGTGTACAGATTTTTCTTAATGCCTAGCTTAAGGCACAGTTACACATTTGTGCATCTGTAGCAGTCCTCTCTTTAAGTTACACATACTTCCAGCACTATAATTTAAATTTATTATGATGTTTGGATACCTTCATCATGATTCATGTACCCCTGAATTGCTAGAACAAATGTTCCATTTCTCTCCTTTTCCATCAGTTCTTACTTGTGTCTTGTCAGCTAAAGTCCAGGAAGAGATTGAACGTGTCATTGGCAGAAACCGGAGCCCCTGCATGCAGGACAGGGGCCACATGCCCTACACAGATGCTGTGGTGCACGAGGTCCAGAGATACATCGACCTCATCCCCACCAGCCTGCCCCATGCAGTGACCTGTGACGTTAAATTCAGAAACTACCTCATTCCCAAGGTAAGTTTGTTTCTCCTACACTGCAACTCCATGTTCTTTTATTCCTCAAATTCACAGTATGATTCTTACCCTCTACCATCACTGGGTGAGAGAAGTGCATTACTCCTATGTATGGCAGTTTAATTGGACTTTCTGTTGATTCCAGTTTGGGACTATAAAGATTTGTAACAGGTCTTAGTGTCTCACAGTGTGTGTTTTTCAGATTTATTCTTTCTTCAAGATTGTTCTGGCTACTCTTAAGTGGTTATATTTCCAGACAAATTTTGAAGGTGTTAATTTTTCAATTTCCCAAAACATTGGGCTAGAATTTCTGTCAGGGTGACATTAAATTTATAGGTCAGTTTGGAAAGAACTGACATCTTGACACCTTGAGTCTTTCTGTTTGTGAATATAATTATGCTTCCAATTTATTTGCACTTTCTTTATTTTCCCAGGAATGTTGTGATTTTGTTGTCATGGCTTGCAAGTCTTTGGTTTTTCCTAGATAATTAATATTTTTGTTGTTGTTATAAACTTACAAAATGCCTTTTGATTTCTTTGTACTTGGTATGTTGAAACATAATTAGTTTTTATCATTCTGATGACCTTAATCTATCAACTTTGCTAAATTTACTAATCACTATTCATAATTTATCTCTAGATTCATTGGAATTTCTGTGAACAGTACACTGTATCTGTGTTAATATTGTTTTATTTCTTACTTTCCAATTCTTGTGGGCTTAATTTCTCTTTATTGCATTCATTATTGCATTGGCTAGAATTTCTAGGAGAGTGTTGAATAGAATTGCTGATAGTGGGCATCCTTGTTTCTCATTTCTAATCTGCAGGAAGCAGTGGAAGTTTTACATTTCAATATTGAAAATGATGCTAGAAGTAGATTTTGGTAGAAATTCTTTATCAGATTAGGGAAGTTTGCCCTCACATATATATAGAAATAAATATAAATAGAAATAAGTATGCACATAGAGATGAATTTATATTCTTCATATTGTTTAGGGCTTCTGTGTTTACATTCACAAGGATTTAGTTTGTAATTTTCTTTCTCAGAATTTTCAAGATTTTTGATATCAAGATTAGGCCAGCCTTATAAAACTAAGTGAGAAATGTTTCCTAATGTGAGTCTGTTTTTACTGCCTCCCCGTCTCCACTTTTCTTCTTGTGATCACTTAGTTGTATCTTTGAAATGCCTAATAACTTTTGGTTAAATACCAGATGTTATGTGTAAGAAAGTGCAGAATTTCAGAGGATGTTTATATTCTTCAAAGAAAGATTCATTCCTCTCCCATCGGCAGTCATAATGACATAACACATGTTGTCATGATTCAGAATTGTACATAATGTGAACCCAGTCGAAAATTGACTGTCAGTGTTAGCTTAGCTCTCTGAGGTTCTCCTACCTCTGGAATCTTGAGACCAATTTTTGTCTTGGCAGCTTTACAATTGCCTTCTATCACATGGTTTCTGTATTCATCCAGACACTCTAGTTGCCATCTCAAACCTGCTCTTTTCCAATTTAAACCAAGACATATTATTAGTAAAATTAAAAATAATATAACCTAAAGTTATATTTTCAAGGGGAAAAATCAATGAGATTGGTAAGGTTGAAATTACTAATGTCACTTTTTGAAGAAGACAGAATTGTTAATTTACCAAGAGATTATGGGGCTTACCCTGAGGTCACTGATTTAGTACAAGAGTTAAGACTTCAATGCACTCTGTTTTCACAAACACAGGAGATAACCAGGAGAAGGCTTTCGCTTCTCAAAATTAGGGTCTGAGGGTAATAGTAATGAAACTTATTTCTTCTCCTATAACTAATTAATGAGAAATATACTGAAGAATCAGGATGAGTCGCCAGTCTCCCAATCCACTGCATCAGCTTTGGTGACCTGTTGAAGGGGAATGCTGCATCTGATGAGCTTCTTCATTCACCCACCTGCAGGGCAGCTCATGCTATGCCTGGTGTCTTTTGAGCCCTGAGAACCCAGAGCGCAAGGAAATCACCCACTGAATCCCTTCTTCATGGAACAGCCTATAGAAAAGTGCAGCACTGCGTGGCCAATTCTACCCTCTTTACAAATCAGGCAAATGTGTTCTTCTGCTACAGGCTGGATCCACTTATCTAGGTGGAGATAATAGTCTGAGAGAGGAGTTGGCAAACTGTTCCTGTAATGGGCCAGATAGTAAATATTTTAGACTTTTTAGGCCATGATGTTTCTGTTGCAATCCTTGACATCTGCTATTGTAGCATGAAAGCAGTCATAGACAATGTACAAATGAATATCTTCCAATTTTTATAGAAACAAATGTAAATTTCCCATAAATTTTTGTTTCAAAAATATTATTTATTTGCATTTGTTCAATGTAAATACTTTTAGCTCACATACTATACAAAAACAGGTGGCAGGATGGACTTGTGCAGAGAGTATTGTTTATTGATGCCCAATATAAGACTTTCCTGTCCAGTAGAATTTTCTGCAAAGATGCTCGATTGATTTGTGTCCTATTTAAAGAATATTTGTCAGCACAAGATTCCAAAGACTGAGTTTTAACTTTCCCATAATTTTTTTGTTTTAGCTCTTATATTTACATCAATGACATGTTTCAAATTAATTTTTATTTGTAGTATGGAGTAATAATGGTCGTGCTTCAATGTCTATAAATTTCTATTTATTCAAGTAACATTTGTTGAAATAAATCTGCTTTGGTATCTTAAAAACATTTTAATATAGTACTTATTTATAAATATTCAAGGGAATATTTTTTAAAACAAAATTGTAGACTATTTATATGAAAACTTAGTGGGTAGAATTTTTCATCACCTTTGTATTATAAAATTTTTAAGAATAAATAACATTACACACATATATCTATATGTACATATGGCAGTGTGTATATATATCTACTTTGATATCTGTCTATCCATCTATCTAGACCTCAATACTGCAGTATATGTAGCCCAATAACAATGGTTTTCTCCTATATAATAATAATAGCATTCATAGTATGGAGTTATTGATACAATAATATTATTTACTGTACAGCTTATATTTAAAATTTCCCAATTCTTAAGGAACATTTTAATTACTTTTTTCTTTCAATTCACTCTCCAGTCAAGAAACAGGCACATAATTCGGGTATGTTGTCATTTTTATCTCCTGTAATCAAGAACAGTTCATTTCCTCTGTTTCCTTTCAGTATGTTGATCTCTGTGAAGAGTTGAGGCCTTTAGTCATTTAAATTTTCTTCGGGCTTGTTTTGTATAATTGTTTTCTAGATATTATATTCCAGTTATGACTTTGGCAAGAAAACTACATAGTACTTTGACTATTCCACTGAATCACAGTGGTGAGGCAGAGGCACATAATGTTACATATGCTATTACTGGTTATGCTAAGATCCTGACCTAATAAGTTGGAATCTGCCAGATCTCTCCATTGAAGGAGTTCTGCTTTTATGTGTAAATGATGAAAATCTATGGCATGACACTTTAAGACAGAACACCCTGTTTCCAAAGTCACACATCCAATAGTTTTATCTTTCATTGATGATCCTTGCCTGGCCTGATGATCTTGACCTGAATGGTTACAAAAGATGATTTTTTTCTAATTTCATTATTCCTTCTGTATTTTTTAAACTATTAGAATCTATTTATTTATTTATTTATTTTATTATTTTTATACTTTAAGTTTTAGGGTACATGTGCACAATGTGCAGGTTAGTTACATATGTATACATGTGCCATGCTGGTGTGCTGCACCCATTAACTCGTCATTTAGCATTAGGTATATCTCCTAATGCTATCTTTCTGTATTTTTAAGCTATGATTAATCTGTAATGAATATCTCTCCCGTATCTTTAAATGATAACAAACAAACTACATGGCAATGACAAACATTCAATAGTTTTATACTTGTGACTATACTTGTTACCATTCTAGAAGACGTCGTTTGAAGCTCAATCATATGTTTATTCACAAATGCCCTGTGAATAGACACTCTGGCCATTTCCCATGTCAACAGAGACTTCAACTTTATTTTATTTATTTATTTATTTATTTTTATTATTATACTGTAAGTTTTAGGGTACATGTGCACAACGTGCAGGTTAGTTACAAATGTATACATGTGCCATGTCGGTGTGCTGCACCCATTAACTTGTCATTTAGCATTAGGTATATCTCCTAATGCTAACCCTCCTCCCTCCCTCCACCCCAAAACAGTCCCTGGTGTGTGATGTTCCCCTTCCTGTGTCCATGTGTTCTCATTGTTCAATTCCCACCTATGAGTGAGAATATGCGGTGTTTGGTTTTTTGTCCTTGTGATAGTTTGCTGAGAATGATGGTTTCCAGCTTCATCCATGTCCCTACAAAGGACATGAACTCATCATTTTTTATGGCTGTGTAGTATTCCATGGTGTATATGTGCCATATTTTCTTAATCCAGTCTATCATTGTTGGATATTTGGGTTGATTCCAAGTCGTTGCTATTGTGAGTAGTGCTGCAATAAATATACGTGTGCATGTGTCTTTATAGTAGCATGATTTATAATCCTTTGGGTATATACCCAGTAATGGGATGGCTGGGTCAAGCGGTATTTCTAGTTCTAGACCCCTGAGGAATCACCACACTGACTTCCACAATGGTTGAACTAGTTTACAGTCCCACCAACAGTGTAAAACTGTTCCTATTTCTCCACATCCTCTCCTGCACCTGTTGTTTCCTGACTTTTTAATGATCGCCATTCTAACTGGTGTGAGATGGTATCTCATTGTGGTTGTGATTTGCATTTTTGTGATGGCCAGTGATGATGAGCATTTTTTCAAGTGCTTTTGGCTGCATAAATGTCTTCTTTTCAGAAGTGTCTGTTCATATCCTTCACCCACTTTTTGATGCGGTTGTTTGTTTTTTTCTTGTAAATTTGTTGGAGTTCATTGTAGATTCTGGATATTAGCCCTTCGTCAGATGAGTAGATTGCAAAAATTTTCTCCCATTCTGTAGGTTGCCTATTCACTCTGATGGTGGTTTCTTTTGCTGTGCAGAAGCTCTTTAGTTTTATTAGATCCCATTTGTCAATTTTGGCTTTTGTTGCCATTGCTTTTGGTGTTTTAGACATGAAGTCCTTGCCCATGCCTATGTCCTGAGTGGTATTGCCTAGGTTTTCTTCTAGGATTTTTATGGTTTTAGGTCTAACATTTAAGTCTTTGATCCATCTTGAATTAATTTTTGTATAAGGTGTAAAGAAGGGATCCAGTTTCAGATTTCTACATACGGCTAGTCAGTTTTCCCAGCACCATTTATTAAATAGGGAATCCTTTCCCCATTTCTTGTTTTTGTCAAGTTTGTCAAAGATCAGATCATTGTAGATGTGTGGTATTATTTCTGTTGGCTCTGTTCTGTTCCATTGGTCTACATCTCTGTTTTGGTACCAGTACCATGCTGTTTTGGTTACTGTAGCCTTGTAGTATAGTTTGAAGTCAGGTAGTGTGATGCCTCCAGCTTTGTTCTTTTGGCTTAGGATTGACTTGGCAATGCAGGCTCTTTTTTGGTTCCATATGAACTTTAAAGTAGTTTTTCCAATTCTGTGAAGAAAGTCATTGGTAGCTTGATGGGGATGGCATTGAATCTATAAATTACCTTGGGCAGTATGGCCATTTTCACAATATTGATTCTTCCTACCTATGAGCATGGAATGTTCTTCCATTTGTTTGTATCCTCTTTTATTTCATTGAGCAGTGGTTTGTAGTTCTCCTTAAAGAGATCCTTCACGTCCCTTGTAAGTTGGATTCCTAGGTATTTTATTCTCTTTGAAGCAATTGTGAATGGAAGTTCACTCATGATTTGGCTCTCTGTTTGTCTGTTATTGGTGTATAAGAATGCTTGTGATTTTTGTCCATTGATTTTGTATCCTGAGACTTTGCTGAAGTTGTTTATCAGCTTAAGGAGATTTTGGGCTGAGACGATGGGGTTGTCTAGATGTACAATCATGTCATCTGCAAACAGGGACAATTAGACTTCATCTTTTCCTAATTGAATGCCCTTTATTCCCTTCTCCTGCCTGATAGCCCTGTCCAGAACTTCCAACACTATGTTGAATAGGAGTGGTGAGAGAGAACATCCCTGTCTTGTGCCTTTAAGTCATAGTCTACACATAAGATTTGTGAAAACTGAAGTGATGAAATAGAGCAGCAGGAGTGGACAGGCACTAAAGCCCAAGCTTGATGAAAAGGACAGATTCAGAAGGTTGCACCCAAGTACGCAAGTACTCAGTACTTCAAATGTGGTTGTGGGCATTTTATTTATTTATTTATTTATTTTTTTCATCAGCAGATTTTATTAAGAAGAAGAAACAGGAAATTCAAAAGCAAGTTCATTTTAAATTAGCTGGTCAGAAGAGTACAAAGAGAAAAAAAAAGAAAAGAATCAAGAAATCCTATAGGACTTTGGGATTTTTTTTAAATTTTATTATCATTATACTTTAAGTTTTAGGGTACATGTGCACAATGTGCAGGTTTGTTACATATGTATACATGTGCCATATTGGTGTGCTGCACCCATTAACTCATCATTTAGCATTAGGTATATCTCCTAATGCTATCCCTCCCCCCTCCCCCCACCCCACAACAGTCCCCGAAGTGTGATGTTCCCCTTCCTGTGTCCATGTGTTCTCATTGTTCAATTCCTGATTGTGGGCATTTTAGCAAGATTATTGTCACTGGCCTTAAGCTCATGCCTCTTATTACTTCGTCTATCTGTCTGGAAATGGTACTGCTCTTCTTTGGAATGGTGTTTCATCATCTGTACATCAAAAGATTTAACTGCATGATTACCACTGTTTCTTAAACCTTCGTGACTTCTTTACAGCTCAGTTCACCTATGTCTCTTGTTTCTAGGGCACAACCATATTAACTTCCCTCACTTCTGTGCTACATGACAACAAAGAATTTCCCAACCCAGAGATGTTTGACCCTCGTCACTTTCTGGATGAAGGTGGAAATTTTAAGAAAAGTAACTACTTCATGCCTTTCTCAGCAGGTAATATAAATTTATTTCCCTTTGTGTTTCAGGGTACAAGATAACTTTTTTGATCAGTTGGAACTTACATGTGCCTTCTCTGCAGTGGTACAGTTACTCTTTGTACATGATCAAGAGCACTGTTCTGAATGCCTGTGTTTTCTCCGCTGGTGATACATCCTCATTATTCGGCCAGATTAGTGGGTTTTGGAGAATTAATCCAATTCTTCCAAATTGAGAAAGCTGAAGTATAGGTTGGTTGAATTCTGCCTCTAGATACACCACTGAGGTACTCAAGAACTCCTCCTGGAAGATAAAACTAATTACATTTTCCTCACTAGCCATGAGGAAGTTATCTCACTCCAGAACTTCACTGAGTGTCTTCCACATGGTGTCCCTCACCCCCTAGGCTGGGCTTGTAGGATAAAATTATCCTCAAACACAGAATAGGGTCTTAAGAGGCTCACTTCTGTGTTTGGAAAGCAGAGTAAACAGATCATTGTAGTTCAATAGGACTGAGGCTGTGATATAGAAAAGAACAGGCTGTTGTGGGTTGGGAGGTAGATGGAAAAGCTGTCTGCTTCTTGTTATCTTATAACCCAAAATGAGACATAAGTAACTAATAGCAGTAAAGACATTTAAGCTACATCAAAGGAGTCAGAGAGGATGAAAAGAAGAGAAGGCAGGGCTATTAAAGGAGATAATGAGCCACAGGAGCAGGATATTGGCTCTAAATAAAGGATATTAAAACCTTTGCCAAATAACCATGGATGGGATCAGGGGGACATTAAGAATGTAGCAGGATACTCTGCAGTGATGCAGAGCACCATGCTCTTTCCCTAGTCATGGCAATGTTTTTTGGATGTTTGATCTCCACACGTGAAATGTGTGTGCTGAGCATCTGGTGATAGAATCTCCTTCCTTTTTCTGTGACCTTTGATGTCTGCTTTATATGTGGCACTGTAGATACCAAGATAACAAGGAAAGAAACCTTCCTTCAAGCATTCACATTTAGCACATGTATCAGTCCATTCTTTCATTGCTATAAAGAACCACCTGAGACTGGGTAATTTATGAAGAAAAGAGGTTATTTGACTCACAGTTCCACAGGCTGTACAGGAAGAATGGCTGGGAGGACTCAGGAAACTTGCAGTCATGGTAGAAGGCAAAGAGGAAGCAAGCATATATTTTCATGGAAGAGCAGGAGAGAGAGAGCAAAGAGGAAAGGCTACACACTTTTAAACAACCAGATCTCATGAGAACTCACTCACTATCATGAGAACAGCAAGTGAGAAATCATCCCCTATGATGCAATCACCTTCTACCAGGTATCTCCCCCAACACTGGGAATTAGAATTTGACATGAGATTTGGGTAAGGACACAGAGACAAAGCATACCAGCACACAAATAAATAAATAAATAAATAAATAAATAAATAAATAAATAAATAAATAAGAAATAAGAAATTATGATTCTAGGTGACACATGCTGTCTGTTTCTTCTGCCATATCAAAATACCCAAGACTAGGCAACTGATAAATAACAGAAATTTATTTCTCACAGTTCTGAAGGCTGTGAATTCCAAGATTGAGGTGTCAGCAAGTTCACTGTCTGGTGAGGGCCTGTTCCTTATTGATAATACCCCCTCTGTATCCTCATGTGGCAGAAGCACAAAAAAAGCAAAAGGGGAGAAATGGCTCCCTTGCATCTCTTGGTGTTATTATTTTAGCAAGGACAGAGCCCTCCTGACTTATTCACTGCCTACAAGGCCTCATCACTTTAGTAATGTTGCACTGGGTATTATGTTTCAACATATGAAATGGGGGGAGGAATATTCAGACCATAGCACATTTTTCAATGGAAGCATGAACATGATGTTGAGGAATCCCAGGGAAACGAACATTTTCTTGCTCAGTGAGATGAGAAAGAGAGTAAAAAAGGAGATAAAATTTGACCTATGTCCTGACTGTGGTAATAGAAAAGTTCATCTTGTTCAAAAGGAGAAGCATGATATAAAACTTGAAACCTAGTGTGTTGGGGACTGATGATGAGTGGCTATGCCTAGAGTTGAGAGTAGGGGAGGTGAAGAGTGTAAAATGTGATACGGATCATCAGACTGGAAACAGAATGTGAGGGTCCAGGTCAAGCTATTTGGATCTTATCCCATAGGACAGACAGGGAAGCCATTTAAAGTTTTAAAGTGAGGGGGTAACATGTTTAGACATGTGATTCTGAAAATACTTAGCGGGAAAAAAATCTTTGGCTGCATACTGAGCCAGAAATACAAAGGGAAATGCCGAATGTGAGCCTCCTCCCCTAAGCCCTTCTCAGTTCAACCCACTGGACAGGTAATGTATGTTTCTCAAGAAAGATTTTAATGAATTGCTTGGCATGTAGCTGACAGTCAATAAACATTTGTTGAATACATGGTGCTTGATAAGATCTGAAGATAGGTGAAGAGTAAGCATGTCCATTCATTGTTTAGTTGCCTATCCATCCATTCATCCATTAATCCTTCCACCCATCCATCCTTTCATTCATGCATTCACCCAACCACCCATCTATCTACTCATCCCTCCTATGATTCACCGAACAGTTCTTGCATATTCTGTCTGTGCCAGTTATAGAGACAGTGTTTGTCACTCTCACAGTTACACATGAGGAGTAACTTCTCCCTATGTTTGTTATTTTCAGGAAAACGGATTTGTGTGGGAGAGGGCCTGGCCCGCATGGAGCTGTTTTTATTCCTGACCTTCATTTTACAGAACTTTAACCTGAAATCTCTGATTGACCCAAAGGACCTTGACACAACTCCTGTTGTCAATGGATTTGCTTCTGTCCCGCCCTTCTATCAGCTGTGCTTCATTCCTGTCTGAAGAAGCACAGATGGTCTGGCTGCTCCTGTGCTGTCCCTGCAGCTCTCTTTCCTCTGGTCCAAATTTCACTATCTGTGATGCTTCTTCTGACCCGTCATCTCACATTTTCCCTTCCCCCAAGATCTAGTGAACATTCAGCCTCCATTAAAAAAGTTTCACTGTGCAAATATATCTGCTATTCCCCATACTCTATAATAGTTACATTGAGTGCCACATAATGCTGATACTTGTCTAATGTTGAGTTATTAACATATTATTATTAAATAGAGAAAGATGATTTGTGTATTATAATTCAAAGGCATTTCTTCTCTGCATGTTCTAAACAAAAAGCATTATTATTTGCTGAGTCAGGTTATTAGACCTTCCTTCCTTTGTGCATAATGCAGGTGACAAATTAAAGAAAATAGAGTTCCAGGAGGCCATGCTGGTTCTCAAAACGATAAGGACAGAAAGGACAAAGGTGAAGATGGTAGGGAAGCTATTTTGGCTGAGCATTACCAAAATTTAGAGTTACATGAGGATTGGATTTGAAAGTGAGAAACTGTGTCCAGGAGCAGCTCCAACCTCTAGGGAAATATTCAGAGGATCAGGTATTGGGAGGAATGGATATTAAATGTTCCACATTGGTGTTCCTTTTTTTTTTTTTTTTGAGACAATGTCTCACTCTGTCTCCCAGGCTGGAGTGCAGTGGTGCAATCTCGGCTCACTGTAACCTTCGCCTCCCAGGCTCAAGAGATTCTCCTGCCTCAGCCTCCTGAGTAGCTGGGATTACAGACACGTGCCACCATGCCTGGCTAATTTTTTTGTATTTTTAGTACAGACAGGGTTTCACCATGTTAGCCAGGATGATCTCAATCTGCTGACCTCCTGATCTGCCTGCCTCAGCCTCCCAAAGTGCTGGGATTACAGGAGTGAGACACTGTGCCTGGTCTAATGTTACTTTAAAGTGTCATTACTTTATCTCTAAATAAAGAATCAGGTTACTTTTATTACTTCATGTTTCCAACTTAGAATGAAGTAATGAAGTATAAATATATGCTTTCATATTGCTGCTCATGTGTTTTGTCATGCTTCTCTCTTCAAACATGAACAAAATTTCTTTTCTTTTTTCTTTTTTTTTTGAAATGGAGTCCCACTTTTGTTCCCCAGGCTGGAGTGCAATGGTGCGATCTCGGCTCACTGCAATCTCCACCTCCTGGATTCAAGTGGTTCTCCTGCCTCAGCCCCCCAAGTAGCTGGGATTACAGGTGCCTACCACCACACCAGGCTAATTTTTGTATTTTTAGTAGAGACAGGGTTTCACTATGTGGGCCAGGCTAGTCTTGAACTCCTGACCTCAAGTGATCCACCCACCTCAGCCTCCCAAACTGCTGGGCTTACAGGCGTGAGCCACTGCACCTGGCTGAACAAAATTTCTAAGAAGAATTACCAGGGTTTAATCTTTTTCAGCTTCTCCTATATTGTTTTAGTTTTAACATTAGTGGGATGATAATTTTATGCTATTGTCCTAATATAATTAGCCTCATGTCATCTCCAAAGCATAGACAACTAAGTATCTTATGTTAAATTATGTTCACCACTCTTCCTGTCTTCTACTTGAAATGTAAGAAATAAGAAGTAACATAATTGATTATGCTTTTCACAGCTCATCTCCTAGAACAAGCTACTTACAATTTGGAATACATTTAAAGATAATATATGGGTACAGATGTACATGTACATCTATGCATGTGTGTGTACATTATGTGCATTCACACATAATATATATATGTATAACTTATGCACACATACATATAGGGTTAAATGTTTATTTACAATATTGGGCTCATATCACACATCTTGTATTAAAACTTGCTATTTTCCTACCAAGTAATATGCCAGCAAAACCTCTAAGGTGATAGAAACATAGGCAAATAATTCAGAGAGTTAATAGAAGAGAAAGTGGAAATGGGTATTACATTAATGGAAAGATACAGATGGAAATTACACATTATACATTTTAAACATTCTTCATTGGGAAATGAAAATGTATTAATGTAGTGTTAGTAGAGGTGTTGACAAACACCCATGGGTGAGATAAATAAAAAAGTTGTCTAGTCTGTTTCCTCCTGGAGACTGTAGTGGATAATCTGTTTTCCTGCCTATTTCAGCTCCTAAAGGCTGCCTGCATTCCTTGGCTCATGAACTCCTTTTTCTTTCACTCCAAACACTTGCTTCTTTTGTTACATCTCCTACTCCTACTACTCTTATTCTCTCTCCCTTATGTAAAGACCCTTGTGATTACATGAAACCCACCAGTGTAATCTCTTCATGTCCAGACATTATTTAGCCTACCATACTATTATTATACCCATTTGAACAACCAAACAATTGCACTGATGATCTGTTAAGCATCTTGTTCAAGGTCACACAGCTTTTTAAGTGTCAGAGCCAACAATTGGACAAGGGCAATCTGACTGGAAAGTAGAAGTTGCTAACAACTTTGCTAATTCTCTGCATTTATTTTTATTGTTTGTATTTCTTCCCTAAAATACATATTTCATATGAGAAGAGAACTTTATTTGGCTCACTAATGAATACCAGCCACCTGAAACACTGTTTAGAAGATACTGGCTCAATAAATATTTAATGAATGAATGACTACTTAATGAATTAATGAATGAATGTGGGCATAAAGGAGCACGTGAATTTATTTATTCTCTTTTAAGGCCAATGTGACAATATTCATAGAAATGTATATGAACACCTCAGTCCTTCAAACAGTTTCACTTCTTGAGTATTCATGGATATCATTGAGTGTATATATTACTTACTATATATAAATGCTTATTTTATGATTGTTCATAATAGACTTGAAACAAAAATTTTACTGGAGGGTGTGAATAAATTATGGTGGATCTTTTTTTTTATTATACTTTAAATTCTAGAGTACATTTGTACAACGTGCAGGTTTGTTACTTAGGTATACATGTGCCATGTAGGTTTGCTGCACCCATTAACTTGTCATTTACATTAGGTATTTCTCCTAGTGATATCCCTCCCCCATCCCCCACCCCATGACAGGCCCCAGGGTGTGATGTTCCTCACCCTGTGTCCAAGTGTTCTCATTGTTCAATTCCCACCTATAAGTGAGAACATGCAATGTTTGCTTTTCTGTCCTTGTAATAGTTTGCTCAGAATGATGGTTTCCAGCTTCATCCATGTCCCTGCAAAGAACATGCACTCATCCTTTTTTATGGCTGTACAGTATTCCATGGTGTATATGTGCCACATTTTCTTAATCCAGTCTATCATTGTTGGACATTTGGGTTGGTTCCAAGTCTTTGCTATTGTGAATAGTGCCACAATAAACATACGTGTGCATGTGTCTTTATAGTAGCATGATTTATAATCCTTTGGGTATATACCCAGTAATGGATCACTGGGTCAAACGGTATTTCTAGTTCTAGATCCTTGAGGAATCACCACACTGTCTTCCACAATGGTGGAACTAGTTTACACTCCCACCAACAGTGTAAAAGCATACCTATTTCTTGACATCCTCTCCAGCATCTGTTGTTTCCTGACTTTTTAATGATCGCCATTCTAACTGGTGTGAGATGGTATCCCATTGTGGTTTTGACTTGCATTTCTCTGATGACCAGTGATGATGAGCATTTTTTCATGTGTCTTTTGGCTGCATAAATGTCTTCTTTTGAGAAGTGTCTGTTCATATCCTTTGCCCAATTTTTGGTGAGGTTGTTTGATTTTTTCTTGTAAATTTGTTTAAGTTATTTGTAGATTTTTGATATTAGCCCTTTGTCAGATGGGTAGATTGCAAAAATTTTCTCCCATTCTATAGGTTGCCTGTTCACTCTCATGGTAGTTTCTTTTGCTGTGCAGAAGTTCTTTAGTTTAATTAGATCCCGTTATTCAATTTTGGCTTTGTTGCCATTGCTTTTGGTGTTTTAGTCATGCAATTTTTGCCCATGCCTATGTCCTGAATGGTATTGCCTAGGTTTTCTTTTGGGTTTTTATAGTTTTAGGTCTAACATTTAAGTCTTTAATCCATCTTGAATTAATTTTTGTATAAGCTGTAAGGAAGGGATCCAGTTTCAGCTTTCTCCTTATGGCTAGGAGTTTTCCTAGCACCATCTGAATGTTGGCCTGCCTTGCTAGGTTGTGGAAGTTCTCCTGGATAATATCCTGAAGAGTGTTTTCCAAGTTGGTTCCATTCTCCCCGTCCCTTTCAGGTACACCAATCAAACATATATTTGGTCTTTTCACATAGTTCCATATTTTTTGGAGGCTTTGTTCATTTCTTTTTGCTCTTTTTTTCCTCTAAACCTCTCTTCTCACTTTATTTCATTCATTTGATCTTCAATCACTGATACCCTTTCTTCCACTTGATCGAATCAGCTATTGAAGCTTGTACATGCATCAGGTAGTTCTTGTGCCATGGTTTTCAGCTCCATCAGGTCATTTGAGGTCTTCTCTATACTGTTTATTCTAGTTATCCATTCATCTAATCTTTTTTCAATGTCTTTAGCTTCCTTGCCATGGGTTCAAGCATCCTTGTTTAGCTTGGAGAAGTTTGTTATTACCAACCTTCTGAAGTCTACTTCTGTCAGCTCATCAAAGTCATTCTCCATCCAGCTTTGTTCCATTGTTGGCGAGGAGCTGCAATTCTTTGGAGAAGAAGAGGCGCTCTGGTTTTTACAATTTTCAGCTTTTCTGCTCTGGTTTCTCTTATCTTTGTGGTTTTATCTACCTTTGGTCTTTGATTTTTGTGACCTACAGATGGGGTTTTGGTGTGGATGTCCTTTTTGCTGATGTTGATGCTATTCCTTTCTGTTTGTTAGTTTTCCTCCTAACAGTCAAGTCCCTAAGCTGCAGGTCTGTTGGAGTTTACTGGAGGTCCACTTCAGACCCTGTTTGCCTGGGTATCACCAGCGGAGGCTGCAGAACAGCAAATATTGCTGCCTGATCCTTCCTCTGGAAGCTTCATCCCGAGGGGCACCCACCTTTATGAGGTGTCAGTCGGCCCCTACTGGGAAGTGTCTCCCAGTTAGGCTACATAGGGATCAGGGACCCACTTGAGGCAGCAGTCTGTTCATTCTCAGACCTCAAACACTGTTCTTTGAGAACCACTGCTCTCTTCAGAGCTGTCAGACAGAGACGTTTAAGTCTGCAGAAGTTTCTGCTGCCTTTTATTCAGCTATGCCCTGCCCTGAGAGGTGGAGACTACAGAGACAGCAGGCCATGCTGAGCTGCAGTGGGCTCCACCCAGTTCAAGCTTTCCCAGCTGCTTTGTTTACCTACTCACGCCTTAGCAATGGCAGACACCCCTCCCCCAGCAAGGCTGCTGCCTCACAGGTCGATCTCAGACTGCTGAGCTAGCAGTGATCAAGGCTTTGTGGGTGTGGGTCCTGCTGAGCCAGGCATAGGATATAACCTCCTGGCATGCCGCTTGCTAAGACCATAGGAAAAGTGCAGTATTTGGGAGGGAGTGTCCTGTATTTCCAGGTACAATGTCATGGCTTCCCTTGGCTAGGAAAGGGAAATCCCCCAACCTCTTGTGCTTCCCAGGTGAGGCAATGACCTGCCCTGCTTTGGCTCACCCTCCATGGGCTGCATCCACTGTCCAACAAGTCCCAATGAGATGAACCAGGTAGTTCAGTTGGAAATGCAGAAATCACCCATCTTCTGGATCGATCATGCTGGGAGCTGCAGACCATAGCTGTTCCATTTTGGCCATCTTGGAATGGAATCCCCCCAATTTTTTTCTATTGTGGATCTAAAAAATGGAAAAGTAAGCTGTAGTTTCAAATGATTTTCATCATCATATAATAATAAATTATTTATTGTATGGCAGACACTATAATCATATGAAAACATTAATTAATTTAGTTCCTATAACAATACAATGAGTTTAGTACAATTGTAATTCATCTCCATTTAACAGATAAAGTCATGGAGGAACAGAGATGTTTATTAATGTGTCCAATATCATAAGGCCAATAAGTGACACAGCTGGAGTAAACAGAAAGTCTAATTCCAAAGTCTGTTCTCCTAAACTCTACAGTGTGCTGGGTTTATTTCTGGGGAGTCTCATCTGTACAGTTCTTCTAGGCTCTGGCTGTTAGAGACTTGGTCTCTCTTCCTCCACCTAAAACTATCCTGATATCTATATTCTCCTTTCTATTATTCTTCAATGCTATTCCAGATCTGGGTAGGAAAGCCTTAGCTTCACAGTCCCCCAATAATAATGAAATGGGTGTGTTCCCTTATCCCTCTCAGGATGTGTGACAGGGGTGTGGCTCACTTCCTTGGTGCTTCACTGCTCAAACCGCAAGTGGGAGCATGCTGACAGGCAGGTACAGAGGCCATGGGGAGTGCTTTTTAGGCTCTGGCACCACAGCAGCATCTAGGGGTGTCTGTAACTACTGAAGCCCAACCGGGTTGTGTTACAGTGTGCTCTTTCAACTTTGCTGTCTGCAGATGGCTTGTGTTAATCAGCTCAATTAGACCCTCTGCCTTATCGCAAGGTCAGAGGGCTTTCTGTATCCCAGGTTCTTGCCCTAGTTACTGGAGAAATCAGATCACATGTGGGTTTGGAGGATGAATGCAAAGTTTTATTGTGTGGTGATGGTAGCTCCTATAGAGGTGAGTGAGGAGTTAGAAGGGAGATGGTTGGGAAGGTGGTCTTCCCCTGGAGTAGGGCTGGCCAGTGGCTGGACTGTCCTCCAAACAATTCTGGCTGAATTCCCCTCAGCAGTATACTACCTGTACCCTGACAACTTATGGAAAAATAAAAAAAGAATAAATAAATTTGTAACATTTAAAAAATAAATAAATAAAACTAATGCCCCCCCCAATTAAAAGAGCACAGGAAACAACACAAGGGCTTACACAGTGCTAGTAATAATTCCTCTGACCATCCTCCAGAGAGAAAGACCTCTAATTCATTGGATATCAGGTAGAGTGCTCAAAGCATATTGCCTCAGTAAAGGGGGGAAAATCCATAGGCTAACAGCTGCTCTTGTGTGTTCTAATAAAGTTTAAATACAGCTCTCATAAGGATAAAACTGGTTTCTAATGACTTAAATACATTTCAGAAGAATACAGAAAAATATTTATAAGATCATATGAATTTTCTGCAGCCTTAACATAAAATCACAATGGTTTTTATCCAAAGGAGAGTTATCAGACATGCAAGCAAAAGTGAAGATATGAGAAAAAAAGTAATATATACAAGTAGGTTTAAAAATTACACGATGATTGAATTCATGACAAGGAAAATAAGATAGTTATAACTGAATATCTAGATTTCGTATGTTCAAGAAAACAGAGGGAAGACTGGCCATACTACTCATCAAAGGGGATACATAAAAAAAAACACAGATTGAAAACCTAGAGAAAAAAAATGCAAGGTCTGAAATGAAAAGCACACTGAATATAATTAAGGGCAGATTAGAAACTACAAAAGAGATAAGTGAATTCGAAGACATAAGAGAAAAAACTATCTTAAATTAAACAAAGAGAAAAAAAGACTGAAATAAAATGACCAAAAAATAAATAAGTGGGGGGACAACTTCAATTAAATTTAAAAATATGCAATCATAGCTCATAAATGTGGGTAAAAAAAGTATGTGAAATATAATGGCTATATTTTCTTCAAATTTGATTAAAACTATAAGCCAAAAGATCCAAGTAACTCAACAAGCTCTAAGTACAAGAAACATAAAGAAATTTACACGAATGTACCCCATAAATAAAATGTATAAAGCCAACCATAAGACAATCTCAAAAGCAACCAAAAAGGATTTTAAATATGGGGGAAATGAAATTAAGGTGTATAGTCTTATTTTAGTTCTCTTTTTGCTTTTTTTAAATGTACACAATATTAAGTTGATATCAGCTTAAAATAATGGGTTATAAGATAGTATTTGCAAGCTCCATGTAACCTCAAAAAAAAAGTACAATGGAGACACAAAAGTTAAAAGCAAGAAACTAACTTATATGGCTAGAGAAAATAACCTTCATTAAAAGGAAGACAAGAAAAAAAAAAAGAGGGAGGAAAAGACCAAAAAACAAACAAAAGCAAATAACAATATGGCAGGGTTAAGTCCTTACTTATCAATAATAACATTGAATGTAAATGGACTAAACTGTTCAATCAAACTTCATAGAGTGGCTAAATGGATTAAAAAAGACCCATTGATCTGTGGCTTAAAAGAAACATATTTCACCTATAAAGACGCACATAGACTGAAAACAGAAAGATGGAAAAAGATATTCCAAGTCAATGAAAATGAAAAAGGAGCAGCATTGCTATACTTATATCAGACAAAACAGATTTCAACACAAAAACTGTAAGAGACAAAGAAGGTCATCATATAATGATAAAGGGTTCATTCAGCAAGAGGGTATAACAATTTTAAATATATACACACCCAACACTGAAGCAGCCAGATATATAAAGAAAATATTAGAGCTAAAGAGGGAAATAGGCCCCAATACAATGATAGGAGGAGGCTTCAACTCCGCACTCTGAACATTGTACAGAATTTCAGACAGAAAATCAATAAAGATACATCAGACTGAATCTGCACTATAGAACAAATATATATAATAGGTATTTACAGAACACTTTATTCAAGAGCTACAGAATACACATTCTTTTCTTCAGCACATGGATCATTCTCAAGGATAGACTATATGTTAGGTCACAAAACAATTCTTAAAACATCCACACAATTTGAAAGTATATCAAGTATCTTTTTTGACTGCAATGGGATAAAACTAGGAATCAATAACACGGGGAATTTTGGAAACTATACATATACATAGAAATGAAACAGTTTGCTCCTGAATGACTAGTGAGTCCATGAAGAGATGAAAAAGGAAAGTGAAAAGTTTCTTGAAATAACTGACAATGGAAACACAACATACCAAAATCTAGGGGCTCCAGCAAAGACAGTACTAAGAGGGAAGTTTATAGTTACAAGTTCCTACATCAAAATGATGAAAAACTTCAATAAAAAATCTAATTATGCATCTTAAGGAACTAGAAAAGCAAGAGCAAACCAAGCCCAAAATTAGTAGTCAAAAATAACTAATAAAGATCAGAGTAGAAATAAATGAAATTGAAACCAGAAAACAATAAAAAAGATCAATAAAACAAAAAGTTGGGTTTTTCAAAAAGTTAAAAAAAAAGATGAATCATTAGCCAGACTAAGTAGGAAAAGAAGTTAGAAAATCCAAATGAATGAAATCAGAAATAAAGGAGATGTAACAACTGATACCAAAGAAATTCAAAGGATCATTAGTGGCTACTATAAGCAATTATATGCCAATAAATTACAAAATCTAGAAGAAATAAACAAATTCCTGGATATATAGAATGCACCAAGACTGAACCATGAAGAAATAAAAAAGCCTGAACAGATCAATAACAAGTATCAAGATGGAAGCCATAATAAAAGTTTTCCACTAAAGAAAGGCCTGGGACCTGACAACTTCACTGCTGAATTCTACCAAACATTTAAAGAAGAATTAATATCAATTCTACTCAAAAGATTCCAAGAAACAGGATATGGGAAGACTTCCAAAGTCATTCTATGAGTCTGGTATTACTCTGACACGAAAATTAGACAAAGACACATTAAAAAAGAAAACTATAGGTCAATATCTCTGATGAATATTGATGCAAAAATCCTCTACAAAATACTAGCAAGGTGAATTCAACAATACATTAGAAAGATCATTCATCATGACCAGGTAGGATTTATCCCTCAAATCAATCAATGTGATACATCATATTCACAGAGCAAAGCGTTAAAAACCATATAATCATTTCAATTGATGTTGAAAAAGCATTTGATGCAATTTAACATCCCTCCATGAAAAAAACCCTCAAAAAACTGGAGATAGAAGGAACATACCTCAACATAAAATCCATATACAACAGACACACAACTAGTATCATATTGAATGGGGAAAAAAACTGAAAGCCTTTTCTCTAAGCTCTGAAACACAATAAAGATGCCCACTGTCATCATTGTTATTCAAGATAGTACTGTAGGTCCTAGCTAGAGCAATCAGACAAGAGAAAGATATGAAGGGGATCCAAATTCAAATGGAAGATGTAAAATTATCTTTATTTTTTATTTTTTTCATAAGTTATTGGGGGTACAGGTGGTATTTGGTTACATGAGTAAGTTCTTTAGTGGTGATTTGTGAGATTTTGGTGCATCCATCACCCGAGCAGTATACACGGCACCATATTTGTAGTCTTTTATTCCTCACCCCCCTTCCCACCCTTCCCCACAAATCCCCACAGTCCATTGTATCATTCTTATGCCTTTGGATTTTTATAGCTTAGCTCCCACATATCAGTGAGAACATACAATGTTTGGTTTTCCATTCCTGAGCTACTTCACTTAGAGTAATAGTCTCCAATCTCATCAGGTTTCTGCAAATACTGTTAATTCACTCATTTTTTATGGCTGAGTAGTATTCCATCATAAAAATATATACCACAATTTCTTTATCCATTTGTTGATTGATGGACATTTGTGTTGGTTCCACAATTTTGCAATTGTGAATTGTGCTGCTATAAACATGCGTGCACAAGTATCTTTTGCATATAATGACCTTTTCCTCTGGGTAGATACTCTGTAGTGGGATTGCTGGATCAAATGGTAGTTCTACTTTCAGTTCTTTAAGGAAGATCCACACTGTTTTCCATGGTTGTACTAGTTTACATTCCCAACACCAGTGTAGAAGTGTTCCCTGATCACCTCATCGACGCCAACATCTACGGATTTTTAATTTTTTGATTATGGCCATTTTTGCAGAAGTGAGGTGGTATCACATTCTGGTTTTGATTTGCATTTCCTTGATCATTAGTGATGCTGAGCATTTTTTCATAAGTTTGTTGGCCATTTGTATATCTTCTTTTGAGAATTGTCTATTCATGTCCTTATCCCACTTTTTGTTGGGATTGTTTGTTTTTTTCTTACTGATTTGTTTGAGTTTGTTGTAGATTCTGGATATTAGTCCTTTGCCAGATGTCTAGATTGCAAAGATTTTCTCCCACTCTGTGGGTTGTCTGTTTACTCTGCTGACTATACCTTTTTCCATGCAAAACCTCTTCAGTTAAATTAAGTCCCAACTATTTGTCTTGGTTTTTATTGCATTTGCTTTTGGGTTCTTGGTCATGAAATCCTTGCCTAAGCCAACATCTAGAAGTGTTTTTTTTTTTTCAGTGTTATCTTCTAGAATTTCAGATCTTAGATGGAAGTCCTTAATCCGTCTTGAGGTGATTTTTGTATAAGGTGAGAGATGAGGATCCAGGTTCATTCTCCTACATGTGGCTAGCCAATTACCCCAGCACCATCTGTTGAAAAGGGTGTCCTTTCCCTATTTTATGTTTTTGTTTGCTTTGTCAAAGATCAGTTTGCTGCATTTGGGTTTATTTCTGGGCTCTCTGTTCTGTTCTATTTTTCTCTTTGCCTATTTTTATACCAGTATCACACTGTTTGGTGTCTATCGCCTTATAGTGTAGTTTGTAATCAGGTAGTGTGATGTCTCCAGATTTCTTCTTTTTGCCTAGTCTTGCCTTGGCTATGTGGGCTCTTTTTTGGTTTGGTTCTATATGAATTTTAGAATTTTTTTTCTAGTTCTGTGAAGAATGATGTGGTATTTTGATGGGAATTGTGTTAAATTTGTAGATTGCTTTTGGCAGTATAGTCATTTTCACCATATTGATTGTACCCATCTCTGAGCATCGGATGTGTTTCCATTTGTTTGTCTCATCTACAATTTCTTTCAGCAGTGTTTTGTAGTTTTCCTTGCAGAGGCCTTTCGACTTCTTGGTTAGGTATATGCCTAAGAATTTTAATTTTTTTGTAGCTGTTGTAAAAGGGATTGGCTTCTTGATTTGATTCTCTGCTTGGTCACTGTGGTGTATAGAAGAGCTACAGATTTGTGTATATTAATCTTTTATCTGGAAACTTTGCTGAATTCTTTTATCAGTTCCAGGAGCTTTCTGGAGGAGTCTTTAGGGTTTTCAAGGTAAACGATCATATTGTCAGCAAACAGTGACAGTTTGACTTCCTCTTTGTTGATTTGGATGCCCTTGATTTCTTTCTCTGGTCTTATTGCTCTGGCTAGGACTTCTAGTACTGTGTTGAGGGGGAGTGGTGAGAGTGGGCATCCTTGTCCTGTTCCAGTTCTCAGAGAGAATGCTTTCAACTTTTTCCCATTCAGTATTATGTTGGCTGTGGGTTTGCCATGGATGGCTTTTATTACATTGATTTTGCTGAGGCTTTTAATCATAAAGCGATGCTGGATTTTGTCAAATGCTTTTTCAGCATCTAGTGAAATAATAATGTGATTTTTGTTTTAAATTCTGTTTATGTGGTGTATCACATTTATTGACTTGCATATGTTAAACCATCCTTGCATCCCTGGTATGATACCCACTTAATCATGATGGATTATCTTTTTGATAGGCTGTTGAATTATGTTAGCTAGTATTCTGTTGAGAAGTATTCTCAAGTGAAGTATATTTCTAAGTATTCTCTGGTGAAGTGTTCTGGAAGAGGTAAACCACATTTATGCTATAGAGAAAGAATAGTATTTTAAATCTTTCTGAAAAGGAACTCAAATCTTGTGTTCATGATTTCTGATTTGAAAAGAAGGAAACAAAGTTGAGACAAAAGGATTAAGTGACCTTGTTTACCCACACTGTATGCACCTTTATTCCTGTGTAAACACAGGACAGGTACACAGCAGCTCTTTTGGTTCTCTGCTCCAAATAATCCCTCCTCTACATCAGGGCTGACAACCACCATCTATAATGAAAGATCAGATCACCACTGAAATGTTTCCAGTGTCATCTGTGAAGATAGCTGACTGTTAAGGTCAGTGATGCAGAGTAGAGTTATCCACCCTTGGTTCTTCTCAACTCCCACACAATACAGTGGGCTTCCACTTGAACATGCTTCCCCAGTGCTCCTCTTTACCACCCCACAATTCCACAGGGTCATGAGCAAGAAGGGCCAGATCTCCTTACATGGCTTTCTGTTGCTAAAAATGATACTAACAGGAAGGAAACAGAAACAAGGAGGGAGTTCTCATCCAAGAAAGAGGGAACTGATTTTCAACAGCCACATGGGTGGGCCAAACTCTGTTTTAGGAGCTCTTCAAGTGCCTGTTTTCCATTCCCCTTCTGCCTCATTACCAATACAGACAAAAGGTACACAAACACCTACCAACTACTTACTAGTTTTTTTTTTGGATACTGGGAAAATACCTTTTCCAGAAAACTCCTCCCCATGATGAATTAGAGCTTTCTTCAACACTTCATATCCATGCAACACCAAGACAAGCTTCATGTCAAAATACAGTGAACACTGGGACATAGACTTTTGAGAACTGGGAAAGGAGATGGAAATAACAATAAAACAAATCACTATTTGGTTCATATACTATACTTAATTCAGACTGTTATTACCATTGTATTTTGTAAATATTTTATTTTATAATGAACAATCTTAAATATTCCTGAAATTTATATATGTATATATATATATGTGTGTGTGTGTGTGTGTGTGTGTGTATATATATATATATATATATATATATTTGATGATGATTACTATAGTTGCCACTTATGGGTGGCCTACAATGTGCCATGAAATAGCCCAAACAGTAGACAGATTAAAATGAATCCTCACATCAATACTCTCAGCACGTTTATTTGCCTTGTTTTGCAAATAAAGAAACTGAGGTCAGAGAATTTCAAATTCATTTTCAGAGTCCTACAGGTGATATATAGAAGATCCATATTTGAATCTCTACTTATTCAAACTATGTTCAAACTCTGACGCTTGAGCAAATTATCAGTAACCTCAAGGTAATTTTTTTTAGTTACTAATATTTATTGTAATTCAAAAGTAGCATCATTTTTAATCCTCACATATTTCTATGAGATGAAAATTATTACCAATTTTACAAAGGCAAGATTTTAGTAATAATAAAGGATGGTATTTTTATTTTATTTTATTTTACTTTAAGTTCTGGGATACATGTTCAGAACGTGCAGGTTTGTTATATAGGGATACACGTGCCATGGTGGTTTGCTGCACCTATCAACGCAGCATCTAGGTGTTAAGCCCCACATGCATTAGGTGTTTCTCCTAATGCTCTCCCTCCCCTTGCTTCCCACCCAACGGCAGGCCCCAGAGGTGATGTTCCCCACCCTGAGTCCAAGTGTTCTCATTGTTCGATTCCCATCTATGAGTGAGAACATGCGGTGTTTGGCTTTCTGTTCCTGTGTTAGTTTGCTGAGAATGATGGTTTCCAGTTTCATCTATGTCCCTGCAAAGGACATGATCTCATCCTTTTCTATGGCTGCATAGCATTGCATGGTGTATATGTGCCACATTTTCTTTATCCAGTGTATTATTTATCAGCATTTGGGTTGTTTCCAAGTCTTTGCTATTGTAAACAGTGCTGCAATAAACGTAACGGTGCATATATCTTAATAGTAGAATGGTTTATAATCCTTTGGGTATATACCCAGTAATGGGATTGCTGGGTCAAATGGTATTTCTGGTTCTAGATCCTTGAGGAATCGCCACACTGTCTTCCACAATAGTTGAACTAATTTACACTCCCACCAACAGTGTAAAAGCGTCCCTATTTCTTCCCATCCTTGCCAGCATCTGTTGTTTCCAGACATTTTAATGATCGCCATTCTAACTGGCATGAGATGGTATCTCATTGTTGTTTTGATATGCATTTCTCTAATGACCAGTGATGATGAGCTTTTTTTCATATGTTTGTTGGCTGCATAAATGTCTTCTTTTGAGAAATATCTGTTCATATCCTTCTCCCACATTTTGGTGGGGTTTTTTGTTTATTTCTTGTAAATTTGTTTAAGTTCCTTGTATATTCTGGATATTAGTCCTTTATCAGATGGATAGAATGCAAAAATTTTCTCCCATTCTGTAGGTTGCCTATTCACTCTGATGATAGTTTCCTTTGCTGAGCAGAAGCTCTTCAGGTTAATTAGCTTCCATTTGTTAATCGTGACTTTTGTTGCCATTGCTTTTGGTGTTTTAGTCATTAAGTCTTTGCCCATGCCTATGTCCTGAATGTCACTGTTGAGGTTTTCTTCTAGGCTTTTTGCAGTTTTAGATTTTACATTTAAGTCTTTAATCCATCTTGAGTTAATTTTTGTATAAGGTGTAAGGAAGGGGTCCAGTTTCTGTTTTCTTCAGCCAGTTTTTCCAGCATCATTTATTAAATAGGGAATCATTTCCTCATTGCTTGTTTTTGTCAGGTTTGTCAAAGATCAGATGGTTGTAGCTGTGTGGTGTTATTTCTGAGGCCTCTGTTCTGTTCCATTGGCCTATATATCTGTTTTTGTACCAGTACCATGCTGTTTTTGTTACTGCAGGCTTGTAGTATTGTTTGAAGTAAGGTAGCATGATGCCTCCAGCTTTGCTCTTTTTGCTTAGGATTGTCTTTGCTATACAGGTTCTTTTTTGTTCCATATGAAATTTAAAATAGTTTTTCCTAGTTCTGTGAAGAAAGTCAATGGTAGCTTGATGGGAATAGTAGCATTGAATGCATAAATAACTTTGGGTACAAAGACCATTTTCATGATATTAATTCTTCCTATCCATGAGCATGGAATGTTTTTCCATTTGTTTGTGTCCTCTCTTATTTCCTTGAGTGGTGATTTGTAGTTCTCCTTGAAGAGGTCCTTTACATCCCTTGTAAGTTGTATTCCTAGGTATTTTATTCTCTTTGTAGCAGTTGTGAATTGGAATTCACTCATGATTTGGCTCTCTGTTTGTCTATCATTGGTGTATAAAAATGCTTGTGATTTTTACACATTGATTTTATATCCTGAGAATTTGCTGAAGTTGTTTATCAGCTTAAGGAGTTTTTGGGCTGGGGTGATGGGGTATTCTAAATATACAATCATGTCATTTGCAAACAGAGACAATTTGATTTCCTCTCTTTCTCTTTGAATACCCTTTATTTCTTTCTCTTGCCTGATTGCTCTGGCCAGGACTTCTAGTAATCTTGAAATAATACCAAGACAGTCTACTTCAGGGTCATGTGTAATGTTCTTCCCATAAAGATCATGACACAGTAGAACTGTGATGTACATTAGAAATCTTTATTTTTAGAAAATTACAGGACAATCTCCCTAATGAACATAGATACAAAAATTCTCAGCAA
Organism: Homo sapiens; assembly: GCF_000001405.40. Taxonomy (NCBI): domain Eukaryota; kingdom Metazoa; phylum Chordata; class Mammalia; order Primates; family Hominidae; genus Homo; species Homo sapiens. Next base: position 94,869,163 of record NC_000010.11, read on the forward strand.
AATACTAGAAAACCAAATCCAACAGCACATCAAAAAGATGTTATAGCATGGTCAGGCTGGACATGGTCGCTCACTCCTGTAATCCCAGCACTTTGGGAGGTCGAGATAGGTGGATCACCTGAGGTCAGGAGTTTGAGACCACCTGGCCAACGTGGTGAAACCCCCTCTCTACTAAAAATACAAAAATTAGCCAAGTGTGGTGGTGCACCCCTGGAGTCTCAGCTACTTGGGAGACTGAGACAGGAGAATTGCTTGAGCCCAGGAGGTGAAGGTTGCAGTGAGCTGATATCAAACCACTGCACTCTAGCCTGGGCAACAGAGTAAGTCTCCATCTGAAAAAAAAAAAAAAGATAATACACCATGATCAAGTGGGATTGGTTCCAGGCACACAAAATGGTTCAACATACACAAATCAATAAATGTGATACATTACATCTGCAGGATGAAGGGCAAAAACCATGTGATCATTTCTACAGACAAAGAAAAAGCATTTGAGAAAACTTAGTATCCCTTTATGATAAAAACGGTTGACAGAGTAGGCATTGAAGGAACATATCTCAACATAATAAAACCTATATATGACAAATCCACAGCTAATGCCATATCAAATGGGGAAAAGCTGAAATCCTTTTCTCTAAGAACTGAGCAAGACAAGGATGCCTACTTTCACCACTCCTACACAACATAGGACTGGAACTTCTAACCAGCTAAATCAGCAGCAATTCTATATACCAATAATAAAATAGCTAAAAAAGAAATCAGAGGCAATCCTAGTTAGAATATCTGCAAAAATTACCTAGGAATAAATTTAACCAAAGAGGTAAAAGACCTCTATAAGAAAAACTACAAAACACTGGTGTAAGAAACTGTAGATGACAGAAATAAATAGAAAACTATTCCGTGCCCAGGGATTGAAATAATTAATGTTGTTAAAATGACCACATTACACAAAGTAATCCACAGATTCAATGCAATCCCTACAGAAATACCTATAACGTTCTCAATAGAAATAGAAAAAGCAACCCTAAAATTTGTATGGAACCAAAAAAGAGCCTAACAGCCAAGGTAATTTTAACCAAGAAAAGAAAAAAGCTAGAGGAATCATACTACCACACCTCAAAATATGTTACAAGACTATAGTAACCAAAACAGCATGATATCAGTATAAAAATAGATACACAATTAGCCGGGCGTAGTGGCGGGCGCCTGTAGTCCCAGCTACTTGGGAGGCTGAGGCAGGAGAATGGCGTGAACCCGGGAGGCGGAGCTTGCAGCGAGCCGAGATCCCGCCACTGCACTCCAGCCTGGGCGACAGAGCGAGACTCCGTCTCAAAAAAAAAAAAAATAAAATAAAAATAGATACACAGACCCATGGAACAGCATAGAGAAACTGGAAATAAATCCATATATTTACAGCCAACTGATTTTCAACAAAAGCATCAAGAACATATCTTGGGGAAAGTGTGAGTGGTGCTAGCAAAACTGGATATCTATATGCAGAAGAATGAAACCAGATTCCTATCTCTCACCATATAAAAAATTAGCTCAAAATGATTAAAGACCTAAATGTAAGACCTGAAACTATAACACTATTTAAAGAAAACAAGGGAAATAGTACAGGACATTGGTCCAGACAAATATTTTATGACTAAGATGTCAAAAGCATAGGCAACAAAAACACAACTAGACAATTGGGACTATAGTAAAGTAAAACACTTTTGCACAGCAAAGGAGAAAATCAAAAAAGAGACATGTGGAATCACAGAAATTATCTGCAAACTATTCATCTGAAAAAGGGATAATATCCAGAAAACACAAGGAACTAAATAACTCAACAGCGAAATACATATAATTCCATTAAAATGTGGGCAAAGAACATGAATAAACATTTTTCAATATAAGACATACAAATAGCCAAAATATATATGAAACATGCTCAAAGTCACTAATCATGAGGTAACTGCAACTCAAAACCACAATGGGATATCATCTTGTCCCAGTTAGAATGGCTATTGCTAAAAAGAGAGAAAGTAACAGAAGCTGGGGAAGATGGACAGAAAAGGGAACTCATATACTGTTTTTCGGAATGTAAATTACTACGACCATTATGGAAAACAACATGGAGATTTCTCAAAAAACTAAAAATAGAACTACCATATGATCCTGCAATCTCACCACTAGGTATATAACCAAAAGAAAGAAAATCAGTATATCAAAGGGATACCTGTAGTCTCATATTTTTTGCAGCACTACTCACAATAGCAAAGATATGGAAATAATACATGTCCAACAACAGATGCATGGATAAAAAAATGTGGTATATGCATGTTCTCATTTATAAGTGGGAGTTGAATGATGAGAACTCATGAACACATGGTGGGGAGCAACACACATTTGGGTCTGTCCGAGGGGTTTGAGAAGAGGCAAACCTTCAGGAATAGCTAATGGACACTGGGCTTAATACCTAGGTGATGGGATGATGTGTGCAACAAACCACCATGGCACATGTTTACCTATGTACCAGACCTACATATTCTGCACATATACCCCTGAACTTAAAATAAAAGTTGAAGAAAAAAATGTGGTATATACACAGTGGAATACTATTTGGCCATAAAAAGGGATGCAATCCTGTTTTTTGCAGCACCATGAATGGAACTTGGGGTCATTATGTTAAGTGGAATAAGCCAGGCACACAAATAAGCCATGTTACCACTCATACATGGAAACTAAAAAAGTTGATCTCATGGAGGTAGAAGGTAGGATAATAGTTACCAGGAAATGTTAAGGGTGGGAAGTGTAGGTGGAGTGTTTGCTTAATGGGTAAAAACATGCAGTGAGATAAAATAAATAAATTTTAATGTTCAATAGAACAGTAGGGTGATTATAATTAACAATAACATATTACATATTTCAAAATAACTAGAAGAGAGGACTTAAATATTGCCCAAATATAGAAATGATAAATACTTGATAAATACTTGAGGTGTATAACACTGACTTAATCATTACACATTCCATGCATGTAACACAATATCACATGTACCCCATAAAAATTTACAAATATTATAAAGCAATAAAATATAAAGTAAAAATAATTCACCCCCTGTAATTTTAATGCCCATCCCAGTTTGTTACAGCTGGTATTGTTATCACAAAAAGAGTGAGCACCAAGGAGGCAGAACCAGGACATGCAGCATCTCCTGGAAAAACAGTTTCTTCCACCGTCTAGCATTATTGGTCACAGGTAGCCACTTTGCAAAGAACTTCTCAAAATTCTGTACCAATAATTGAGCCCTGACTTATTACTTCTTTCATGCATTTATGCTGTTCTTGAACACATAGCTGTTTCCTTGACATCAGGCATAAAATGATGCTTCAGCAAAGTTCATTTTTCATGGCAATTCTGAATAAAACACATAGCTAAGATTGTAGATGATTTACTGAATGAAATCTTGAATCACATTTTTTCTTAGCATTTACCTTCAGCTAACAATCATAGTAAGTGACTATAAAAAAAGAAAGAGTGTGGCAGTCCCAAATTTTGCCATTTTATTATTTTTATTCTATACAAGGGCCTAAATGTTTTTCTACTCACAAAATGCAGTAACAACTTATTTCACTATTTCTGACAATGAGAGATTAGAAAAGGCAACAGAAACATCATCGTTTATATGGAGTAATTTCCTTTCCAAAGGTCTATTATAATAGTGGGTCTCCTGAAATATATTTTATTTTTAAAAAGGGGTCAATTTACTCATCCTTTGTGAGTCACTGGAGAAACATAAAGCGTACTTAAATTGCTACTAGATTTGCAGATATCCTTATCAGCCATCTGTAGGATACTTTCAATAACTTGGAGAGGAGTGGAATCAGAAGGGAGCTTCCCTCTCCCAGAGATCTGTGTTCACAGTGAAAGGAGAAGCAAACAGGAAAGACAGAGCATCAGTACCGCAGCCAGATCCAATGAAGGCTTCTCTTCTTACTAAGGCAACTATGAGCTTGTACTTCAAGACATCTATAACACTGCCTGCTAATTCAGTGTGTGCCTCTTTGACATATAAAGTGACCAATCACCTAAATTCACTTATTGTCTTTTCTGAGTGGGCCTTGACCTTCTGACAGAAATAAAAATAAAATGTTCTGTGGCCTTATTCTCCTTTTATCCAGAGCTCTCCTTGGACATTTTTATTTAATTGCACTGGGTGGGGCTGAGGTATTGGTAATGAAAATAGAACCTGGTTGTTCCAGTGTGAAGTTATAATTAAGAAGCACTAACATAAATGATTTCATGCAAAATAGTTACTCAAAAATCTGAATTCTCAGATTAATAGCCAGTTGTGAATTTATGACTTTGAGGGAAATCAGTGCATTTTATGCCTTGTATAAATCAAATATTAGGATATTAGTCCTGGATAATAAAAGCCTTTCAGACATTAAATATACTTTACTAACATAATAGTGACCTAAACATGAAATAGCTATCATAACTCATACATCTTTAATTACCAAATGTTATGTCATGTTATTAGCTAATAAATTTATATACATTTCACCATTAAACAAAAGAAAATGTTGGAAGACAGAGATTATCATTTTTTTCTTTTTCAAATGGGAAAAGGTAGGCTCTGGGAGAAGGGGAGACCTGTCAGTACCACACCATTCATACCTGGGAAAACTGAGATTTGAGCTGAGATGTTCCGATGTCAATTGTGGTGCATTGTCACTTACACCAGAGCTGCCTCAAGAACAATTTTATGAAAACAGAACAAACCCCCAAACATTAGTTACTCTGAATACACACCACATTGATACTATTCATATGGCAACCAGGCTTCACATCAAAGAGAAACCCCTTATTTGACTCCAGGGTTAACAGGACCAGAGATGCTCAAGAGAAGAAACAAAAGATAGGGTTCTCCCTATCTTTTATTCTCCCATCACTGCATAGGAGAAACTTGCTTAGCACAACTGAGTGAAGGACCAATCTCCAATAATTTACTGCAGAGAGCTTGAGAAACTATGACTTCTCCATCTCCCAGTCACATCTAGACATGACCGCTTTTGTTGTTTTCGGTCTGTCATTGTCACAAATAATAGAAAGTAGTAACATGCAGTAAGGAAAGAAATTACACACAGAACAACACTTTTAGATCCAGTAGAGGATGGGAAGTAGGAAAATCATTAAATGGCCCTGAGTATAGAACCACCAGAAGGTGCAGACCTGAACAGGAGATGATATTTAGTGGTCATGAAGATTATAATACACTTAGAATTAAATACATTACTCTATCATTAATGACAATGTTTGTGCAAAGGCACATTCTGTAAAGATATCAGCATATTTGTTTTAAATGACTAGCATGGTTATTTCCAGCTCTTTTATTAAGAAAAATTATGTCATGACACAGTTACTTAATGTAGCTCATGTTTACAAACTTTCTGACAATTTACAGATAATTTTTACACCCATTGTATCCCTTTTGATTCTCTTAATTATCTTTGCCTAAGGCAAAATTATTTCTGTTTTAGAGAGAAGAATATTGAACCTCAGAGATTCAGTACTTTGACCAAGGACAGACTGATTGCAGATGGAAGAACTGAGGCAGAAATCCACAACCCTTGCATCTTGCAGCTTTCCCTCCAAGTAAAACATTCAGTTCATCCAGGTTAACCAAGAGTTACTGATGATTTACTATGACTCAATATTTAGAAGATTCAGTCTAATAATTAAATTTAAAAATACCCATTAATTTAGTTAATAATTCCAGTACTACTTGACTAAAATATGGGTTGGAAGAGTTTTCTTTTGTAACCTTTTGTACTTGAGTGAGTCCAGGTCTTGTAAATTCTTTATCCAGGGCAAAGTAAAGCAGTAATTTACTGCCCGATCCACATAACTATAAACTCTAAAGGAGCTACACCAGCTTATTTGGATAACAATAAGCCAGTTGCTCTCTTTGGAGCAAGTCTTTCATTTCTTGAGAGACAGGTGTCCCTGTTCTGCTTCTCCTCCCTTCTGTGGAGCTGGGTTCCCAACTAGATCATTTGTTTTATAGAATAAAAGAAACACAGGTAATTTAAAGATAGATGGGATCTATGAAATCAACTAGTCTAAACTTTGCTTTTTAGGAATTAGTAATGTGATGCTTCCAGATTTGTTCTTTTTGCTTAGTCTTTGGCTATGTGGGCTCCTTTTTGGTTCCATATGAATCATAGGATTGTTTTTTCTAGCCCTGTGAAGAATGATGATGGTGTTTTAATGGGAATTACATTGAATTTGTAGATTGCTTTTGGCGGTATGGTCATTTTCACAATATCAAATCTACTCATCCATGAGCATGGGATGTGTTTCCATTTGTTTGTGTTGCGTATGATTTATTTCAGTGTTTTGTAGTTTTGCTTGTAGAGGTCTTTCAGGTTCTTGGTTAGGTATACTTCTAAGGTTTTTTCTTTTTTGCAGCTCTTTTGAAAGGTGTTGTGTTCTTGATTTGATTATCTGCTTGGTCGCTTGGGTGCATAGTAGAGAGCTACTGATTGGTGTACATTAATTTTGTATCCTGAAACTTTGCTGAATTGATTTACCAATTCTAGGATTTTTTAGGGGTCATTAGGGTTTTCTAGGTATACAATCATATTATCAGCAAACAGCAACAGTTTGACTTCCTCTTTACCAAATTAGATGCTCTTGATTTCTTTCTCTTGCCTGATTGCTCAGGCTAGGACTTCCAGTACTATCTTGAATAGATGTGGTGAAAGGGCCTCCTTGTATTGTTCCAGTTCTCAGGGGGAATGCTTTCAACTTTTCTCTGTTCAAGATAATGTTGGTTGTGAGTTTGTCATAGATGGCTTTTATTACCTTAAGGTATGTCTCTTCTATGCCGCTTTTGCTGAGGGTTTTAATCATAAAGAGGTGCTGGATTTTGTCAAATCTTTTACTGCATTTGCATTTATTGAGATCATCATGTGATTTTCATTTTTAATTCTGTTTATGTGTTGTATCACATGTATTGACTTATGTATGTTAAACTATCCTTGCATCCCTGATATGATACCCACATAATCATGATGGATTATCTTTTTGATATGCTGTTGGATTATGTTAGCTAGCATTTTGTTGAGAATTTTTCCATCTATGTTTATCAGGGATGTTGGTCTGTAGTTTTCTTTTTTTTGTTAGGCCTTTCCTTGTTTTGGTATTAGGGTGATACCGCTTTCATAGGATGATTTGAGAGGCTTCCCTCTTTCTCTATCTTTGGAATAGTGTCAATAGAATTGGTACCAATTCTTCTTCAAATGTCTGAGAGAATTCAGCTGTGAATCCATCTGATCCTGGACTTTTTCTTGTTGGCATTTTTTATTTTATTTTATTTTATTTTTGCATTTTTTAAAATCACCATTTCCATCTTGCTGCTTGCTATTGGTCTGTTCAGAGATTCTATGTCTTCCTTGTTTAATCTAGGAGTGCTGTATATTATGAGGAATTTCTCCATTTCCTCTGGGTTTTGTAGTTTATCTGCATAAAGGTGTTCATATTAGCCTTAAATAACCTTATGTATTTCTGTGGTATCAGTTGTAATATCTCCTGTTTCATTTCTAATTGAGCTTATTTGGATCTTCTCTCTTCTTTTCTTGGTTAATTTCACTCATGTTCTATCAATTTTATTTATCGTCTCAAAGAATCAGCTTTTTGTTTCATCTATGTTTTGTATTTTTTTGTTTCAATTTCATTTAGTCCTGCTCTGATCTTCATTATTTCTTTTCTTCTGCTGGGTTTGGGTTTGGATTGTTCTTGTTTCTCCAGTTCCATAAAGTATGACCTTACATTGTCTATTTGTGCTCTTTCAGACTTTTTGATGTAGACATTTAATGCTATAAACTCTCCTCTCAGCACCACCATTGCTGTATCCCAGAGGTTTTGATAGGTTGTGTCAATATTATTGTTCAGTTCAAGGAATTTTTAAATTTCCATATTGATTTCATTGTTGACCCAATGATCACTCAGGAGCAGGTTATTTAATTTCCATTTGCATGGTTTTGAGTGTTCCTTTTGGAGTTGATTTCCAATTTTATTCTACTGTGGTCTGAGAGAGTACTTGATATAATTTCAATTTTCTTAAATTTCCTGAGACTGGTTTTGTGGCCTATCATATGGTCTGTCTTGGAAAATATTTCATGTGTTGATGAATAAAACATATCTTCTGCAGTTGTTGGGTAGAATGTTCTGTAAATATCTGTTAAGTCCATTTGTTATGGGGTATAGTTTAGGTCCATTGTTTCTTTGTTGACTTTGTGTCTTGATGATCTGTCTAGTGCTGTCAGTGGAATATTAAAGTCCCCCACTATTATGGTGTTGCCATCTATCTCATTTCTTAGGTCTAGTAGTAATTGTTTTATAAATTTGGGAGCTCCAGTGTTAGGTGCATATATATTTAGAATTGTAATATTTTCCTGTTGGACTAGTCCTTTTAACATTATATAATGTCCCTTTTTGTCTTTTTTAACTGCTGTTGCTTTAAAGTTTGTTTTGTCTGACATAAGAATAGCTACTCCTACTTGCTTTTGGTGTCCATTTGCATAGAATATCTTTTTCCACCTTTTTTACCTTAAGTTTATGTGAGTCCTTATGGGTTAGGCTAGTCTCCTGAAGACAGTAGAAACTTGGTTGGTAAATTCTTACCCATTCTGCCATTCTATATCTTTCAAGTGGGGACATTTAGGTTATTTACAATCAGTGTGAGTATGGAAATATGAGGTACTATTCTAGTCATCATGCTATTTGTTGCCTGAATATCTTGTTTTTTTATTATCTTATTGTTATATTGGTCCTGAGAGATTTACGCTGTAAGGAAGTTCTATTTTCAAGGATTTGTTTCAAGATTTAGAGCTCCATTTAGCAGTTCGTGTAGTGCTGCCTTGATAGTGGTGAATTCTGTCAACATTTATTTGTCTGGAAAAGACTATATCTTTCCTTCATTTAGGAAGCTTAGTTTCACTGGATACAAAATTCTTTCCTGACAATTGTTTTGCTTAAGGAGACTAAATATAGGATTCCAATCCCTTCTAGCTTGTAGGGTTTCTGCTGAGATATCTTTTGTAATCTAATAGGCTTTTCCTTATAGGTTACCTGATGCTTTTGCCTCAGACCTCTTAAGATTCTTTTCTTTGTCTTTAGATAACCTGATGATTATGTGCCTAGGTGATGATCTTTTTGTGATGAATTTCCCAGGTGTTCTTTGAGATTCTTGTATTTGGATGTCTAGATCTCTAGCAAGGCTGGGAAAGTTTTCCTCGATTATTCCCTCAAATATATTTTCCACACTTTCAGATTTCTCTTCTTCCTCAGGAACACCAATTATTCTTAGGTTTGGACATTTAACCTAGTCCTAAAATTCTTGGAGACTTTGTTCATTTTTTTTTTACATTTTTTTTTACTTTATCTTTGATGGATTGGGTTAATTCAAAAGCCTTGTCTTCAAGCTCTGAAGTTCTTTCTTCTGCTGGTTCAGTTTGATTGCTGGGACTTTCCAGCATTTCTCTAAGTGTGTCCTTGTTTTCCAGAAGTTGTGGTTGTTTTTTATTTATGCTGTTTCACAGAAGAATTTTACTCTCACATCTTGTATCATGTGTTTTGATTTCTTTAAGTTGGATTTCACCTTTCTCTGGTGCCTCCTTGGTTAGTTTAATAAATGACTTATTAGTTTAATAAATGACTTTTTCTGGCAATTCAGAGATCTCATCTTTGTTTCGTTCCATTGCTGATGATCTGGTATGATCTTTTGGGGCTGTTAAAGAATATTGTTTGGTCATATTACCAGTATTGTTTATCTGATTCCTTCTCATTTGGATAGATTATGTCAGAGGAAAGATCTGGGGCTCAAGAGCTGCTGTTCAGATTCTTTTGTCCCAAAGAGTGCTTGCTTGATGTGGTGTTCTCCCCCTTTCCCTATGAATAGGGCTTCCTAAGAGCCAAACTGTAGTGACTATTTTTGCTTTTCTGGGTCTAGGCACCCAGTGGAGCTACTGGGCTCAGGGCTGGTCCTGGGGAATATCAGCAATGAGTCATGTGACATGATCCACTTTCAGGTTTTGCAGCTGTGGATACCAGCACCTGCTCTGGTGGAGGTTGCAGGGAATTGAAATGGACTCTGTGAGGGTCCTTGGTTGTGTTTTTGTTTAGTGTGCTGGTTTTGTGTTGGTTGGCTTCCAGCCAGGAGGTGGTGGTTTCAAGAACACATCATCTGTGGTCCTATAGAGAGGATGCAAACTTGCCTTAGAAACACCTGGTTAAGAATTCAGGTGGTGGGCAGGGCCATAGAGCTCCCATGAGATTGTGACCTTTGTCTTCGGCTACTAGGGCAGGTAGAGAAAGACCACCAGGTGGGGGCATGGTTAGACATTTCTTAGCTCAGCTTCCTCTTGGTTGGGACTTGCTGTGGCTGCTGTGGGAGTTGGGAGTGTGGTTTCCAGCCCAATGGAGTTATATTACCAGGGGGATTATGGCTGTCCCTGCTGAATCATGGGGGCCACCAGGGGAAAGCCATCAGTCACAGGCCTCACCTCGCTCCCACACAGCTCACAGTCCTAAAGGCCAGTTTCACTCCCACTGATCCCCACCTGCTCCCAACAACACCGAGTCTGTTTCCAGGTAGCCTGTGACCAGGGCTGTGAACTTGCCCCACCATGAGCCTCCCTGCTGAGAAAGCAAGCAGACTCATGGTTTCTTGGCAACTCAGGGAGCCTGCAGCAGCGATTCAGTTCCTTCAAAGGGTCTGTGGATTCTCTCAGCTTTCCTGATTTGCTCTTGTGGTAGTTCTTGGAATAAAATTTTACCATGTGAGTCTCCACATGCTGCTCTGTCCATCCGAGCAGGAGCTGCAAGCTAGTACTGCCTCCTATCTGCCATCTTCCCCCTCAACTATTTCTTAATAGCAGTGTGAGAACATACATACACAGCTGCTATTATCATCACTATCACTACTGCTATTATTATTATTACACTTTGGGCATGAGCTTCAGATTCCATGCCAGCTTCATACCATTTTGTTATGACAGCCTTGCAATGTCTACTCTTGGATTCAGTGTTATATCTTCTAAGCTGCTTTTTGTTCTGTTCATTTCTTTGTCATCTATTCTGTGGTAACATTGGGAGGAAAGTTTTTTGCCCATTTTTTATTCCTTTCTTTTCTTTGCTGTTGAGTTGTTTGAGTTTCTTGTTATTAATCCCTTGTCAATTGAATAGTTTGCAAATATTTTCTTCCATTCTGTAGGTTATCTCTTCACTATACTAATTATTTTCTTTGTTGTGCAGAAGATTTTTAGCTTGATATGATCCCATTTGTACTTTTTTTTTTTTTGCTTCTCTTGCTTGTGCTTTTGAGGTGTTATTCAAGAAATCTTTGCCTGAACTAATGTCCTGAAGAGTTTCCCCAATATTTTATTCTAGGAGTTTCATAAAGACTTACATTTAAGTCTTTAATCCACTTTAATTTTATTTTTTGTATATGTTGAGAGATAAGGGCCTAGTTTCATTATTCTGTATGTGTATATCCAACTTTCCCAGCGTCATTCATTAAAGGGACTGCCCTTTCCCCAATAAATGTTCTTGGTGCATTTGTAAAAAGTGAGTTGACTGTAAATGGGTGGGTGTATTTCTGGGTCCTCTATTCTGTTCCACTGATCTTTGTTTCTGTTTTTATACTAGAACCATGTTGTTTTTGTTACTATAGATTTGTAGTGTAATTTGAAATAAGGTAATTTGATGCCTCTAGCTTTGTTCTTTATGCTCTGGATTGTGTTTAGTATTCTGGGTCTTTTGTGGTTTTATATAAATTTTTGGATTTTTTTCTATTTCTGTGAAGAATTTTATTAGTATTTTGATAGAAATTGCAGTAAATCTGTAGGTCACTTTGGATAGCATGGTCATTTTAACAATATTGATTTTTCCAATCCATGAGCATGGAATATCTTTCAATTTTTTGTGTCCTCTTCAGCTTCTTTCATCAATGTTTCAGAGTATTTTAAGGTTTTATTCTTAATTATTATGGATACATAGTAGATATACATGTTTATGGGGCACATGTGATGTGTTGATACAGGCATACAGTGTGTAATGATCCAATCAGGGTAATTGTGGGTACTCATCACCTCAAGCTTTTATTATATCTTTGTGTCAGGAACATTCTAATTTTACTCTTTTAGTTATTTTAAAATATACAATAAATTGTTAACTGTAGTTGCCCCATCATGCCACACACTATGAGATTTTTAGTTTTTATTGCAGAATTCTTTTAATTATTTGATTCAGTTTATTCTTAGATATTTTATTTTATTTGTAGCTGTTGTAAGTAAGGTTACTTTGTTGGTTTCTTTTTCAAGTTGTTTGCTGCTGGCATATAGAAATGCTACTGATTTTTGTATATTGGGTTTGTCTCCTGCAGCTTCACTGAATTCACTTATCAGTTTTATATGATAGCTTTATAATATGTCTTAAAGCTTTTCTTTTTCTTGTCTGCCTGCCAAACTGAGGTTCCTCCACTGATTGGTATCCCGTACTCTGAAAGGGCCAAGTGACTCTGTGTACTTGTAAACTACAGCTACTGGGAGATCCTAAGGAGGGCACCACATAACCTGGAAGCCATGAAATGATGGCTGATTAGCAGCAATGTATACGTGCCTCTTTGGAACAACCAAAGTAATGTAAAGACAGTCACACTTTGAATACATTATCCAAAAGGGAACATAGAATTTCAACAGAAAAGTGTCATGAAGGTTAAACAAACTAGGAAGGAGAAGGAAAACAAGAAGCTGCTTGGCCATAAGTGACCCTAATATGAAGAAAGGGTGAATGAGTATTTTTGCAGTTCACTTTCCCACTGGGAATTGTTTAATCCAGGCTATGGAAGAGCACTGACATGCCTGAGTTCGGAATCTAACTTAGGGAGCAGCCAAGAGACTGTGTAGTGGAAGTGCTTCAGGGAAAGAACTCACTCTTGGTACCATGACCTTTTGAAAACCTAAGCAACTACAGCAAGATGCCATTTCTGATCCTAGCTTTTAACAGACTGTGCTATCATGGGAACCAACACTACCACTCCTAGGCATTAGGGAAACTTGCACTGTTGGTTGCAGAACAGGGACAAAAGTAGGGAGTGGAATAAAGCTAGAAATCAATAGCAAGAGCATCACTGGAAAATATACAAATAAATCCACATTTAAAAGCATGTTCCTGAATGACCATTGGGGCAACAAAAATATTAAGATGGAAAACAAAAAATTTCTAGTTCTAAAGAAACTAGAAAATCAAGAACACACAAAATTCCAAATTAGCAGAAGAAAAGATAATGAAGATGAGAACAAAACTGAATGAAATATTTTTAAAAATACAATGATTTATTTTCTGGATAGAAGTCCAAGGAGGATAATGTAGCCCCAGTCCTTGCTGTCACGAAACAGCAGGAGGCCAAGACGGTGTTGAATCCTCTGTTTGAGAAAAGTCCTAAGAATTTTGGCATTGGAGAGGACATTCAGCCCAAGAAAACCCCCACCCACTTTGGGAATGACCCCACTATATCAGGTTGCAGTGGCAAACAGCTATCCTCCATAAGTGACTGAGAGTGCCTCTGGGAACAAACCAGTTCACCAGGCCTTGGAGCAGCAAACATTTAATTAACTGCTTAAGCTGGCTCACAAGTACAGAAAAGAGACAAAACAAGAGAAGAAACAGAGATGGTTAGCCTGGGTTAAGAAGAAAGCTGCTGGCAAAGGGGATGTTCCCACTAGGAGCCAACTTGTCTTTAAGCAGTGGTTAACACTGTCACCACCTTCACAGAGAATATACCTCAGCTGGTGATGATTGCACATGACATGGATTCAATCAAGCTGGTTGTTTTCCTGCCTGTCCTGTGTTATAAGATAAAGATCCCTTACTGCATTATCAAGGGGAAGGAAAGACTGGGGCAGGTAGTCTATAGAAAGACTTGCACCAATGTCACCATCACACAGGTTAACTCAGAAGAAAAAAGATCTCTGGTTAAGCTGGTGGAAGCTATCAGAACCAATTACAAGGACAGATATGAGGAGATCTAGCATCATTGGGAAGATAACATCCTTAGTCCAAAATCTGTGACTCACATTGCCAATCTGGAAAAGGAAAAGTCTAAAGAACTTGCTGCTAAACTGGGTTAAGTGTACACTGTTGAGTTTTCAGTATATAAAAATAATAAAAATTATCCTTCTAAAAACACAGGTATCAATGTAATAAAAAGCTGATATTCTTAAAAGTTAAACAAAAATGATAAACCAGTAGCTTTACTAACCAAGAAAAGAAAAGAGAAGACCCAATAAACAACAAAAAAAAAAAATGCAAAGGGAGACATTATAAAGTATACCACAAAATACAAAAGGCCATCAGAGACTATTATGAAAAATTATGTGCTCACAAACTAGAAAACCTAGAGGAAAGGGATACATTTTTGAAAGTATGCAACTTCCAAAGAATTAAAGAGAAAGAAAAAGAAATTCTGAGCAGACAAATAATGAGCTGTGAGATTGAGTCAGTGTTAAAATAACTTCCCAACAACAACAAAAACCCCAGGACCAAATGGATTTACAGCTGAATTCCAACCAACGTACAAAGAAGAAACAATGCCAATCCTTCTGAAGCTATTATAAAAAAAATGGAGGAAGAAATTATTCCTAACTAATTTTAGAAGGTTTGCATCACCCTGATACCAAACTCAGAAATAAACATAACAAAAAAATAAAAGTAGAGATCAACATCGTTGATCAATATAGATGCAAAAATTTCAGCAAAATACTAGTAAACTGAATCCAACAGCACATCAAAATGGTAATACACCATGATTAATTCAGTTTTATGTTAGAAATTCAAAGATGGTTCAACATACACAAATCAATATATGTGATATATTAAATCAACATAATGAAGGACAAAAATCATAACATCATCTCAAATGATGTAGAGAATGTCTTTAATAAAATTCAACATCTCTTCACAAAAAAACACTCGACCATCTAGGCATAGAAGGAACATAGCTCAATAAAAGCCATATGTGACAAACAAAGAGCTAACATCTTACTGAGTGAGGAAAAGCTGAAAGCCTTTCCACTAAGACCTGAAGCAAGACAAAGATGCCCACTTTTGCCTGTCCTATTCTACATAGTACTGAAAGTCCTAACCAGAGTGAAAAGAGAAAGAAATGGGAAGGCATCCAAATTGGAATTGAGGAAGTCAAATTATCCCTGTTTGCTAAATATATGATCTTATATCTAAAATAACTTAAAGACTCCACCAAAAACCTCTTAGATTTGATAAATGAATTTAATAAAGTTATAGGATATGAAATCAAACTACAAAAATCAGTAGCATTTCTATACACAAATAATGATCTAATTGAGAAAGAAATCAAGAAGGTGATCCAATTTGCAATATATACAAAAATAAAATATCTAGAAAACTATTTAACAAAGGAAATAAAATATCTCTACAGAAAGACAGCAAAACATTGACAAAAAATTGTAGATGACCCAAACAAATGAAAAAACATCTTATGCTCATGAATAGGAAGAATCAAGATTGTTAAAATAACCATCCATACTGCTCAAAGAAATCTAGAGATTCAATGCAATTCTTATCAAAGTACATATTTTTTTCACAGAATTAGTAAAAATAATACTAAAATTCATATGGAAAAACAAAAGATCCTAAACAGCAAAATAAAATCCTCAGCAAAATAACAAAGCTGGAGGAATTATATTACCTGACTTCAAATTATAGTACAAGGCCATAGTAAGAAAAACAGCATGGTACTGGTATAAAAGTAGACATTTAGATTGATGGAAAAGAATGAAGAACCTAGAAATAAAGCCACTTAGGTACAGCCAAGTAACTTTTGACAAAGCCAAAACAAACATATGTTTGGGGAGAGGACACCATCTTCAATAAATATTGCTGAGAAAATTGGACTGCCATATGCAGTTAAGTGAAGCTGGACCCATATCTCTCACCATATACTATAATAAACTCAAGATGGATTACATATTTAAAGCTAAGGTGCAACATATAAAAATACTAGAAAAAAATCCTAGAAAAAGCCTTCTAGATTCGGTATGGGCAAAGAATTTGTGATGAAGACATTGAAAATACAGACAACAAAAACACAGACAAGTGAGAATTAATTAAACTAAAAAGCTTCTACACAGAAAAAAAAGATAAACAGATTGAACAGGCAACCTGTTATGTGAAAGAAAATATTTACAAACTATTCATCTGAGAGAGGACCAATATCCAGAATAATGATCAGTGAACAAAAGGAAAAAATGCTTAATATTACTAATCATCAGGGAAATGCAAATCAAAACCACATGAGATATTGTCTTACCCCAGTAAGAATGGCTATTACTAAAAAGAAAATAATAACAGGTGTTGGTGTGGATGCACAACAAAGGAAACTCTTATACACTGCTGGATGGAATGTAAATTAGTATACAGCCTCTATGTGAAACAGTACAGAAATTTCTCAAAGAATTTAAAAATAGGACTACAATTCAATCAGCAATCCCACTACTGGGTATCTAAACAAATAGAAAAAAACCAATATTTCAATAAGATATCTGCACTTGTATATTTTCAACTGCACCATTTACAACATCAAATATGTGGAATCCACTCAGGTGTTCAACAGATGACCAGATTAAAAAAAATATGGTATATATACAAAATGAAATACTATTCAGCCATAAAAAAACCCCAAATCATGTCATTTGAAGTGATATTAATATAACCGGAAGTCATTATCATAAGTGGAATAAGCCAGGCACAGAAAGACAAATATTGTGTTTTCACTCATATGTGGGAGCTTAAAAATGTGTTCACATGGACTTTAGAGAGCAGAATGATAGATAATGGAGACTCAGAAAGATGAAGAGTGACAGGGGGAAGGATAATGAGTTATCAGTTAATGGGTACAATGTACATTATTTGCATGATGAATACCCTATAGCCCTGACTTTGCCACTACACAATCTATGTATGTAAAAAAAACTACACATAAATTCCATAAATGTATACAAATAAAATAATAACAATAATAATACATACTCTGCGTAATTAAAAAATGTCTTAAAGTTGGGTCAAGTAGGGTCAATCCTCTGACTTTGTTCTTCAATAGTGGCTATTCTGGATTTGTGTTCTCACCACATAAACTTTGTAATCATGTTGTCAATATCTAGAAAAGAAGTTGCATGATATTGATTGTAACGGCATTGTGTCTGTAGATTAGACAATGACTGACAACAATAATGAGACTTCATGAACTTAGAATCTCTCTCCATTTATTTAGATTTTTTGGTTTCTTTCATCAGAGTTTTGTCACTTTCCTTTAATCTTCTTCATATTGTGACAGACTTATACCTAGGTATGTCATATATTTTGCTGCTGATATAAATGATACTTTGCTTTTAGTTTCAAATTACAACTGTTCATTGCTAGCAAATAGAAAGTAATTGACTGCTGCACAGTAACCTTGCATCCTACTACCTTACTATAATTGCCTGCTAGTCTCTGGAGTTTTTTGTTTTTCTTATTTCCTTTTGTTTTTTTAGAGATTTTTTAATTTGGGGGGATTTTCTACATAGATAATCATGTGATCTGCAAACAATGACAGTTTTAGTTCTTCCTTCCCTATTGGTGTATCTTTTGTTTCTTTTTCTTATTGCATTAGTTAGGATTTCTAGTATGATGCTGAATAGGAGTAGCGAGAGGAAATATCTTACCTTGTTCTTGTTCATAGCCAGAAAGTTTCAAGTCTCTTACCCTTAATAATAGTGTTAGTTATAAGATTTTTGTAGATGCTCTTTATCCAATTGAGAAGGTTTTTCTTCTATCTTTACTTTGCTGGAGATAATTTATGATGGATTAGTGCTGGATTTTGTCAAAGACTTTTTCTACAACTGTTAATTTGATCATGTTGACTTACCTTCTTTAGCAAGATAATGTGATGGAGCACATTAGTTGATTTTAAAATGTTGAACCAACCTTGCATACCGGAATAAATCCTACTTGATTAGAAATATAATTATTTTTATGTATTGTTGAATGCAGTTTGTTAGTATTTTGTTGAAATTTTTGGCATCTATTTTGATTAGATATATTTGTCAATAGTGTTCCTTTTTATCAATATCCTTGCCTAGTTTTGCTGTTAGGTTAATGCTGGACTCATAGAGTGAGTTAGAAATATTTATTTCTGCTACTATTTTCTGGAAGAGATTAAGATAATTGGTATAAATTTTTCCTTTAATGTTTGGAGGAATTCAAGAGTGAACATAATTAAGCCTTGTGCTTTCTTTTCTGGAAGTTATTAATTATTGATTCAATTAAGTCAGTAAATAAAGATTTAATCAGATTACCATTTCCTCTTTCCTGGGTTTTGGAAGATTGTGTCTTTAAGAAATTAATCTGTTTCATCTAAATTACCATGTTTGTGGACAGAGACTTGCCTGTAATATATCTTTATTATCCTTTTAATGTCTAAGGTATCAGTAGTGATGGCCCCTGTTTTAATTCTGACATTATTAAAACGTGTCTTGTCTCTTTTTTCTCTTGGTGAAACTGGCTGGAGTTTTGTTAAATTTATTTTCAAAGAACAAGCTTTTGGTATCATACATAGAGTTGGACCTTGTTTTTTATCTACTCTGATAGCTTCTGTCTTTTAGTTGGTGTATTTAGTTATGTTTAAAGTGATTTTGATATAGTGGGATTATATCTACCACATATTAGTTGCTGTTTTCTACTCATTGCCCTTGTTCTTTTTCTGTTTTTGTCATCAGTTCTTGTTCTGCCTTCTATGGTTTTAAATGAGCATTTTATGTAATTTAATTTCCTCTTCTTAACATACTATATTTCAATATTTACTTTAGTAATTTCCCTATAGTTTGCAATTTGTATTTGTAATTAATTCAAGTTCACTTTCTAATAACACTACACTGCTTCATGAGTAGTGCATCTACCTGTAACAAAGTATTCCTAATTCCTCCCTCCAGTTCCTTATGTGATTACTGCCATTCATTCCACCTATCCATAAGCTATAATTACCAAGTATATTGTTGTCATTATTATTTTGAACAAACTACTATCTGTCAGAATAATTAAAAAAGAAAAATAAAAGTTTTATGTTGCCATCAATTACTCCTTCTCGAACATTGTTATTTTCCTTATGTGGGTCAGTATTTGGCTTGTATCATTTTCTTCTTTCTGAGGAAATTCTTTTAACATTTCTTGCAAGTCAGGAACTAAAGACAACTTTTCTCAACTTTCTGTGGGTGACAGTCTTTATTTCTCTTTCAGTTAAAAAGGATGTTTTCTGGATACAGAAAGCAAAATGGGTGAGAATGTTTTCCAACACTTTAAATATTTTGCTTCACTCTCTTCTTATTTGCATGAACTTTTAAGAGATGTTTGATGTAAGTTTTATTCTCATTCCTAGATAGCTAGGATGTTTTATTCCCTTGGCTTCTTTCAAGATTTTTGCTTAGTCTTTACGTTTTTCATTTGAATATGATGTGCCTAGGTGTAGACTTTTGGGTACCTAACCTACTTGGTGTTCTCTGAGGTTCTTGGATCTGTGGTTTGCTGTCTGTCCTTAATTTTGGGAAATTCTCAGTAATTACTTCTTCAGATATTACTTCTGCTGAACACTTTGTTTTTATATAAGCTTTTTCATTGAAGTATAACATACATAGAAAAATACGCACATATTCTAAAAGTACAGCTCAAAGGATTAATGTAAAGTGAACATATTTATATAACCTACAAACAAGACATAGAAAAGAATTTTGTTTCTAAGGCATTCTCATCCTTTCTACTGCCACATCCTCTTGTAAGGTATCTGGCATCATTCCATAGGTTAGTTTTTAAAAAATTTTATTGTATTATACATTCAGGGTATACATGCTCATATTTCTTACATGGGTATGTTGTGTACTGGTGGGGACTGGTCTTCTAGTATACCCATTACCCAAATGAGGAACATTATATCCAACAGGTAATTCACCAACCCTTGCCCCCCAGTCTGTCCTCCACAGTTTTGGAGTCCCCAGTGTCTATGATTTCCATCTTTACGTCCACGTGTACCCATTGTTTAGATCCCACTTACAAGTGAGACCACGTGGTATTTGATTTTCTGTTTCTGAGTTAGTTCACATAAGATAATGGCCTCCAGCTCCTTCTATGTTGCTGAAAAAAACATAATTCCATTCTTCTGTTTTTTATGACTATGTGTTACTCCATGGTGTAAATACACCACATTTTCTTTATCTGAACAACCATTGATGGACATTTAGAGTGGGTCCCTGACTTTGCTATTGTGAATAGTGTTGCAAGAACATAAAGGAAGGTGTGTTTTTATATAATTATTTATTTTCTTTTGGGTATATGCCCAGTAGTGAGATTGCTGGATTGAATAGTAGTTCTATTTTTAGTTCTTTGAGAAATCTCTATACTGTTTTCCATTGAAGTTGAAATAATTTATATTCCACCAACAGTGTATAAGTATTCCCTTTTCTCCACATCCACACTAACATTTGCTGTATTTTGATTTTTTAAAAATTATACTTTATGTTCTAAGTTACATGTGTAGAATGTGCAGTTGTGTTACGTAGGTATACACGTGCCCTGCTGGTTTGTTGCACCCATCAACCCGTCATCTACATTAGGTATTTCTCCTAATGTTATCCCTCCCCTATACCCCCACCCTCCCTTCTGTTCTCATTTTCACCCTGTGAGATGCCAGCTCCTCCTTTTGCCCTCTGCCATGATTGAAAGCTTCCTGAGCCCTCCCCAGAAGCCAAGGAGATGCTGGCGGCATGCTTCCTGGATGGCCTGCATAACTGTGAGCAAACTGAACCTCTTTTCTTTATAAATTACCCAGTCTCAGGTATTTCTTTCTTTCTTTTTTTTTTTTTTTTTCTGAGACAAGGTCTTACTTCGTCACCCAGGCTGGAGTGCAGTGGTGCGATCTTGGCTCACTGCAACCGCTGCTGCCAGGGTCCAAGTGATTCTCATGCCTCAGACTCCCAAGGAGCTGGAATTACAGGCATGTGCCACCAAGCCTGGCTAATTTTTTGTATCTTAGTAGATATGGGGTCTCACCATGTTGCCCAGGCTGGTATAGAACTCTTGGACTCAAGCGATCCACCTGCCTTGGCCTCCCAAAGTGCAGAGATTACAGACGTGAGGCAACTTACGTGACCTCCGCTATTTCTCATAGCAATGCAAGAACTGCCTACTACAGGCAGTTCCTAATGTTGGATTCACATACAGGAAACCTGAGACTCTGTGGTGGTCAAACAGTCTGCAGTTTCTACAGTCTCATTACAAACTTTGATCTGACTGACACCAAGGATCTGTGACACAGTTCTGCTGAGGAGTCTGACAGCTGCTTTGCTGAAAATGTTTGTGGCTCTGGACCAGGCTCAGAATCAGCACAGCCTCATCTGTCATTTGTAGTGTAAGAAGGGTCTGAGCCTCAGACCCAGGACTTCTTGCCTAAATTCCTGAGACCTCAGCTGTGCTTTCTTCTCTCACACCTTCCCACATGCCAATCCTGGGGATATGCTTGACTCTGTTTCAGCCCCTTGTGGCTGCTGAGCAGAGCTACTTCTGTACTTTGTCCTCAAGCAGCAAAGTCCCACACCCAAGCTTTTGGGAAAGATGCCTATGATGACATTAACAGGTGAAGCCCAAAGACAGCATTTTGGCAAGGAGGTGATATGGGGATAGTATCATTTTTCTTATGAAGCATTTGAGGTCCCCAGTGGCCATCAGTTCTCCTGGTGAGTTGGAACAGAGGGAAGGAGTCACAAGTGTAAGTCTTCCTCCCTCTTCAGTGAGAATCTACAGTAAGTGCCTGTAATCTCAGCTGAGACAGGAGGATTGGTTGAACCCAGGAGGCAGAGGTTGCAGTGAGCCAAGATCTCACCACTGCATTTCAGCTTGGGTGACAGAGCAAGACTCTGTCTCAAAAAAAAAAAAAAAGGAAAGGAAAAGATGAGCCTGGAATTTCTTGCTCTGCCAGAAAATAAGGAATTGCTTAAGAATTGAGGAGGACAAGAAAAAGGGACGCAGAATCCAGTCATTAGAAGATAATTTGAGCACCAAAGTAAATAATGTTATAATGGATTATAACCCATTGAACACAACTGAATTCGTGATTGATTTATTTATATCATTATGTCCATAATGATACATGAATACATTAAAAACTTGATAGGGAATATACAGTTATATATTATAGTTATGCAGTATCAAAGTATCTACCCACAAATAGATATAGAATCAAAGAATCTACCCACAAAGTATTTCTTAATTACAAATGTAAGAAGAATAACATTATGGTGGAGGACACAACCAGACACCATAATAAAAAATCAAAGTAGACATCACCCATAATGCGACAGATTGAAATTATTTGTCACCAGATATGTTGCAATGAGAAGTCAAAGCATCTTCTGTGATATTCCTGCCAAAGCTGCATAACCAGAATCTGATTATGAAAAAACATCAGATAATCCCAAATGGAGAGAAATTTTAAAAACTCCCAACCTATGCTTTTCAAAAGTGACAAGGTCAAGGAGGTTGAGGAAAGACTGAGGAACTGTGTCAGGCTGTGATTGACTAAGGAGACATGACAACTAGTTGCAAAATGGCATTCAGGATTCCAAACTGGATTCTGAAATGAATATAATGAATATCATTGGTACTTATTGAGGAAACACTAATGGAAATGAGGATTAGATGGCCCTATTGCATCAATATTAATTTCCTGAATTTGAAGGTTTTATTTTGGTTATATAGTCAAATTGCCTTGCTTATAAGAGCTATATACTAAAATATTTCAGGTTTGGAACTTTAGGTCAGAAAATACTCTCAAATGTTCAAAATAGAGAAAATGCTCTGTACTTCCAACTTTTTGTTACATTTATAGTTATTAAAATTACATAACTGTATTATATATGCATATATATATACACATATATACACAATTGCATATACATATATAAATGATATATATAAAGCCAACAATGGACTCATACCTAAACTATGCAAGCCCTTCAAAAAAGACTTGATATTGCCAAAGCACTCAGCATCATGAAGCTTCACTGAAATGCAAATTAACACTACAATAAGAGAAGATGGCCAAATAAGAACAGCTCCAGTCTACAGCTCCCAGTGTGAGTGACACAGAAGATGGGTGATTTCTGCATTTCCAACTGAGGTACTGAGTTCATCTCACTGGGGAGTGCCAGACAGTGGGTGCAGGACAGTGGGTGTAGTGCACCGTGCATGAGCCAAAGCAGGGTGAGGCATTGCCTCACCTGGCAGGCACAATGGGTCAGGGAATTCCCTTTCCTAGTCAAAGAAAGGGGTGACACATGGCACCTGGAAAATCAGGTCACTCCCACCCTAACAAAGCACTTTTCCAATGGGCTCTACAAACTGCACACCAGGAGATTATATCCTGCACATGGCTCACAGGATCCTATGCCCACAGAGCCTCACTCATTGCTAGCACAGTAGTCTGAGCTCTAACTGCAAGGTGGCAGTGAGGCTGGGGGAGGGGTGCCCACCATTGCCAAGGCTTGAGTAGGTAAACAAAGTGGCCAGGAAGCTCAAACTGGGTGGAGCCCACCACAACTCACGGAGGCCTGCCTGCCTCTGTAGGCTGCATCTCTGGTGGCATGGCACAGACAAACAAAAAGAGCAGTAACCTCTCCAGACTTAAATGTCTCTGTCTGACAGCTTTGAAGAGAGTAGTGGTTCTCCCAGCACACAGCTTCAGATCTGAGAATGGGCAGACTGCCTCCTCAAGTGGGCCCCTGAACCCTGAGTAGCCTAACTGGGAGGCAATCCCCAGTAGGGAAGGACTGACACCTCACATGGCCGTGTACTCCTCTGAAACAAAACTTCCAGAGGAATGATCAGGCAGCAGCATTTGCGGTTCACCAATATCCGCTGTTCTGCAGCCACTGCTGCTGATACCCAGGCAAACAGGGTCTGGAGTGGACCTCCAGCAAATTCCAACAGACCTGCAGCTGAGGGTCCTGACTGCTAGAAGGAAAACTAACAAACAGAAAGGACATCCACACCAGAAACCCATCTGTACATCACCATCATCAAAGACCAAAGGTACATAAAACCACAAAGATGGGGAAAAAACAGAGCCAAAAAACTGGAAACTCTAAAAACCAGAGCACCTCTCCTCCTCCAAAGGAACAGAGCTCCTCACCAGCAATGGAACAAAGCTGGATGGAGAATGACTTTGGTGAGTGGAGAGAAGAAGGCTTCAGAAGATCAAACTACTCCAAGCTAAAGGAGGAAGTTTGAACCAATGGCAAAGAAGTTAAAAACCTTGAAAAAAATTAGACAAATGGATAACTGGAATAATCAATGCAGAGAAGTCCTTAAAGGACCTGATGGAGCTGAAAACCATGGCACGAGAACAACATGATGAATGCACAAGCCTCCATAGCTGATGCGATCAACTGGAAGTGAGAGTATCAGTGATGGAAGATGAATGAAATGAAGTGAGAAGGGAAGCCTAGAGAAAAAAGAATAAAAAGAAATGAACAAAGCCTCCAAGAAA
Source organism: Homo sapiens (assembly GCF_000001405.40). Classification (NCBI taxonomy): domain Eukaryota; kingdom Metazoa; phylum Chordata; class Mammalia; order Primates; family Hominidae; genus Homo; species Homo sapiens. Next base: position 94,893,825 of record NC_000010.11, read on the forward strand.
TATGGGACTATGTGAAAAGACCAAATCTGCGTCTGATTGGTGTACCTGAAAGTGACAGGGAGAATGGACCAAGCTGGAAAACACTCTGCAGGATATTATCCAGGAGAACTTCCCCAATTTAGCAAGGCAGGCCAACATTCACATTCAGGAAATACAGAGAATGCCACAAAGATACTCCTTGAGAAGAGCAACTCCAAGACACATAATTGTCAGATTCACTAAAGTTGAAATGAAGGAAAAAATATTAAGGGCACCAGAGAGAAAGGTTCGGTTACCCCCAAAGGGAAGCCCATCAGACTAACAGCTGATCTCTCAGCAGAAACTCTACAAGCTAGCACAGAGTGGGGGCCAATATTCAACATTCTTAAAGAAAGAATTTTCAACCCGGAATTTCATATCCAGCCAAACTAAGCTTCATAAGTGAAGGAGAAATAAAATCCTTTACAGAAAAGCAAATGCTGAGAGATTTTATCACCATCAGGCCTGCCCTAAAAGAGCTCCTGAAGTAAGCACTAAACATGGAAAGGAACAACTGGTACCAGCCACTGCAAAAACATGCCAAATTTTAAAGACCATCGAGGCTAGGAAGAAACTGCATCAAGTAATGAGCAAAATAACCAACTAACATCATAATGACAGTATCAAATTCACACATAACAATATTAACCTTAAATGTAAATGGGCTAAATGCTCCAATTAAAAGACACAGACTGGCAAGTTGGATAAAGAGTCAAGACCCATCAGTATGCTGTATTCAGGAAACCCATCTCACGTGGAGAGACACACATAGGCTCAAAATAAAGGGATGGAGGAAGATCTACCAAGCAAATGGAAAATAAAAAAAGCAGGGGTTGCAATCCTAGTCTCTGATAAAACAGACTTTAAACCAACAAAGATCAAAAGAGACAAAGAAGGCCATTACATAATGGTGAAGGGATCAATTCAACAAGAAGAGCTAACTGTCCTGAATATACATGCACCCAATACAGGAGCACCCAGATTCATGAAGCAAGTCCTTAGTGAGCTACAAAGAGACTTAGACTCCCACACAATAATAATGGGAGACTTTAATGCCCCACTGCCAACGTTAGACGGATCAAGAGGCCAGAAAGTTAACAAGGATATCCAGGAATTGAACTCAACTCTGCACCAAGTGGACCTAATAGACATCTACAGAACTCTCCACCCCAAATCAACAGAATATACATGCTTTTCAGCACCACACCACACCCATTCCAAAATTGACCACATAATTGGAAGTAAGCACTCCTCACTAAATGTAAAAGAACAGAAATTATAACAAACTGTCTCTCAGACCACAGTATAATCAAACTAGAACTCAGGATTAAGAAACTCACCCAAAACCACTCAAATACACGGAAACTGAACAACCTGCTCCTGAATGACTACTGGGTACATAACGAAATGAAGGCAGAAATAAAGGTGTTCTTTGAAACCAATGAGAACAAAGACACAACATACCAGAATCTCTGGGACACATTCAAGGCAGTATGTAGACGGAAATTTATAGCACTATATGCCCACAAGAGAAAGCAGGAAAGATCTAAAATTGACACCCTAACACCACAATTAAAAGATCTATAAAATGAGTTAGGGAGGATTCCCTCTTTTTCTATTGATTGGAATAGTTTCAGAAGGAATGGTACCAGTTTCTCCTTGTACCTCTGGTAGAATTCGGCTGTGAATCCATCTGGTCCTGGACTCTTTTTGGTTGGTAAGCTATTGATTATTGCCACAATTTCAGCTCCTGTTATTGGTCTATTCAGAGATTCAACTTCTTCCTGGTTTAGTCTTGGGAGAGTGTATGTGTCAAGGAATTTATCCATTTCTTCTAGATTTTCTAGTTTATTTGCGTAGAGGTGTTTGTAGTATTCTCTGATGGTAGTTTGCATTTCTGTGGGATCGGTGGTGATATCCCCTTTATCATTTGCTATTGCGTCTATTTGATTCTTCTCTCTTTTTTTCTTTATTAGTCTTGCTAGCGGTCTATCGATTTTGTTGATCCTTTCAAAAAACTACCTCCTGGATTCATTAATTTTTGAAGGGTGTTTTGTGTCTCTATTTCCTTCAGTTCTGCTCTGATTTTAGTTATTTCTTGCCTTCTGCTAGCTTTTGAATGTGTTTGCTCTTGCTTTTCTAGTTCTTTTAATTGTGATGTTAGGGTGTCAATTTTGGATCTTTCCTGCTTCCTCTTTTGGCATTTAGTGCTATAAATTTCCCTCTACAGACTGCTTTGAATGTGTCCCAGAGATTCTGGTATGTTGTGTCTTTGTTCTCGTTGGTTTCAAAGAACATCTTTATTTCTGCCTTCATTTCGTTATGTACCCAGTAGTCATTCAGGAGCAGGTTGTTCAGTTTCCATGTAGTTGAGCGGTTTTGAGTGAGTTTCTTAATCCCGAGTTCTAGTTTGATTGCACTGTGGTCTGAGAGACAGTTTGCCATAATTTCTGTTCTTTTACATTTGCTGAGGAGAGCTTTACTTCCAACTATGTGGTCAATTTTGGAATAGGTGTGGTGTGGTGCTGAAAAGCATGTATATTCTGTTGATTTGGGGTGGAGAGTTCTGTAGATGTCTACTAGGTCCACTTGGTGCAGAGCTGAGTTCAATTCCTGGGTATCCTTGTTGACTTTCTGTCTCGTTGATCTGTCTAATGTTGACAGTGGGGTGTTAAAGTCTCCCATTATTAATGTGTGGGAGTCTAAGTCTCTTTGTAGGTCACTCAGGACTTGCTTTATGAATCTGGATGCTCCTGTTTTGGGTGCATATATACTTAGGATAGTTAGCTCTTCTTGTTGAATTGATCCCTTTACCATTATGTAATGGCCTTCTTTGTCTCTTTTGATCTTTGCTGGTTTAAAGTCTGTTTTATCAGAGACTAGGATTGCAACCCCTGCCTTTTTTTGTTTTCCATTTGCTTGGTAGATCTTCCTCCCTCCTTTTATTTTGAGCCTATGTGTGTCTCTGCATGTGAGATGGGTTTCCCGAATACAGCACAGTGATGGGTCTTGACTCTTTATCCCATTTGCCAGTCTGTGTCTTTTAATTGGAGCATTTAGTCCATTTACATTTAAAGTTAATATTGTTATGTGTGAATTTGATCCTGTCATTATGATGTTAGCTGGTTATTTTGCTCGTTAGTTGATTCAATTTCTTCCTAGTCTTGATGATCTTTAAAATTTGGCATGTTTTTGCAGTGGCTGGTACCAGTTGTTTCTTTCCATGTTTAGTGCTTCCTTCAGGAGCTCTTTTGGGGCAGGCCTGATGGTGATAAAATCTCTCAGCATTTGCTTTTCTGTAAAGGATTTTATTTCTCCTTCACTTATGAAGCTTAGTTTGGCTGGATATGAAATTCCAGGTTGAAAATTCTTTCTTTAAGAATGTTGAATATTGGCCCCCACTCTCTTCTAGCTTGTAGAGTTTCTGCCGAGAGATCCGCTGTTAGTCTGATGGGCATCCCTTAGTGGGTAACCCGACCTTTCTCTCTGGCTGCCCTTAACATTTTTTCCTTCCTTTCAACTTTGGTGAATCTGACAATTATGTGTCTTGGAGTTGCTCTTCTCGAGGAGTATCTTTGTGGCATTCTCTGTATTTCCTGAATCTGAAGGTTGGCCTGCCTTGCTAGATGGGGGAAGTTCTCCTGGATAATATCCTGCAGAGTGTATTCCAACTTGGTTCCATTCTCCCTGTCACTTTCAGGTACACCAATCAGATGTAGATTTGGTCTTTTCTCATAGTCCCATATTTCTTGGAAGTTTTGTTTGTTTCTTTTTATTCTTTGTTCTCTAAACTTCCCTTCACACTTCATTTCATTCATTTCATCTTCCATCACTGATACCCTTTCTTCCAGTTGATCGCATCGGCTCCTGAGTCTTCTGCATTATTCACGTAGTTCTGGAGCCTTGGCTTTCAGTTCCATCAGCTCCTTTAAGCACTTCTCTGTATTGTTTATTCTAGTTATACATTCGTCTAAATTTTTTTCAAAGTTTTTAACTTCTTTGCCTTCAGTTTGAATTTCCTCCTGTAGCTCAGAGTAGTTTGATCATCTGAAGACTTCTCTCAACTCGTCAAAGTCATTCTCTGTCCAGCTTTGTTCCATTGCTGGTGAGGAACTACCTTCCTTTGGAGGAGGAGAAGCGCTCTGCTTTTTAGAGTTTCCAATTTTTCTGCTCTGTTTTTTCCCCATCTTTGTGGTTTTATCTACTTTTGGTCTTTGATGATGGTGATGTACAGATGGGTTTCTGGTGTGGATGTCCTTTCTGCTTGTTAGTTTTCCTTCTAACAGACAGGACCCTCAGCTGCAGGTCTGTTGGAGTTTGCTAGAGGTCCACTCCAGAGCCTGTTTGCCTGGGTATCAGCAGTGGTGGCTGCAGAACAGCGGATTTTCATGAACCATGAATGCTGCTGTCTGATCATTCCTCTGGAAGTTTTGTCTCACAGGAGTACCCGGCTGTGTGAGGTGTCAGTCTGCCCCTACTGTGGGGTGCATCCCAATTAGGATGCTCAGGGCTCAGGGGTCAGGGACCCACTTGAGGAGGCAGTCTGCCCATTCTCAGATCTCCAGCTGCATGCTGGGAGAACCACTGCTCTCTTCAAAGCAGTCAGACAGGGACATTTAAGTCTGGAGAGGTTACTGCTGTCTTTTTGTTTGTCTGTGCCCTGCCCCAGAGGTGGAGCCTACAGAGGCAGGCAGGCCCCCTTGAGCTGCGGTGGGCTCCACCCAATTCGAGCTTCCCAGCTGCTTTGTTTACCTAAGCAAGCCTGGGAAATGGCAGGCGCCCCTCCCCCAGCCTTGCTGCTGCCTTGTAGTTTGATCTCAGACTGCTGTGCTAGCAATCAGTGAGACTCCGTGGGCATAGGACCCTCTGAGCCATGTGTGGGATATAATCTCCTCGTGCACCATTGTTTTACCAGTCGGAAAAGCACAGTATTAAGGTGCGAGTGACCTGATTTTCCAGGTGCTGTCATCCCTTTCTTTGACTAGGAAAGGGAACTCCCTGACCCCTTGCACTTCCCAAGTGAGGCAATGCCTCGCCCTGCTTTGGCTTGCACATGGTGCGCTGCACCCACTGTCCTGTGCCCACTGTCTGGCACTCCCTAGTGAGATGAACCTGGTACCTCAGATGGAAATGCAGAAATCACCCATCTTCTGCATCACTCACGCTGGGAGCTGTAGACCGGAACTGTTCCTATTCAGCCATCTTGGCTGCCCTCCAGCCACCGATTATTTCAATAGATGCAGAAAAGTCCTTTGACAAAATTCAACAACCTCCATGCTAAATACTTTCAATAAATTAGGTATTGGTGGGATGTATCTCAAAATAATAAGAGCTATCTATGACAAACCCACAGCCAATATCATACTGAATGGACAAAAACTGGAAGCATTCCCTTGGAAAACTGCCACAAGCCAGGGATGCCCTCTCTCACCACTCCTATTCAACACAGTGTTGGAAGTTCTGGCCAGGGCAATCAGGCAGGAGAAATAAATAAAGGGCATTCAATTAGGAAAAGAGAAAGTCAAATTGTCCCTGTTTGCAGATGACATAATGGTATATCTAGAAAACCCCATCGTCTTAACCCAAAATCTCCTTAAGCTGATAGGCAACTTCAGCAAAGTCTCAGGATACAAAATCAATGGACAAAAATCACAAGCATTCTTATGCACCAATGACAGACAAACAGAGAGCCAAATCATGAGTGAATTCCCATTCACAATTGCTTCAAAGAGAATAAAATACCTAGGAATCCAACTTAAAAGGGATGTGAAGGACCTCTTCAAGGAGAACTACAAACCACTGCTCAATGAAATAAAAGAGGATACAAACAAATGGAAGAACATTCCATGCTCATGGGTAGGAAGAATCAATATCGTGAAAATGGCCATACTGCCCAAGGTAATTTATAGATTCAATGCCATCCCCATCAAGCTACTAATGACTTTCTTCACAGAATTGGAAAAAAACTACTTTGAAGTTCATATGGAACCAAAAAAGAGCCCACATCGCCAAGTCAATCCTAAGCCAAAAGAACAAAGCTGGAGGCATCACACTACCTGACTTCAAACTATACTAGAAGGCTACAGTAACCAAAACAGCATGGTACTGGTACCAAAACAGAGATGCAGACCAATGGAACAGAACAGAGCCCTCAGAAATAATGCCACATATCTACAATTATCTGATCTTTGACAAACCTGACAAAAACAAGCAATGGGGAAAGGATTCTCGATTTAATAAATGGCGCTGGGAAAACTGGCTAGCCATATGTAGAAAGCTGAAACTGGATCCCTTCCTTACACCTTATACAAAAATTAATTCAAGATGGATTAAAGACTTATATGTTAGACCTAAAACCATAAAAACCCTAGAAGAAAACATAGGCAATGCCATTCAGGACAGAGGCATGGGCAACGACTTCATGTCTAAAACACCAAAAGCAAAAGCAATGGCAACAAAAGCCTAAATTGACAAATGGGATCTAATTAAACTAAAGAGCTTCTGCACAGCAAAAGAAACCACCATCAGAGTGAACAGGCAACCTACAGAATGGGAGAAAATTTTTGCAATCTACTCATCTGACAAAGGGCTAATATCCAGACTCTACAATGAACTCAAACAAATTTACAAGGAAAAAACAAACAACCCCATGAAAAAGTGGGTGAAGGATATGAGCAGACACTTCTCAAAAGAAGACATTTATGCAGCCAAAAAACACATGAAAAAATGCTCATCATCACTGGCCATCAGAGAAATGCAGATCAAAACCACAATGAGATACCATCTCACACCAGTTAGAATGGCAATCATTAAAAAGTCAGGAAACAACAGGTGCTGGAGAGGAGGTGGAGATATAGGAACACTTTTACACTGTTGGTGGGACTGTAAACTAGTTCAACCATTGTGGAAGTTGGTGTGGCAATTCCTCTGGGATCTGGAACTAGAAATACCATTTGACCCAGCCATCCCATTACTCGGTATCTACCCAAAGGATTATAAATCATGCTGCTATAAAGGCACATGCAGACGTATGTTTATTGTGGCACTATTCACAATAGCAAAGACTTGGAACCAACCCAAATGTCCAACAATGATAGACTGGATTAAGGAAATGTGGCCGATATACACCATGGAATAGTATGCAGCCATAAAAAATGATGAGTTCATGTCCTTTGTAGGGACATGAAGGAAGCTGGAAACCATCATTCTCAGCAAACTATCACAAGGACAAAATACCAAACACTGCATGTTCTCATCATAGGTGGAATTGAACAATGAGAACACATGGACACAGGAAAGGAAGCATCACACACCAGAGACTGTTGTGTGGTGGGGGGAGGGGGGAGGGATAGCATTAGGAGATATACCTAATAAGATATTATTACACACACATCAAAATGGTTAAAATGAAAAAAGACAATATGCTAAGTGTTGGCAAGAAAGAGAAGCAGCTGGCACTCTCAGTACAGTTGTGAATTTACTAAAACCCTGGGATAATTCTTTGGCAGTCATTCATAAAACCGAGCACATGCACATCCAGCAATTATGCTCATAGTTATATCAACATAAATCCTTATATTGGGATAACAATGTATTAGAGTAATAACAGCACAATTCACAATAACCACAAACTAGAATCATCTCAAAATTTCATAACAATACAATGAAAAGATAAATTTTGGAATTGTTATAAAATAAAACACTCTAAGCCTAACTTACGTACTGCTATTTGTGACAACATGAATGAATCTCACAAGCAAAATTAAATGAAAATACTAGATTCTTGGCCAGGCTTAGTGGCTCATACCTGTAATCCCAGAACTTTGGGAGGCCGAGGAGGGTGGATCACCTGAGGTTAGGAGTTCGAGACCAGCCTGACCAACATGGAGAAACCCCATCTCTACTAAAAATACAAAAAATTAGCCGGGAGTGGTGGCACATGCCTGTAATCCCAGCTACTCAGGAGGCTGAGGTAGCAGAATTGCTTGAAGCTGGGAGGTGGAGATTGCAGTGAGCTGAGATTGTGCCATTGCACTCCAGCAAGGCAACAAGAGTGAGACTCTGTCTCAAAAAAAAAAAAAAAGAAAATACTAGATACTAAAAAATACATAATATGATTCCATTAATGTTAAGTTCACAAACAGGCAACACTAATCTATGGCATAATACTGGAATTATCTAGTGGGAGAGGAAGGTAGGAGGAGACATAAAGGGGCTTCTGGGGTCCTGGCAAAATTATTTTTCTTGACCTGTGTGTTGATTACACAGATATATTCAGTTCATGATAATTCATTGAGCTATATACATTTAGGAAGTTTCTAACATTCTGTTTGTATATTACACTCCATTGAAAAGGTTTATTTAAAAAGAAGCAGTTTGCATTCACAATTCCACCCAAGCTGAGGTTTGCATTACTCCGTGACTGTGGAGGGCTTCAGCCAGATGCCCTCCTGACCATCTGGGCAATGATAAATCTCTGCAATGTGAGAATCACTGAACTGGGAATTAAAACCTGGATTCTAAAAAGGAAGATTGTGTACTAATGCACTAGTGACAGTTCACCTCACTTATTCACCAATTCCTCATTTCTAATAATAAAGTAGGGATTAGGCTAGTGGATCTCTTAAGACCCCTTCTGTCTCTAATTATCTGCTTCTTTCATTCTTTGAAAGGACCGGCAGAAGTCTTAACAGAAAGGAGTAACAGAGACCCATTTTTCAAGAAATAAAATGATTGTTTTAAAGAAAGGCATTGAGATCATTTTATCTAAAACAAGGTAGTGCACTTCTTTGAGAGTTCAGAGCTACATAAGCCAAGCAGTAAAATAACTGTTTCTCTTTGTCTCAGATAAATTATTCACCAAAACCTCCACCGACTCAAATTCTAAAGGTTGCAAAACCACACCCTAATTGTAATCAACCTGTGTTGCAACTGCTGAGTTGGTTAATGTGTATTTGAAAGTCACTGATTATCCTGAGTAATGAAATATTGCCTCATAGTACATGGTAAGTAAATGTTGGTGTCTCTGGTGGATTGAATTTCTTGCTTGGAGGGAATGATGTAAGACTTGGCCCTATCATCTTCAGTCTCTGTGTCCTTGAACAAAATACTGAATCTCTAAGACCCAGCTTCCTTATCTCTAAAGTGGGAATAATTTTACCACAGGCAAGGGTAATTGAGAGAATCAAAAGGGTTATGATGGGTATAAAAATTCTCTATAAATTGTCAGAATCCCTGTAAACATGTTTGATAAAACATTGTTGATATGGGTTCTTGACAAAGCTTGAATTTTCCTCATTGCAGTTAGAAATAACTGCATTAATCCAATATTATTTCCAATAGCCAAGATACGGAAATGACCTAAGTGTTCATGGACAAATAAATGGATGAAGAAATTGTGGTGTATATTTATATACTCATTGGAATATTTTTAAACTTAAAAAGGAGATATTGCCTTTTGCATCAACATGGAATGAACCTGGAGGATATTATGCTAAGTGATATAAGCCAGATGCAGATGAAAAAAGATTGCATGATTTCATTTATATGAAGAATCTTTAAAAAGTCAAATACATAGAAACAGAGAGTAGAATGGTGGTTACCAAAAGTGAGAGGGGGCACAAATTTGCTGTTAGATAGGATGAATAAGTCTAAAAATCTAATAAACAGCAAGAGTAATATAGTTAATACACTACCCTGAAAACCTGCTAAAAGAGTAGATTTTAGGTGCTTATACCACGAAAAAAGAAGGTAGTTATAGAATTGATGAATATGTAAACTTGTTTAACTGTAGTAATAATTCCACTCTAGGTATGTCTACCAATGTTGTTTACCTTAAATATATACAATAGAAATAAAGTAAACAAAAAACTGTGCTAATCATTTAGAATACCACAATGATATCTTTACAGAATATGCCTTTGTACAAGCATTGCCATTAGTGATCTAGAAATGTATGTATCATTTTAGTGATATATAGAGCCTCATGAGCACTAAATGTCATCTCCAGTTCAGGTCTGCACAACTGTGTTTGTTCTGTGCCATGGGTCTGTTTAATGATTTCCCTACCTCCCATTCACCACTGAAGCCCATGCCTGTTGTTCTGCCTATAATTCCCCTTCCTTGCTGTGCAATATTTCATTCCATTATTTCTGACACAGACGGCCAAAAAAGCAACAGAAACAGCTGTGTCTGGAGGCAACTGGGAGGTTGAGAAGCCATAGTTTCTGAGATCTTACCCACTAAATTCTCTGAGATTGGCTCTTTCCTCAGTTATACTGAGTAGGATTCACCTCTGCAGTGACAGAGAGGGGAGAAACACAAGTTTTTACTTCTCTTGAGAATGTACAGCCCTGTTATTTTGTGAACAGTGTGGTATACATTCAGAGTGATGAATGGTTGTAGGATTTATTTAATTTTACTAAAACTGTTCTCAAGGCAGTTCTGGTGTAAATGATAAAGCACCACAGTGGGCATCGGAAGATCTCAGTTCAAATCCCAGCCTGCCATTTATGAGCTGTGGGACACTGGACAGGTCATCTGTTCTCCTAGAGTCTCCCTTTCCCCATTTGAAAAATATGAAATAATATTCTCAGCCATCCAGTGTTTTTCAGGGGGTTTAATGGAAAAAGGTGTGTATGTTTACTTAGCTAGTTAATTGATAATCTGTTTAGCCATTTAAGATGAGTGAGATTGTTAGCTGTTTTATGTTTAGGCAGCTGTAATGTTAGTACTACACTAAAATATTTCAAAAGGATCTCATGTTCAAGGAAAATGATCTAGTGTTTGAGAAAGCATTATAGTGTTGCAGTCTTGCTGATCCTTAGCTCAGCTAGGTCTGAGTTGTCTCATGCATGAAGAATTAGGCACACAGACACCAGAGAGTGAGTGGAGTAGAATTTATTAAGTGAAAGGAAACTCTCAGCAAAGAGAGAGTCCCTGAAAGCAGGTTGCAGATTGCCACTTCACAGTTGAATACCAATACTTTTGTAGAAAAGCTGATGAGGCTGGGATACTTATTTGCATAAGGCATGAATTGCTGGTGTTTCCACCCTTCCTTCCATTGCGCATGTGGGCTCTTAGTCTAAGCCACTCCATATTGATTTATTTCCCTTCCTGTGCATGTGTTAAAGGTAGGAATTTTTCACTGTGGGCATATTTAGGCAAGCTCCCTGTGCAAGTTCCCTTATCTGCACAAAACATCTAGTGTAAGTACTTGGGGTTTTTGTGGATTGGGCAATGACCTGGAAGGGTTGGAGGTTCTCTGGGGACCCTTCCCTTACTGCCTGCCTAAAGCAAGCTGGCTAACTCCCCTCAATAGGATAAACATTATTGTACATACAAGGGATATAATACATAGATTGCCCTCAAAGTTATATTTCCAACTGGTCATCAATCTAAGAATCCAAACTTTTGAGTAATTTTTTGATGAAGAAGTTTACTTCATTGGTTCTCAATTTTGGCTGCACAGTGGAACCACCTGGGGTGTTTAAAAAAACCTGGGCCTGGCGGGGCGCGCTGGCTCATGCCTGTAATCCCACCACTTTGGAAGGCCGAGGCAGGTGGATCACCTGAGGTCAGGAGTTTGAGACCAGCCTGACCAACATGGTGAAACCCCATCTCTACTAAAAATAAAAAGTTAGCCGGACGTGGTGGCACATGCCTGTAATCCCAGCTATGCTGGAAGCTAAGGCAGGTGAATCTCTTGAACCCAGGAGGCAGAGGTTGCAGTGAGCTGAGATCTTGCCATTGCACTCCAGCCTGGGCAACAAGAGCAAACTCCATCTAAAAACAAACAAACAAGCAAACAAACAAACACTTGGGCTCTGCTTCAGACTAGTTAAACCAGGGTGGGGCTTTGGAAAGGAGAACAAGAAAATAAAACACCTTATTTTTATCTTTTTCAGTCAGCCAATGTTCATTCAGAAGAGAGATTAAAATGCTTCTTTCTGACTTGTCACAGTCAGAGTCAGAATCACAGGTGGATTGGCACGGAGTGTCATAAAAGCCTTGAAGTGAAAGCCTACAGTTGTCTTACTAAGAAGGGAAGCCTTCAATGGATCCAGCTGTGGCTCTGGTGCTCTGTCTCTCCTGTTTGTTTCTCCTTTCACTCTGGAGGCAGAGCTCTGGAAGAGGGAGGCTCCTATTTGGCCCTACTCCTCTCCTGATTATTGGAAATATCCTGCAGTTAGATGTTAAGGACATGAGCAAATCCTTAACCAATGTAAGTATGCTTTATGCTCCTCTAGTAATGTATAAGGTGTATTTAACCTCACGATTCTTAAAGTTTTATTTTATTTTTAAGTGATAAATGACAATTGTATATATTAATGGGGTACAATTTTACATTTTGATACATGTATGCATTGTGAATTGATCATATCAGGATAATTAGCATATCCATCATCTCAAATATTTGTCATTTCTTTGTAGTAAGAACATTTAAAATCCTCTCTTTTATAGCTGTTTTACAATACACATAATAATAGCCAATCTAAGAGTTGTGATGTGATATCTCATTGTGGTTTTAATTTGCATTTCTCTGATGATTAAATTTGTTGAGTACTAAAAAATATATTTATTGGCTGTTTGTATGTCTTCTTTTGAAAAATGTCTACTCAAATCCTTTGCCCATTTTACTAACTTATTTATTTATTTATTTTCAGAGACAGGGTTTTTCTCTGTTGCCTAGGCTGGAGTGTAGTGATGGGATCATGGCTCACTGTAGCCTTGAGCTCCTGGGCTCAAGCCATCCTCCCACTTTAGTCCCTCAAGTAGTTGGGACTACAGGTGCATGCCACCATGCCTGTATAATTTTTTAATATTTTGTAGAGATGTGGTCTCATTATGTTTCCCAGGTTGGTCTTCAACTCTTGGACTCAAGCAATCCACCCACCTTGGTCTCTCAAAGTGCTGGGATTACAGACTTGAGCCATTGCACTTGACCCCATTGCTCATTTTAAGTAGAATTATTTATTTTCTTGTTATTGATTAAATTGAGTTTCTATATATTTTGTGTATTAGCCCCTTATGTCTGATTTGCAAATATTTTCTCCCAATCCATGGATTGTCTCTTGACTCTATGACTTGTTTCCTTTGCTGTGCAGAAGCTTTTTAGGTTGTCAGAATCTCATTTGTCTGGTTTTGCTTTCATTGCCTGTGCTTTTAGGATCATATCCAAGAAATCTTTGCCTAGACCAATGACATGGAGTTTTTCTCAGGTCTTATGCTTAAGACTTTCATTCATTTTGAGTTAATTCTTGTATAAGGTGAGATTAAGGTTCACTTTTATTCTTTTGCCTATGAATATCCAGTTTTCCCAACACCCTTTGCTGAAGAGTGCTTTCCCTGTTGTATGTTCTTGGCACCTTTGTCAAACATCAATTGACTATAGATGTGTGGGCTTATTTCAGGACTTTCTATCCTTTTCCTTTAATTAATGTGTCTGTTTTTATGCCAATGCTATGCTGTTTTGTTTACTATAGCTTTGTAACATATTTTGCAATTCAATAGTGTGATGCCTCCAGCTTTATTCTTTTTGATTAAGATTGCTTTGGCTATTTGAGGTATTTTGTGGTTCCATACAAATTTTAATATTTTTTTTTCTATTTCTGTGAAGAAAGAGATAAAACTTTTGATAGAGATGGCATTGAATCTATATATTGCTTTGGTTAGTATGGACATTTTTCCACCATTAGTTTTTCCAATCCTTGAACATGGGTATTTTTGCATTTATTTGTGTCATCTTCAATTTCTTTCATCAGTGATTGGTAGTTTTCAGTATATAGAAGTTTCTCTTCCTTGGTTAAATTTATTCCTAAGTATTTTATTTTTTGATGCTACTGTAAATTGATTGTTCTATTAATTTCTTTTTCAGGCAGTTTGTTGTTAGTGTATGGAAATGTCACTGATTTTTGCCTGTTTATTTTGTATCCTGAAAGTTTACTGAATTTGTTTATCAGTTCTCACACTTTTGTACTGAAGTCTTTAGGATTTTCTAGATATAAGATTATGCCATCAGGAAACAGACAATTTCATTTCATCCTCTCCTATATGAATACATCCTTTTGAATATGAATATTGCTATATGAATATTTTCTTTCTTTCATCTAATTGCTCTGACTAGGGCTTCCAGTACTCTGTTGAACAGAAATGGTGAGAGAGAGCATTCTTGTCTTACTTCTGATCTTACAGGAAAAGCTTTTAGCTTTTCCACATTAAATATGTTGTTAGCTGTGGGCTTGTCACATATAACCTTTAATGTCTTTTATAACCTTCTGTATTACTGGAGGCCAGTTATTAAAGTTTATATGTTATATTAAAGGAACATTCCTCAACATGCCTTCTGTATTAATAGAGGCCAATAATTAAAATATGTTATTGTAAAGCAAATATTTCCTGTGGAGTATTTTTTTCTTTTATGTGTCATTGTCAGAAATAGTGGAATAAAATAATGCTTTTTGCCAGAAGACAAACATTTGAAGTTGTAAGGTATAATTTGCTTTGCTTCACAGTCATTTGCTATAATTTTTTTGCCTGAAGAAAACTGGTAATGGAAGTGTTTTGTGATTAGAGATTTTATTTGAGAAGTCAGCCACTATATATGCTATGTATTTTGCTTATATTAGCCATGATCATTAAACTTCTTAAAAAAGCAAATCATCCAAGATGGCTGAATAGGAACAGCTCCAGTCTATAGCTCCCAGCGTGAGTGACACAGAAGATGAGTGATTTCTGCATTTCCAACTGAGGTACCAGGTTCATCTCACTGGGGCTTGTCAGGCAGTGGGTGCAGGACAGTGGGTGCAGTGCACTGAGTGTGAGCTGAAGCAGGTCAAGGCATCACCTCACCCGGGAAGTACAAGGGGATGGGGAATTCCCTTTCCTAGCCAAACAAAGGTGTGACAGATAGCTCCTGGAAAATTGGGTCACTCCCACCCTAATACTGCACTATTCCAACAGTCTTAGCAAACGGCACACCAGGAGATTATATACTGTGCATGGCTCAGAGAGTCCCGTGCCTATGGAGCCTCACTCATTGCTAGCACAGCAGTCTGAGATTGAACTGCAAGGCAGCAGCAAGGCTGGGGGAGGGGCACCCACCATTGCTGAGTCTTGAGTAGGTAAACAAAGCAGTCAGGAAGCTCGAACTGGTGGAGCCCACCACAGCTCAAGGAGGCCTGCCTGTCTCTGTAGACTCCACCTCTGGTGGCAGGGCATAGCCAAACAAAAGGCAGCAGAAACCTCTGCAGACTTAAATGTCCCTGTCTCACAGCTTTGAAGAGAGTAGTGTTTCTCCCAGCATGGAGTTTGAGATCTGAGAATGGACAGACTGCCTCCTCAAGTGGGTCCCTGAACCCTGAGTAGCATAACTGGGAGGTACTCCCCAGCAGGGGCAGACTGACATCTCATACAGCTGGGTACCCCTCTGAGACAAAACCTCCAGAGGAATGATCCGACAGCAACATTTGCTGTTCAGCAATATCCACTGTTCTGCAGCCTCTGCTGCTGATACCCAGGAAAACAGGGTCTGGAGTGGACCTCAGGCAAATTCCAACAGATCTGCAGCTGACAGTCCTGACTGTTAAAAGGAAAACTAACAAACAGAAAGGAGATCCACACCAAAACCCCATCTGTACATCACCATCATCAAAGAACAAAGGTAGATAAAAACACAAAGATGATGAAAAAACAGAACAGAAAAACTGAAAATTCTAAAAATCAGAGCACCTCTCCTCCTCCAAAGGAACACAGCTCCTCATCAGCAATGGAACAAACCTGGACAGAGAATGACTTTGTTGAGTTGAGAGAAGAAGGCTTCAGATGATCAAACTTCTCTGAACTAAAGGAGGAAGTTCAAACCCATGGCAAAGAAGTTAAAAACCTTGAAAAAAGATTAGATGAATGGCTAACTAGAATAACCAATGCAGAGAAGTCCTTAAAGGACCTGATGGAACTGAAAACCGTGGCACAAGAACTACGTGAAAAATGTACAAGCTTCAGTAGCCAATTCGATCAACTGGAAGAGAGGGTATCAGTGATTGAAGATCAAATGAATGACATGAGGTGAGAAGAGATGTTTAGAGAAAAACTAAAAATAAATGAACAAAGCCTCCAAGAAATATGGGACTATGTGAAAAGACCAAATCTGCGTCTGATTGGTGTACCTGAAAGTGACAGGGAGAATGGAACCAAGTTGGAAAACACTCTGCAGGATATTATCCTGGAGAACTTCTCCAATCTAGCAAGGCAGGCCAACATTCAAATTCAGGAAATATAGAGAATGCCACAAAGATACTCCTTGAGAAGAGCATCTCTAAGACACGTATTTGTCAGATTTACCAAAGTTGAAATGAAGGAAAAAATGTTAAGGGTAGCCAGAGAGAAAGGTCGGGTTACCCACAAAGGGAAGACCATCAGACTAACAGCTCATCTCCTCCCTAACTCATTTGATGAGGCTGGCATCATCCTGATACCAAAGTCTGGCAGAGACACAACAAAAAAAGAGAATTTTAGATCAATATCCATGATGAATATCGATGCAAAAATCCTCAAAAAAATACTGGCAAACGAAATCCAGCAGCATATCAAAAAGCTTATCCAGCATGATCAAGTGGGCTTCATCCCTGGGATGCAAGGCTGGTTCAACATACACAAATCAGTAAACATAATCCAGCATATAAACAGAACCAAAGACAAAAACCACATGATTATCTCAATAGATGCAGAAAAGGCCTTTGACAAAATTCAACAGCCCCTCATGCTAAAAAGTCGCAATAAATTAGGTATTGGTGGGATGTATCTCAAAATAATAAGAGCTATCTATGACAAACCCACAGCCAATATCATAATGAATGGGCAAAAACTGGAAGCATTCCCTTTGAAAACTGGCACAAGACAGGGATGCCCTCTCTCACCATTCCTATTCAACATAGTGTTGGAAGTTCTGGCCAGGGCAATAAGGCAGGAGAAAGAAATAAAGGGCATTCAATTAGGAAAAGAGGAAGTCAAATTGTCCCTGTTTGCAGATGACATGATTGTATATCTAGGGAACCCCATCATCTCAACCCCAAATCTCCTTAAGCTGATAGGCAACTTCAGCAATGTCTCAGGATACAAAATCAATGTGCAAAAATCACAAGCATTCTTATACACCAATAACAGACAAACAGAGAGCCAAATCATGAGTGAACTCTCATTCACAATTGCTTCAAAGAGAATAAAATACCTAGGAATCCAACTTACAAGGGATGTGAAGGACCTCTTCAGGGAGAACTACAAACCACTGCTCAATGAAATAAAAGAGGATACAAACAAATGGAGGAACATTCCATGCTTATGGTTAGGAAGAATCAATATTGTGAAAATGGCCATACTGCCCAAGGCAATTTATTGATTCAATGCCATCACCATCAAGCTACCAATGAGTTTATTCACAGCATTGGAAAAAACTACTTTAAAGTTCATATGGAACCAAAAAAGACCCCACATTTCCAAGTCAATCCTAAGCCAAAAGAACAAAGCTGGAGGCATCATGCTACCTGACTTCAAAATATACTACAAGGCTACAGTAACCAAAACAGCATGGTACTGGTACTAAAACAGAGATATAGACCAATGGAACAGAACAGAGCCCTCAGAAATGATGCTGCATAGCTACAATCATCTGATATTTGACAAACCTGACAAAAACAAGCAATGGGGAAAGGATTCCCTATTTAATAAATGGTGCTAGGAAAACTCTCTAGCCATATGTAGAAAGCTGAAACTGGATCCCTTCCTTACACCTTATACAAAAATTAATTCAAGATGGATTAAAGACTTACATGTTAGACCTAAAACCATAAAAACCCTAGAAGAAAACCTAGGCAATACCATTCAGGACATAGGCATGGGCAACGACTTCATGTCTAAAACACCAAAAGCAATGGCAACAAAAGCCAAAATTGACAAATGGGATCTAATTAAACTAAAGAGCTTCTGCACAGCAAAAGAAACTACCATCAGAGTGAACAGGCAACTTACAGAATGGGAGAAAATTTTTGCAACCTACTCATCTGACAAAGGACTAATATCCAGAATCTACAATGAACTCAAACAAATTTACAAGAAAAAAACAAACAACGCCATCAAAAAGTGGGCAAAGGATATGAACAGACACTTCTCAAAAGAAGACATTTATACAGCCAAAAGACACATGAAAAAATGCTCATCATCACTGGCCATCAGAGAAATGCAAATCAAAACCACAATGAGATACCATCTCACACCAGTTAGAATGGCGATCATTAAAAAGTCAGGAAACAACAGGTGCTGGAGAGGATGTGGAGAAATAGGAACACGTTTACACTGTTGGTGGGACTGTAAACTAGTTCAACCATTGTGCAAGTTGGTGTGGCGATTCCTCAATGATCTAGAACTAGAAATACAATTTAACCCAGCCATCTCCTTACTGGGTATATAGCCAAAGGATTATAAATCATGCTGCTGTAAAGACACATGCACATGTATGTTTATTGTGGCACTATTCACAATAGCAACGACTTGGAACCAAGCCAAATGTCCAACAATGATGGACTGGATTAAGAAAATGTGACAGATATACACAATGGAATACTATGCAGCCATAAGAAATGATGAGTTCATATCCTTTGTAGGGACATGGTTGAAGCTGGAAACTGTCATTCTCAGCAAACTATCGCAAGGACAAAAAACCAAACACTGCATGGTCTCACTCACAGGTGGGAATTGAACAATGAGAACACATGGACACAGGCAGGGGAACATCACACACTAGTGCCTGCTGTGCCGTGGAGGGAGGGGGGAGTGATAGCATTTGGAGATATACCTAATGCTAAATGACGAGTTAATGGGTGCAGCACACCAACATGGCACATGTATACATATGTAACTAACCTGCACATTGTGCCCATGTACCCTAAAACTTAAAGTACAATAAAAAAAAAAGTCTACAGTAACCAAAACAACATGGTCCTGGTACCAAAACAGAGATATAGATCAATGGAACAGAATAGGGCCCTCAGAAATAATACCACACATCTACAACCATCTGATCTTTGACAAATCTGACAAAAACAAGAAACGGGGAAAGGATTCCCTATTTAATAAATGGTGCTGGAAAAACTGGTAAGCCATATGTAGAAAGCTGAAACTGGATTCCTTCTTTACACCTTATACAGACATTAATTCAAGATGGATTAAAGACTTAAATGTTAGACCTAAAGCCATAAAAACCCTAGAAGAAAACCTAGGCAATACCATTCAGGACATAGGCGTGGGCAAGGACTTCATGTCTAAAACACCAAAAGCAATGGCAACAGAAGCCAAAATCGACAAATGGGATCTATTTAAACTAAAGACCTTCTGTACAGCAAAAGAAACTACCATCAGAGTGAACAGGCAACCTACAGAATGGGAGAAAATTTTTACAATCTACCCATCTGACAAAGGGCTAATATCCAGAATCTACAATGAACTTAAACAAATTTACAAGAAAAAATCAAACAACCCCATCAAAAATTGGGCAAAGGATATGAACAGATACTTCTCAAAAGAAGACTTTTATGCAGCCAAAAGACACATGAAAAAATGCTCATCATCACTGGCCATCAGAGAAATGCAAATCAAAACCACAATGAGATACCATCTCACACCAGTAGAATGGCGATCATTAAAAAGTCAGGAAACAACAGGTGCTGGAGAGGATGTGGAGAAATTGGAATGCATTTATACTGTTGGTGGGACTGTAAACTAGTTCAACCATTGTGGAAGACAGTGTGGCCATTCCTCAAGGATCTGGAACTAGAAATACAATTTGACCCAGCCATCCCATTACTGGGCATATACCCAAAGGATTATGAATCATGCTGCTATAAAGACACATGCACAGATATGTTTATAGCAGCACTATTCACAATAGCAAAGACTGGGAACCAACTCAAATGTCCATCAGTGATAGACTGGATTAAGAAAATATGGCAGATATACACCATGGAATACTATGAAGCCATAAAAAAGGATGAGTTCATGTCCTTTGTAGAGACATGGATGAAGCTAGAAACCATCATTCTCAGCAAACTATTGCCAGGACAGAAAACCAAACACCACATGTTCTCACTCATAGGTGGGAATTGTACAATGAGAACACTTGGACACATGTTGGGGAATATCACACAATGGGGCCTGTCATGGGGTGGGGGGAGTGGGGAGGGATAGCATTAGGAGACATACCTAATGTAAAAGACGAGTTAATGGTTACAGCACACCAACATGGGACGTGTGTGCATATGTAACAAACCTGCACATTGTGCACAAGTACCCTAGAACTTAAAGTATAATAATAATAATAATAATAATTTAAAAAAATGAAGAGCACCAGAGAAGAAATAAGTGAAAGTAAAATAAAACATCACTATACCTTGAAAAGAAAAGAACCATTGCTGGGGAACTAGAGTGGTTGTTTGGAGGTAGAAGACACTCTGGCTTTTGGAGTTGCCAGAGTTCTTGCTCTGGTTCTTTCTCATCTGTGTGGGCTGATGTTCCTTCAATATTTGAAGTTACTGTCTTTTGTGTGACTTTTTTTTTTTTTTTGCTTTTATCTTCTTTGATGTCCTTGGGGGGTTTGATTGTTGTACAAGGTAGGTTCAGTTGACTAGCTGAACTAGACAAACAAAGGTGTGATGGACGGCACCTGGAAAATTGGGTCACTCCCACCCTAATACTGTGCTTCTCCAATGGTCTTAGCAAACGGCACACCTGGAGATTATATTCCATGCCTGGCTCAGAGGGTCCCATGTCTATGGAGCCTCACTCATTGCTAGCACAGCAGTCTGAGATCGAACTGCAAGGTGGCATCGAGGCTGGGGGAGAGGCACCCACCATTGCTGAGTCTTGAGTAGGTAAACAAAGCAGCCAGGAAGCTCAAACTGGGTGGAGCCCACCACAGCTCAAGGAGGCATGCCTGCCTCTGTAGACTCCACCTCTGGGGGCAGGGCATAGCTGAACAAAAGGCAGCAGAAAACTCTGCAGACTTAAATGTCTCTATCTGACAGCTTTGAAGAGAGTAGTGGTTCTCCCAGCACGGAGTTTGAGATCTGAGAACGGACAGACTGCCTCCTCAAGTGGGTCCCTGACCCCCGAGTAGCCTATCTGGGAGGCTTCATTTCTGGGAGATTTTAGGGTGCCAAGACTCAGCTCAGCACTCCTGGGTTACAGGCTCTAACTCTCAGGGACTAGTATCTGGCTCCCAGCTTTGTTCTCCTACCCTTTGAGGTTAGGAACGTGCTATGCTGATGGTAGTATAACTGTTTCCGATTGTATCCTGTTATAATGAGAGCAGATTTTTATTGAATTCGTGCAAATAACCATATTACCATAGAAATACTCATGAATAGTTTCCCAATTTTGGAGGGATCAAGTAGGGGCAAAAGGTAAAAATTTCTACCTTTATTCACAAAAGTGTACTTTACCAAATTGCTATAAACTATAAATAGCTGAAAAGTTTCCTTAAATCTGAAAAGCAAAACATTAAAGAATCAACAAGGTTTCAAATAAGTCATAAAAATATCATCTTTATCAGTTATTTGATCTCACATAATTATTTTTTTTTCCTGTGGTGGGCTATCATGATGAATATTTACTTAATTTTCATTCTGCTCGATTTGAGTTAGAAGTTGTACAAATCCATCAGTTTCTTCATTAGAGCCAGGTCTGTGCTATAGGTAATATTACATGCTTTACCTGAATAAATTCCTCTGGGAAAGCTGAGACCCATATATTCAAAATAAGAAAATGGGCCACATGGTTACACGTCTCACTTAATTCCCTATGGTCATTTGATTTTTCAATTGGTTGCCTTTAAACCTAGGTCCATGGCTTAAAACTATTTTACAAACTGAGATTATCATGCTACTATTAATTACTTTGTATTTTCCTTTTTGTGTTTTTACCTGTAACTTGTTAAATTTCTGCAGAAGTGCAATTCCTAACAGAAGAATGCTGGCCCAGCACTTTGAGATTATAGCCATTATCTACAGAACAGACAAAATTAAACTTAACAGTAAACTCCAGGCAGACAGCCTGGGGACCACTTTTCTGAAACTTCTTTGTTGCCCAGATGTGGCTAAAAGAGTTTTGGCACTGACTCCTAGTCACCGATCACTTCTTTCCAATATGGGACCAGTCCAAATCGAATAGGGACAGCTTCATCTCAGCACCAAGAGATCTCAGTATTTATCTAAATGAGTTGAAAACTTATTTCTACACAAAAACCCGCACATGGGTGATTTTAACAACTTTTTGTCATTGCCAAATACTGGAAGCAACCAATATGTTTTTCAATAGGTGAATAAACATGGTGTTAAATCCATGCAATGGAATATTGCTTATTGTTAAAAAGAAATGAGCTGTCAAGCCATGAAAAGACATAGGAGAAACATGCATACCAGTAACTAAAATAAACTAACCTGAAAAAGCTATATACTGTGTGATTCCAACTATATGACATACTGGAAAAGGCAAAACAATGATGACACTAAAATTTTTGCCAAGGGCTTGGGGAAAGAGAGGAATGAATAGGCAGAGCACAGAGGACTTTTAGGGGATTGAAGCTATTCTATATGATACTAACATGCTGGATACATATCATACATTAGTCAAAGCCCATTGAATGTACAACACAAAGAGTGAACCCTATATAAGCTGGACTTTGTTGATGGTGATGTGTCAATATTGGTCTATTGATTGTAGCTATGAAACCTCATTGCTGAGAGTAACTAATTGTTGGGGAGGTTATCTGTGGGTGAGAGGAGGGAGTATGTGGGAACTGTGTACTTTCCACTTAGTTCTGCTGGGAATCCAAAACAATCCTAAAAAATAAATTCTACTAATTAAAAAATCCCCACTGTAATCCACAATTCTAGCCAAGCTGTGGAGGGCTTAATGCTGATACTCTTCTGATCATTTTGATTGAGATGTGTGTTTTACAGGATGCGATGTGGGATGTCATTAAACTGGGAGTTGAAAAGCTGAAATTTTAACACACTTTTGCATTGGTGGCTCTTTATCTCATTGGGTCAGCAAATGCTCATTCCTAAAAAAAAAAAAATCAAAATTAGAGGTCCCTCCTATCTTTAACTTATCTATGATTCTTTCATTCTATCAATAGAAAGGTCTAAGCAGGAGACTCATTTCATCAAAAGGTAGGAAGGCAAATCAGGGACATTCACTTCTCAAGGAATAAAATGATTGCTGTAAAGAGAGCAATTGACCTTATTTTATCAAAAATAAGATGGTGTAGTTCTTCTAGAATTTGTAGGTATGGGAGTTAGGTAGTAACTCTTCACCCTGGGTGTAGAATTAACCAAGATCTAGACTCACTCAAGTAATAAAGGTTGTATAAAACTACACTCTCTGACTCCCATTTTAGTTGATTGGCACTGTAATTATTAACTAAATTAATATTTATTTTGCAAGTCACTCATTAGGCTGAATCGTGAAATATTGAAACACAGCACACAATCAGTCAATGTTAGCAAACCCAGTTGAATTGAATGTTTTATTTGGGAGAAAGGATGCAAGACTCAGAGGTTATGGGTTCCATAGCACCTGTAGACACCATGTCCTTGGTCAATACACTGAATTTCTGAGGCCCAGCTTCCTCATCCCTAAAATGAGAGTAGGCAAAAGTAATTGAGAGAATAATGGGAGTATGATGGGTATGAAAATTACATTATAGGTACTTATATTTATGGGGTACATTTGATGTTTTGATACAGGCATACAATGTGTAATAATCACATCAGAGTAATTGGGGTCATGTTATGTGCCTACTGGTGGTAGGTACATTCCAATTCCAATCTTTTAGTTATTTTCAAATATACAATAAATCATCATTGATTGTAGTCACCCTACTGTGCTTTCAAATACTGGGTCTTATTCATTATATGTAACTATATTTTTACACTCACTAACCATCCCCACCTATATCCCCCAATTTCTGCTAACCTTCTCAGCCTCTGGAAACCATCATTCTACTATCTCCATGAATTCAATTGTTTTAACTTTTAGCTCCCACATATGAGTGAACATATATTTGTATTTCTGTGCCTGGCTTATTTCATTTAACACAATATCTTCCAGTTACATCCATGTTGTTGCAAATAACAGGATGTCATTCTTTCGTTATGACCGAATAATATTCTATTGTATAAATGTACCACATTCTTTTTATCCATTTATCTGTTGAACACACTCCAAATCTTGGCTATTATAAATAGTGCTGCAATAAACATGGGAATGCAGGTATCTCTTCAATATACTGATTTTCTTTCTTTTGAGTATATATCTAGCAGGGGGATTGCTGCATAATATCGTAGTTCTATTTTTAGTTTTTGAGGAACCTCCATACTAGGTTGCTAAAATGTTTTCTATAGAGATTGTACTAATTTACATGCCCACCAACAATGTACAAGTGTTCTCTTTTATACACATCCTTGCCAGCATCAATTATTGCCTATCTTTTGGATAAAAGCCATTTTAAGTGGGTTGAGTTTTAATGATGTTGAGTATTTTTATATATCTGTTTTCCATTTGTGTGTCTTCTTTTGAGAAATTTCTATTCAAATCTTTGGCCCATTTAAAAAATAGAATTATTAGATTTTTTTCCCTATTGAGTTGTTTGAGCTCCTTACATATTCTGGTTATTAATCTTTTGTTAGATGGATAGTGTGTAAATATTTTCTCCAATTCTGTGGGTTGTTGCTTCACTTCATTGAATTTTTGCTTTGCAGAATCTTTTCAAACTTAATATGATCCCATTTGTCCATTTTTGCTTTGGTAGTCTGTGCTTTTGAGGTATTACTCAAGAAATTTTTGCCAAGATCAATGTCCTGGAGAGTTTCCTTGATACTTTCTTTTAGTAGTTTCATAGTTTGAGATCTTAGATTTAAGTCTTCAATTTATTTTAATTTGATTTTTGTATATGATGAGCGATACGGGTCCAGCTTCATTTTTCTGCATATAGAAGTCCAGTTTTCTCTGCACCATTTATTGAAGAAACTATCCTTTCGCCAGTGTATGTTCTTGGCAATTTTGTGAAAAATGAGTTCATTTTAGGTGAGTGGATTTATTTCTGGGTTCTCTATTCTGTTCCATTGGCTATGTATCTGTTTTAATGCCAGTACCATGCTGTTCTGATTACTATAGCTCTGTACTATAATTTGAAGTCAGGTAATATGATTCCTTCAGTTTTGTTCTTTTGGCTTTGGATAGCTTTTTCTATTCTGGGTTTTTTTTCATTCCCTATGAATTATAAGATTTGTTTTTCTATTTCTGTGAAAAATGTCATTGGTGTTTTGATGGGGATTACACTGAATATATGAAGTGCTTAGGATAGTATGAACATTTTAACAGTATTAATTCTTCCAGTCCATCAACATGGAATATCTTTCCATTTTTTGGTGTTCTCTTCAATTTCTTTTATCAATGTTTTATAGTTTTCATTGTAGAGATCTTTGGTTAAGTTATTCCTAGGTATTTTATTTTGTGTGTAGCTACTGTAATGGAATTACTTCCTCTATTTCTTTTTCAAATTGTTCATTGTTGGCATATAGAAATGCTACTGATTTTTGTATGTAGGTTTTTTATCCTGCAACTTTACCGAATTTGTCAGTTCTAATAATTTTCTTGAGAAGTTTCTAGACTTTTCCAAATATAAGATTATATCATCTGCAAACAAGAGTAATTTGACTTCTTCCCTTCCAATTTGGATGCCCTTTATATCTTTCTGTTGTCTGACTGCTCTAGCTAGGACTTCCAGTAATATGTTGAATAGCAGTGGTGACAAGTAGGCATCTTTGTCATGTTCCAGGTCATAGAGGAAAGGCTTTCAGTTTTCCCCATTCAGTATGATACTAACAGGGGTCTATCATATATGGCTTTTATTATGTCGAGGTATGTTCCTTCTATCCCGAGTTTTTTGAGGGCTTTTATCATGAAGGAATGTTGAATTGTATTAAATGCTTTTTCAGCATCAATTGAAATAATCATATTGTTCTCATCCTTCATTCTATTGGTATATCACATTGCCTAATCTGTGTATATTAAACCATCCTTGCATCCCAGTGATAAATCCCACTTAGTCATGATACATGATCTTTCTAATGTGTTGTTGATTTTGGTTTGCTAGTATTTTTTGAGGATATTTGCATCAATATTTATCAGAGATATTAGCCTGTAATTTTCTTTTTTTTGTCTGGTTTTGGTGTCAGGGTAATACTGGCCTTGTAGAATGAGTTTGGGAGTATTTCCTCCTCCTCTATTTTTTGGAATAGTTTGAGTAGGATTGGTATTATTCTCTTTAAATGTTTGCTAGAATTCAGCAGTGAAGCCATTAGGTCCTTGGTTTTCTTAACTGAGAGACTTTTTCTTAAGACTTTGATCTTGTTGCTTGTTAGTAGTCTGTTCAGGTTTTGGATTTCTTCATGATTCAATCTTGGTAGGTTGTATATGTCTAGAAAATTGTCAATTTCTTCCAGATTTTCCAATTTATTGGCATGTAGTTGCTCATAGTAGCCACTAATGATCCTTTGAATTTCTGCAGTATCAGTTGTAATATCTCCTTTTTCATCTCTGATTTATTTGTATTCTCTCTCCCTTTTTCTTAATCTGGCAAAAGGTTTGTCAATTTTGTTTAACTTTTCAAAAAACAAATGTCTTGTTTCATTGATCTTTTGTATTGTTTTTAAATTTCAATTTTATTTATTTCCTCTTTGATCTTTATGATTTCTTTTTTTCTGCTAATGTTGGGTTTGGTTTGCTGTTGCTTTACTTATTTTTTAAGATGCATCATTAGATTGCTTATCTGAAGTTTTTCCTGTTTTGTGATGTAAGCAGTTATAGTTGTAAACTCCCTCTTTGTACTACTTTTGCTGCATTCCATAGGTTTTCATATGTTGTGTTTCCACTGTTATTTTTTTCTATAATTTTTTCAATTTCCATCTTAATTTCTTCATTCACCCACTGGTCATTCAGGAGTGTATTGTTTAATTTCCATGTATTTGTACAGTTTCCAATATTTTTGTTATTGATTTCTAGTTTGTGTTTTTTTTTCCTTTTTGAGATGGAGTTTTGCTCTTGTTGCCAAGGCTGGAGTGCAATGGTGTGATCTTGGCTCACCACAACCTCTGCCTCCCAAGTTCAAGTGATTCTCCTGCCTCAGCTTCCTGAGTAGCTGGGATTATGGGCATGCACCACTACATCTGGCTAATTTTTTTAATTTTTAGTAAAGATGGAGTTTCTTCATGTTGGTCGGACTGGTCTCAAACTCCTGACCTCAGGTTATCCACCCACCTCAGCCTCCCAAAATGTTGGGATTACAGGCGTGAGCCAAAGAACCCAGCTGATTTCTAGTTTTATTCCATTGTAGTCAGAGAAGATGTTTGATACTATTTCAATTTTTGTGCCTATGTGTGAGAGGAAAACATTTTGTTTCTGCCTATCTAGGACATGGAGCTGGTGCAGCCCAGTTGCCCTTTGCAGAGATATCAGTGAATCTTACCAGGAGCTCCTCTCACCCATACTCATCAAATCCCATGCCTGTGCTCATCACTGAGGTATTTATGGGCAAGCCAGCTTTGCCCAGCTGTGGCCCTGCATCCCCACAGAACAGGAAGCTCAGGGAACTGGGCACTCCAATGTCCAGCCTATCACCTGAAACAACAGAGAACATCTCACAGTAAACAAAGATCCACTACATACCCATCTGCTTGTGCCACAGCTGGTTCTTACCTGTAAGTGCCATCTACTTGCTTGTAAGTTGAGTCAGACAGTTTAATATAAAATCTGCTGACAGAGAGAATAAGGCTATAGAAGAAAATCCAAAAGAACTTACCCAATATACTCTACAGTCACACCCCATAGGAAGGGAGAGAAGGATAAAGGAAAAGAAATAATAAGAAAAGGAAAAATTCTATCCACAGAAAATAATTTCAAAAATTTAAAGTGGCATCCTCTCCACATGAGAAGGAACCATCATGAGAATTCTGATATTATGAAATATCTGAATTTGTAAACCATCAAAAGATCTTGCTAGCTCTCCAGAAATGAACCCTAACCAAAATGGGAACTCAGAAATGACATATAAAGAATTCAAAATATAGATTGCAAGGAAGATCAATGAGATTCACGACAAGTTGAAAATCAACACAAAGGAACTACTAAAGCAACCGGGGAAATGAAGAAAAAGATAAACATCTTTAAAAAATCAATCAAAATTCTGGAATTGAAAAATTCACTTAAAGAATTTCAGAATACAATGGAAAGATTTACCAAGAGACTGGATCAAGCAGAAGAAAGAATTTCAGAGTCTGAAGACCAGTCTTTTGAACTAACCCAGTCAGAGAGAAATAAAGAAAAAGAATTTTAGAAAATGAAGAAAGCTTTGAGAAATATGTGATTATGTCTAGCAATGAAACCTATGAATTATTGGCATTCCTGAGAGAGAAGATAAAGTAAACCACATGGAAAACATATTTGAGGGAATACTTCAAAAATTTTTTTCAAGAAAAAAAAGCAACAAAGTCTCAACGACAGCACATCAGTATGCATCATAATTTACTGAATATCTTAAGACCACTTTTGAGATCTACCACTCAGAAAAAAATTCTTTTGAAAATATTACTGCTCCTTGACAATGCTCCTAATCATGGCACCCATGAGCTCTGATGGAGATGGATCAGGAGATGTTCTTTTCATTACTGATGACACAACATTTATTCTGCAGTCATGAATCAAGTAGTAAATTCAACTTGTAAGTCTTATTATTTGATAAGTACATTTCAGAAGGCTATACCTACCAGAGATACTGATTCCTCTGGTTAATGTGGGCAAAGTAAATTAAAAACATTTTGAAAAAGATTAAGAACATTTGTAATTCATGGGAGGATTTAAACTATCAATATTAACCTGAGTTGGAAGAAATTGATCCCAACCATCATAGATGACTTGGAGGGGTTCAAGACTTCAGTAAAGAAAGTAAATGCAGATGTGGTGGAAATAGTAAGAAAATTAGAAGTGGAGGTTGAAAACGTGACTAAATTGCTGCAATCTTATGATCAAACTCTACTGGATGAGAAGTTACTTGCTTCTTACAGATAAGCAGTGAAATTGTTTCCTTGACAATGAATCTACTACTGTTGAACATTGTTAAAATGACAAAAAAGGGTTTAAAATATTACATAAACTTTGTTGGTGAAGAAGCAGTGAGATTTCAGAGGATTGATTCCAATTTTGGAAGAAGTTTTACTGTGGATGAAAAGTTATCAAACAGCATCACATGCTATAGAAAAATCTTTCATAAAAGGAAGAGTCAATTAATGTGGCAAGCTTCATTGTTGTCTTATTTTAAGAAATTTTCACAGCCACTCAAAGATTCAGCAAGCACTACCATGATCAGTCAGCAACCAACACTGAGGTAAGACCCTCCACTAGCAACAAGATTATGACTTGCTGAAGACTCTAATGATCACTAGCATTTTGTAGTCATAAAGTATTTTAAAATTGTTATGCACACTTTTTAGATGTAACGCTATTGCACACTTAGTGTAAATATAACTTTTATACATACTAGGAAACCAAAAAATTCATGTGTCCTGCTCTATTGAAATATTTGCATTATTGTGGTGGTCTGGAATTGAGCACATAATATCTTCAAGATATGCCTGGTGATCCTCATAACAAAAAAATGTAGTTTTCCATTCCGTTTTGTACATTGTAGTCATTCTGTATTGTCTGTCTGTTTAATAATATACCTACCTCCCATATACCACTGAAGCACATTTTTTTGCTGTTCTATCATCTCCCTTTCTTGGTGTATATTACTTTATTCTATTATTTCTGACAATGACAGGGCAAAAAAGTTACAGATACAGCTATTTCTGGAGGTGACTAAGAGATGGGAGAAGCCATAATTTCTCAAGTGTTCTCTACTAAATTCTCTGAGATTGGCTCTTCTATTGGTTATTCTGAGCATGTCTTACTTCTGCAGTAATGGAGAGAGGAAAACACTGTATTTTTTCCATCTTCTTGAACACCTGTGACCTTTGTCTCCTTGGAGTGAAATAACAGTCTTCTATATGATGTGATGACTTTTTTGATGAAGGAACAGAATTACTAGAGTACACATTCAGGGCAACTAATGCTTTTGGAGTTTGTTTTGTTTTGCTAAAATTGCTCTTGAGGCAGCTGTGGTATAAGCAATAATGTACCACAATGCAAATCATAAGATCTCCATTCAAATCCGAGTTCTGCCACATAACAAGATATGAGACACTAGATAGATCTCCCTTTCCCCATTTGAAAAATAAAAAAATATTATTCTTTGCCTTCTAGTGCTTTGGAAAAAGCTTAATGATAAAGTAGTGAAAATTCTCTTTAGTTGCTTTCAGAAACTCTGTCATTGTCTTTTGAAAATTAAGTTATAATGTGTCTTGATGTGGGTCTCTGAGGATACATTCATTGGAGTTTCTTGAGCTTCTTTAATGTTTATATTCATAACTGTCATCAAATTTGGGTAGTTTTAAATGACTGTTTCTTTAAATATTCCGTCTATTTATCCTTTTTCTTCCTTGGATTTCCATAATGCATATGTTGGTCTGCTTGATGGGCTCCCACAGATCCCTTAGGCTCTATTTAATTTTCTTTAATCTTCTTTTCCATCTGTTTATCAGGCTTGATACTTTCCACTGACCTATCTTCATGGTCTCTGATTCTTTCTTCTGCCTGCTCAAATCTGCTTTTGAATCCCACTAGTGAATTTTTAATCTCAGTTATTACACTTTTAAGCTCTAGAATTTCTTTTTGGTTTAATTTCAGGTTTTTTATCTCCTTATTAATATTTATATTTTGTTCATACATCTTTTTTTAAAACCTTTATCGTATCTTACTTTAGTTTGTGAACTCAAAATATCTGAGACAAGTCTCAGTCAATTTAGGAAGCTTATTTTGCCAAGATTAAGGACACACCCATGACACAACTTCAGGAGATCCTGATAACATGTGGTCAAAGTCATCAGGGAACAGCTTAGTTTTATACATTTTGGGGACACATGAGACATCAATCAATATATGTAAGATGCGCATTCATTTAGTCTGGAAAGATGGGACAACTCAAAGTGGGGAGGGGGGTTCCAGGACATAGGTAGATAAAAGACAAATTGTTGCATTCTTTTGGGTTTCTGATTAGCCTTTCACTGAATACACAATTTACAGGAATAGTCGCTTATTCCTTAGAGTGGCTTAGTAAAACAATAAGGCAGGGGAAGCAATCAGATATTCATTTGTCTCACATAAACAGAGAGATGACTTTGAGTTCTGTCTGTCCCTTGTCCACAAGTGATTTTCTTGTGGGCAAATTGTGAGGGAGGTATGTAGCTTTTTAAGCTCTTTGTAGCAATCTTATTTAGGAATAGAATGAGAGGCAGGTTTGCCCAACATGGTTCCCAGCTTGACTTTTCCCTATGGCTTAGTGATCTGGAGACCCTAAGATGTATTTTCCTTTCACATTTTCCAGCTTTTTTTTTTTTTCTCTTGGAAAAAGCATTTCTCAAGAAAATGAGTCTCTGGTTTCAGGTTTTGTCTGATCTCTCATGGTTAGGACAATGTATTCCAAGATGGATAGGTCCCATATTATTAGGAAAGCTCATTTTTAACAGGTGGTAAAGTCTCACATTTTATGAAGAGAAAATCAGAAGAAGAAGGGAGAAAAACAACAACAAACAACAACAACAAAAAGAACAATCCTGGAAAATTGATATATTACCCTGAAGTCCATACTTTAGTAGACAGGTATGAAAGTGGTTTATGTATGTAAATAGGTTACTGTTATTTTCTTCTGAAGTTTAAGTTGTCTAGCTTCAGTTTGCAGAACTTTAAGAAAGAATAGCTTAAATTTTAGTTGCCTCAAATAAGGAAAAAATGGGGAAAAAATGAAAGGAAACAAGAAAAAAAGAAAAACATTATTTTAGAGAATTGTAGGCAGGAAAAATTCTCAAATTCAGGCCAAACTTTAGAAAATAATAAAAATTGAAAATTATTAGGCAAGACTACAATCTAAAAACAATTGTGCTATAGCTTATTGTGAAACATAATTTTTCTCTTTGTAGTCCCATTTTCACTAAAGACAAATCATAGGACAAATTCATTTGCAAAATAAGTTTTAGTCTTATACTTGGCCAGAGTATTTGCATAAAGTCAGCAAGAATAATTGTTTGCCATTTAGGCTCCTTTTTTTTTTGGTTTAAATTGGTTTTGCTAGAACTTTATGTCATAAAAAATCTCAGATTTAGCTTTAATGCCTTAGGCCCAGCTTGTACCTGCAAATTCCTGTGTCAATTGGATGAATTCCTCACCTCAAGGTCCCAGGAAAATTTGGGGCTCCTGGGCTGTCAGAAAATGACATTCTTTAATTATCCTGGGACAGAAATTTGTACAGTGACTGTGTAAACCAGGTATGAGGCCAGCTTTCCCAGGGGCACTTTTATTGGCTCTACAAGTCAATTTTGATTCCTTACAAGAGCCTGTTTGTAGCTGAATGCATGCCATTCCAGTCAAAACCTTGTAAAATAACCAGGATCTCCAACTGTGTCCTGTTACAAAAGAAAATAAATTCTTATTAATCTTATGTAAGTAACTGTATTGTTATAAGTTAAGAATACTCATGGCTAGCTTCCAAGTTTTGAAGAAATCAGGTAGAAAGAAATATGCTCCAAATTTTGTTTATACTGTACTCAATTATTAAAAGCTGCATATAGCTCAAAAGAAAAGTTTCCTTGGCTCTGAAAAACAGACAAAGGATTAGCAATGTTTTAAGCCAAATGTCATAAAATAATTATTTCAGTCTTCTGTTAGTTCAGCTCATGCAGTTAACTGTTGTTTTGCTTGATATTCATGAATATTTCAGTTCTCCATGGGAGTCTTGGAAGTTTTTCCTTTATTCTAGTGTCACAATCTCCAAAGTTATCAGAAACCTGCATTCAAGCACACTTGTCAGAGTCTTATAGCTGATTATAAAACCACCTTTTGAAAAGGATAAAAGTAAAACAGCTGTGGATGACAAAAGTCTCAGAACAGTCATAATTAAATATACAATTGACAAGGAAATTTGGTTAATTCTATGGCATATAACAATTTTACATAATAATCAAAATTACTACTGATAACATATGCTAAGACATATCAGAAACACAGGAATTTCATAGAATTCTGGAAC
Source organism: Homo sapiens (assembly GCF_000001405.40). Lineage (NCBI taxonomy): Eukaryota > Metazoa > Chordata > Mammalia > Primates > Hominidae > Homo > Homo sapiens. The sequence continues at coordinate 94,927,129 of NC_000010.11, forward strand.
ACATACTAGTAACACATTTATATAAATATAATCCAAAGAAGGCTAAACACCACTTTATATATGACAATATTTTCTGTATGATTTTATTATATCAAATAAGCCAAATATATCTCTTTTGGACTTCAGAGGATGAATATCAAAAAATTAATGAGGACCAAAGATAGAATTTGATTTTGGAAAGTTTGTTAAATATAAAATGTTTAAGACACTTGATATCACAAAATAGGATCACAGGTCATTGTAAAATAAGTCATTCATTTAACCAAAGTGATAACTCAAAGATTTGAGAAAAAAAAGTTGAAAACCTTTATTCTTTGTGAGAGAAAATACAATTTCCCAAACTATAAGTCCTAATAAAGACAGCATGAGGCCAGTTAAATTTGTTTTTCAAAAATTTATTAAAAATCTATGAAGTTTTGATCATCTTGACCATAAGATATATCTTTTTTTTTTTTCAAGATGGAGTCTCACTCTGTCACCCAGGCTAGAGGGCAGTGTCACACTCTCAGCTCACTGCAACATCCACCCCCCTGCTTCAAGCTATTTTCCTGCCTCAGCCTCCTGAGTAGTTGGGATTACAGGTACACACCACCACACCTGGCTAATTTTTTGTATTTTTAGTGGAGATGGGGTTTCACCATGTTGACCAGGTCAGTCTTGAACTTCTGACCTCAGATGATTCACCTGCCTCAGGCTCCCAAACTGCTGGGATTACAGGCATGAGCCACTGTGCCCGGCCCATAAGCCTTTTATGTAACCTTTATAACCTTTTATTTAGGAGTGGGTTAACGCTGCAAGAAAACCTTGTTAATCTGACACAGGGCCCCATGTGCTGGTCTTGCCTTTGACATTAATGGTTAATTTATAGAGAAAAAACATATTTTTTCTCTCAAAATCGACCCTCACAATCTCATGTGCCCACCTCTTCCATGATAGTCCCTGCGCTTTGAGGAGTTGCATAGTTTTAATTTCTGGCCTGTGTCTCACAAATGAAGTTTATTTTGATTGGTATCTTCTACTGGGTCTGAAGATGAGGCTTTAACTGGTTTCAGTGTTTAAGATTAAGCAAGACTTGGTGTCTGCCAGGCGAGGTGTCGGAGCCCTGGCATTGGAAAGTGGTGGACTTGTGGGTTGGTAAGAAGAATTTACCGATGCCAGTATAGGGTTGGGAGCTAAAGGACAATTTGCATAATACATGATTACATTTGTAGACATTTTGGTGCCTTAATGTCAGCAGGGGTTGAACGAGTTTTGGCATCATGCATTCTGGAGATATATAGAAATTCTAGTTACTTATAAGTTAAAGTAAGTGAAACCAGGTGCCAATTTTAGATAATAGGGAAGCCCAATTACTTCTAAAATTCTTAGGTAAGGAGTATTAGTCTCCTTGTCCTTGAGGTTCTCAGGACTCTCCTGTGGCTAGGATCTCAAGAATCCTTTGTAGGAATGCAGAGTACCAGGGGTCTCTTACTTACTTTTCCCCAAAATAGGGAGACTCCCCAGGCTCCCAGATAATCCTGGTCCAGCAGGCTGCCTCACTTTTCTCTACTTCCTTCCTTTACATGTTTCTGGCAACCGCTCTGTTGAATTCAAACATCTTCTCTTAGATGATCTATTCAATGTGTGATTATCTACTCATTATTTTGGTTACTTTTTGTGGAGGAAGTGAGTGCCAGATCTAATCAGTAATGTTGCATCCCTTCATTTGTTTTTAAAGTTTGTTTGCTGTAGGCTGTCTCTGTGCCACTTATTAGCCCAAGGTATTAACGTAAGGTCTATTCAAGACCTTAGTGAAGACTTTGCTGTGGCATGTGTGTTAAGTGTCTAATTTTTCCCACATAGCCAGTTTTTAAATGTCTTAGTCTTTAATGTCTATCTCCCAAAAGGGAAAAAAGAGAAACACAAATAGGAGAGGGAAAAGGTGTCAGTCCTTTAAATACCCTGGAAGTCACTTGTTGGGGGAGCTTGCCAAGACTTGGGGGAATTGTAGCAATAATGGGTTCCCAATCTGTGTCTGTACCTAAGTTTTCAAAAGCAGCAGTCATCAGAGGACAGGTCTTCAATATTCAGAAGATAGGTTCTTTTTTGCCCATCCCAGCTCCTGCAAGCTGTGAATAAGCTGCTCCAGGAACATGTGTACAGCTTCCTGCCAGGGGCTGAAGTATGGGGCATTGGTAGGTGCCACTGTGCTAAGAACTGAAATTGACAAAATTGGTTTTTTTTTTTATAGATTTTTTTAAAATTAATTTTTATTTTTTTGAGACAGAGTCTCACTCTGTCAGCCAGGCTGGAGTGCAGTGGTGTGATCTTGGCTCACTGCAACCTCTGCCTCCTGGGTTCAAGTGATTCTTGGGCCTCAGTCTCCCAAGTAGCTGGGACTACAGATGTGCACCACCACACTGGCTAATTTTTTGTATTTTCAGAAGAGACAGGGTTTCTTCTTAAATCATTTTATTAAAAACTAGGACACAAAACACATTAGCCTAGGAGTATGCAAGGTCAGGATCACCAATATCACCATATTCTACTGCCACATCTTGTCCCACTGTAAGGTTTTCAGGGGCAATAACACATATGAAGCTGTAATCGCCTATGTAACATTGCCTTCTTCTGGAATAACTCCTGAAGTACCTGCCTGAGGTTGTTTAATAGTTAACTTAAAAGAAAATGAGTCGTAGAAGAACACAACACTTTGAAATAACAGTAAAAGTATAGTATAGTAAATACATAAACCAGTAACAGAGTCATTTACTATAGTTATTGAGTATTATGTACTGTACCTGATATGTGCTATATTTTTATACAACTGGCAGTGCAGTAGGTTTGTTTACATCAGTGTCACCACATACACATGAAAAATGTGTTGTACCAAGATATTATGATGAGTATGAGTATCTAGGTGGCAGAAATCATCTTTCAGCTCCATTGTAATCTTTTTTCTGAGACAGAGTTGCACTCTGTCACACAGGCTGAAGTGCAGTGGTGTGATCTTGGCTCACTGCAACCTCCATCTCTGAGTTTCAAGCTATTCTCCTGCCTCAGCCTCCCTAGTAGCTGGGACTACAGGTGCCTGCCACCACAGCCAGCTAATTTTTGTACTTTTAGTAAAAATGAAATTTCACCATGTTGGCCAGGCTGTTCTCGATCTCCTGACCTCAAGTGATCCACCCGCCTTGGCCTCCCAAAGTGCTGGGATTATAGGTGTGAGCCACCATGCCCAGCCTCAGCCCCATTATAATCTTATGGAACAACATAGTAAATGAAATCACCTGTTGAACAAAATGTTGGTATATGGTGCATGACTGTATTAAAAGTATTGGAAAAAATCCCACCCATCTTGATTTGTGTATCTGGCAAAATTCTCCTTCACAAGTGATGGAGAAATAAAGATTCTCACACAAAAAAATTGAGAAAATTTATCTCTAGTTCCTGCCTTGCAAAAAATGTTAAATAAAGTTCTTCAGAGAGAAGAAAATGGTGTAAGTCAATCACTGATCTACATGAGGAAAGGAAGGGAGTTAGTGAAGGAATAATAAAAGGAACATAACATTTTTATTTTCTTATTGATTGGTCTAACAGACAACACTTTTTTCAAAATAATAACAATAACATGGCCCTGCAAAAGTGGCTCACACCTGTAATCCCAGCACTTTGGGAGCCCGAGGAGGGCGGATCACCTGAGGTCAGGAGTTCCAGACCAACCTGACCAACATAGAGAAACACTGTCTCTACTAAAAATACAAAATTAGCAAGGAGTGGTGGCACATTCCTGTAATCCCAGCTACTTGGGAGGCTGAGGCAGAAGAATTGCTTGAAGGCAGGAGGCAGAAGTTGCAGTGAGCCGAGATCATACTATTGCACTTCAGCCTGTGTAACAAGAGTGAAACTCCATCTCAAAAACAAAACAAAACAAAACAAACAAAACAGCAACAACAAAAATATATATTTGGTGATTACAGTTTATGGATAAATGAAATAAATGACAGTGATGATATATGAAGAAGGGAGGAAAGAAGTAAGAATATTTTTTTACAGGTAAGTGCACTACCTATGAAGTAGTATAGTGCTATTTTAATGTAGACTTGGGTTAATTGTAAACACATATTGCACATAATACGGAAACTACAAAAAAGTAAGAAAAAACAAGTAATATTAAGGAGAAAAAGAAAATAGACTCATATAACATGCTCAATTAAAACCACAGAAGGCAGAAAAAGAGTTGAGGACAAAAATAGAAACAACGAACAAGGGCAATGAGTAGAAAACAGTAACGCATATATGGTAGATAATAGTTCAACTATATTAAAGTCATTTTAACCGTTGGAAAGACAGAGACGGTCAGAGTAGATAAAAAAACAAGAGCCAAATATGTGTATGTTGTCTATAAGAGACCCATTTGAGATATAAATATACATATAGATTTCAAGTAAATGAAGGAGAAAAATATACCATGCTAACACCAACCAAAAGGAAATGGGAATAGCTATATTAGTTTCAGATGAAGCCATCTCCAGAGTAAGAAAAAATTATTAGAGGTTAGGAAGAGTGTTATATAATGATAAAGAGTTAAATTCTCTAAGGAGAAATAATAAAGTGTATGCACCCAACAATAAGGTCAAAATACATGAGGCAAAAACTGATAGAACTACAATGAGAAATAGATGACTCCACTATTACAGCTGGAGAATTAAACACTCCTCTATTAAAAATGGACAGATTCAGCATGCAGAAAATCATTAAAGACAGATTTGAACTGAATAGTACCATCAATCAACTGATTTGAATTGGCATTTATAGAATACTTTACCCTACAAAAGCAGAATACACATTCTTCTCAAGCTCACATAGAACATTCACCAATATAGACCACATTCTGGGCAACAAAACATATCTTAGGAAGTTTAAAAGAATGTGAATCATACAATGTCTGCTATGAGACCACAGTTGAATTAAACTAGAAATTGATAACAGATATTGAGCTGGAATATCACAAAATACTTAGAGAGTAAACAGCACATTTCTTAATAAAATATGGGTAAAATAATAAATCTCAAGAGGGATTAAAATATTTGGAACTTAACAAAATAAAAATAGAACTTTAAAAAATTTGTAGGATGTAGTGAAAGCAGTGGTTAGAGGGAAACTTCTAGCATTGGGGGCATAAATTAGAAAAGAAAAGGATACAAAGTCAGTAATCTAAACATCCACCTTAGGGAACCAGAGAAAGAAGGACAAATTATATCCAAAGAAAGCAGAGCAAAAGAAACAATAAAAGAGCAGAAATCAATGAAATTGAAAACAAGAAATCAATAGAGAAAATTAGTAAAAACAAAAGCTGGTTATTTGAAAATTATATCAATATATATCTAGCCAGCCTAACCAAGATAAAAAGGGAGAATACAGATTTTCCTATCATCAAAATTAAAAGAAGAACCATCACTATTGATACCATGGACATTAAAAGGATAATAAATGAATATTATAAAGAACTCCATGCCCACAGATTATATAACTTGGATAAAATGGATCAATTCCATAAAGAAACAATCTTCTAAGTCTCACACAAGAAGAAATAGATAATTTGAATAGGCCTTTATTTATTAAAGTAATAAAATAAAAAATAAATAACCTCCAAAAGAGAAAACACCAGACCCATATAGGTCCACTGGTAAATTCTACCAAACATTTATAGAAGAATTATACCCGTTCTCTACAATCTCTTCTAGAAGTAGTACCAGAGGAAATTCTTCTATTCTTAACTCATTTTATGGGGCCAGCATTACTCTAATACTCAAATCAGACAAGGACATTGTAAGAAAGCAAAACTATATATCAGTATATCTAATGAAAATAGGTGCAAACCTCAATAAAAGATTAGCAAATTGCATCCAATCGTGTAGAAAAACTGTATACACCATAACTAAGTGGGATTTATTTTAGAAATGCAAGAGTTACTCAACATATGAAAATCAAATATTTTACTTCATCACATTAGTTACTAAAGAAGAAAAGTCTCATCATCATATCCACAGGTGCAGAAAAAAAATTTGCCTAAATCCAGCACACATTCATGATAAAAACTCTCAGCGAACTAAGAATAGAGGAGGAACTTTCTCAATTTAATAAAGAATATGTGCAAAAAACCTACCGCTAACATCATTATTGGTGAGAAACTTGAAATTTTCTGGCTAATAACAAGAATAAAGTGAGATGTTCCATGAAACTACTCCTATTCAACATCGTACTAGAAACCCTTTTTAATGAGATAACAAGAAAAAGAAATAAAAGTGATACCAATCAGGAATAAAGAAATAAAACTATTGTGTTTAGATCGCATGATTGTTTATGTAGAAAATCTCAAAGAATCAAAAAACCTCCAAAAATAAAAAAAACAAAACAAAACAAAAAGAAAACAACAATAATGAAAAAACTCCTAAAAGTAATAAGCTATTGTAGTAAGGTTGCAGGATACAAGGAAATCAAATTCTTTTCTCTATATTAACAATAAATAATTAGAATTTGGAATTAAAAACATAGTATCATTTATATTAGCACCAAAAATATGAAATCCCTAGGTGGAAGTCTGTCAAAATACATATATCACTTGAAGAAAACTACAAAACTCTGATGAAAGAAAACAAAGATATAAATAAATACACAAATATTTCATGTTCATGGATATGAAGACCGTTGTTAGTCTTTTTGATTTGATCTATAGATCAACACAATAAGAATCAAACTCCAGGAAAGTTTTATTATTTTTATTATTTTTTATCTTTAGATGCTAACAATCTGATTGTAAAGTTTATGTGGAGAGGCCAAAAAACCCAGAATAGCCAACGTTAAGGAGAACAAAGTCAAATGACTGACCTTACCCAATTCAACTTCAAGACTTACTATGAAGCTAATCAAGACAGTGTGCAATTGGTGAAAAAAGTCAAATAGATTAATGCAAGTGAGTAAAGAGTCTGAAGTAGATCATCAGAAATATAGTCAACTGATCTTTGAAAAAAAAGGAAAGACAATTCAATGGGGGAAAAATGGTCTTTTCAACGAAGACTAATGGAGTAACTGGAGGTTCACATACGGAAAAATGAATCTGGAAATAGACCTTACACCTTTAATGAAAGTTAACTAAAAATATATTATAGATCTAAGCCGGGTGCAGTGGCTTATGCCAGTATTCCCAGTACTTTGGGAGGCTGAGGTAGGCAGATCACAGGTCAGGAGATCGAGACCATCCTGGCTAACACGGTGAAACCCCCATCTCTACTAAAAATACAAAAAATTAGCTGGGCATGGTGGCACGCACCTGTAGTCCCAGGTTGTCAAGAGGCTGAGGCAGGAGAATCGCTTGAACTCAGGAGGCAGAGGTTGAAGTGAGCCGAGTTGAGAGCCACTGCACTCCAGCCTAGGTGACAGAGTGAGACTCAGTCTCAGGAAAAAAAAAAAAAAAAAAAAAAATATATATATATATATATGTGTATATATATATATATGTGTATATATATATATATGTGTATATATATATATATATATATATACGTGTGTGTATATATATATATACATATATATATTAGATCCAAATATAAAATGCAAAACTATGAATCTCTGATAGTATAAGATAGGAGAAAATAAAGATGACCTTGATCAGCAATGGTTTTTAAAATACTACAATGAAGGTATAATCCATGAAATAAAGAATGACTAAGCTGGACCTTATTAAAATTTAAACTTCTACTCTGCAAAAGACACTATCAAGGGAATGAGATGAAAAGACAGAGACTGGGAGAAATACTTTCAAAAGATATATCTGATAAACGACTTCTCTCCAAAAATTTTTAAAACTCCACAATTAGAAATCAGACACCTTGATTTAAAAAATGGGCAACAGATCTGAACAGACACCTCACCCAAGAAGAAATACAGATGGCAAATAAATATATGAAAAATGCTCATCATTAAACGTCACTACGGACCTGCAAACTAAAACCCCAATGAGATACAACTACACACTTATACAATGGCTAAAATCCAAAACACTGATAAAACCAAATGTTGACAAGGATGTGCAGCAATGAGAACTAAGTCATTGCTGGTGGAAATGCAAAATGATAAAGACACTTCAGGAGACAGATGGGCAGTGCCTAAAAAAACTAAAATATGTTTACCACATTATCTGGTAGTTGTGCTCTTTGGTATTTGCCAAATAAGTTGAAAATACATTTCCACACAAAAATCTGCACATGGATATTTATAGCAGCTTTATTCATCATTGTCAAAAATTAGAAATCACCAAGATGTTCTTCAATAGATAAATGAATAGACAACGTGATAAACCTATACAATGAATGTTATTTAGTGTTAACAAGGAATGAACTATCAAGCCATGAAAAGACATGCAGAAACTTTATACATATGAGTAAGTTAAATCTTAAAAGGCTACATACTGTATGATTCCAACCGTATTACATTTTGGAAAAGGCAAAACTATGCCTACACTGCAAAGATTATTTGTTGCTAGGGCTTGCAAGGAAGGGAGAGAGAACACGTAAAGCACAGAGGTTCTTAGGGCAGTAAAGCTATTTTATGTGATATTACAATGGCACATGTCATTATGCATTAGTCAAATCCCATAGAATGTACAACACAAAGAATGAACCCTACATAAACTATGAGCTTTGGTTGATGATGATGCGTCAATGTTGGTTCATTGATTGTAACTAATGAGAGTTCTTGATTGTGAGAGAGACTGTGTGTGGGTGCAGGGAAAGAGGCATGTGGTAATTATATACTTTCCACTTAGTGTTGCCAGAAACCCCAAACTGTTTCAAAAGCCTACTCTAATCCACCATTCTAGTCAAGCTGAGGTTTGTATTACTCAGTGACTGTGGAGGGCTTAATGTTGATACTCCCCTGATCATTTGGACTGAGATGTGAATTCTATGAGATGGGATGTGACATGTCACTGAATTGGGAGTTGAAAAACTGGGATTCTAAGAAAAGTCTTGGCTGGGCGTTGTGGCTCATGCCTGTAATCCCAGCACTTTGGGAGACCTAGGTGGGTGGATCACAAGGTCGGGAGATCAAGATCATCCTGCCCAACATGGTGAAACCCTGTCTGTACTAAAAATACAAAAAAATTAGCTGGGCGTGGTGGTGGGCACCTGTAGTCCCAGCTACTTGGGAGGCTGAGGCAGGAGAATGGCATGAACCCAGGAGCTGGAAATTGCAGTGAGCCGAGATCGCACCACTGCACTCCAGCCTGGGTGACAGAGCGAGACTCTGTCTAAAAAAAAAAAAAGAAAAGAAAAAGTCTTATACTGAGGCATTGTGATTGTGATACTTTGTCTCACTGAGTCAATAATTGCTCATTTCTTAAAAAAAAAAAAGCAAAGTTTAGAGTAGTTGATCTCAGATATCCCTTCTATCTACACATTATCTATAATTCTTTCTTTCTGTAAACTGAAAGGTCTAGGAAGGAGCCGCAGCTCAGCAGGAGAGAGGAGGAGCTGAGCTGGGACCCCTACCTCCTGAGGAATGAAATGATTATTATAAAGACAGCAACCGAGCTTATTTTACCCAAAATAAGGTAGTATATTTCTGTTAGAGTTTAGAGTTTCATGAGTCAGGGACCAAGTTATTGCTTTTCTTTGCCCTGTATAAAGGCTTCTCCAAGGCCTTTGACTTACCTAAGTACTAAATGTTATAAAACCAAACTCTTCTGACCTCTCAATCTAGTCAACTGGGGCTGTAATTATTAATGAAATTAATGTTTATTTTGAAAATAATTTACTAGACTGAATTACGAAATCCTGAATCATTGTACACTATCAGTAAATATTGGTGGACCCAACTGAACTGAATGTTTTGCTTGAAATGAAACCTTTGAGATGCAGGGCTTATGGGTTCTAGTCCCAGCTCTAGCACTAGCAGACAGCATGTTCTTGGCTAAGATACTGAATCTTCAAGGCTCAGCTTCCTCATTCCGGAAATGGGTCAATTTTATTGTAAGCAGAGGTAATTGAGAGATTCAAAAGGGACATGAGGTGTAACAATTCTCTGTAAATTGTTAGAATCCCTGTTAAAAATGACCAGTAAAGCTTTGTGCAACTGTGTCTTGACATAACTTTATTTTTCTTAATAAAAGAAATGGAAATAACCTCACTAGGGAATTTAGAACAAATATGATGATATCTTTAAAGAAAATGGCTTTGCACAAGTATTGACATTAATGATCTAGTAAAGTGTATCTTTCTAGTTGTATTTAGATCCTCAACTCAGTATGTCAGCTCCTGTTAAGGTCTATACATTGTGGTGGTTCTGTGCTGTGGGTCCATTTAGTGATTTCCCTACCTCCCATCTTTTATTGCATCCACAACTGTGGTTCTGTCCATAATTTCCTTTGCTTTCTGTGCATTATTACATCATATCTGAAAATGAGAAACCAAAAACAATAGAAAGCAGCCATGTCTGGAGGTGACTGGGGGGTCGAGAAGCCCTAGTTTCTCAAACCCTTAGCACCAAATTTTTCCCTCAGTTACACTGAGCGTTTCACTTCTGCAGTGATGGAGAAGGGAGATCCCTTATTTCTTCTCATGAGCATCTCTGGTGCTGTTTCCCTTAGAGACAAATAAGGGGTTCTATTTAATGTGAAGCCTGTTTTATGAACAGAATAAATGTGGTGTATATTCAGAATAACTAATGTTTGGAAGTTTGTTTTATTTTGCTAAAATTGTTCTCAAGGCAGCTCTGGTGTAAGAGATAATACACCACGATGGGCATCAGAAGACCTCAGCTCAAATCCCAGTTCTGCCAGCTATGAGCTGTGTGGCACCAACAGGTGTCCTGTTCTCCCAGGGTCTCCCTTTTCCCATTTGAAAAATAAAAAATAACAATTCCTGCCTTCAGGAATTTTTTTTAGGGGGTTTAATGGTAAAGGTGTTTATATCTGCTAAGGTAATTTACTTGATATATGTTTGGTTATTTAAGATATATGAGTTATGTTAGCTATTTCATGTTTAGGCTGCTGTATTTTTAGTAGGCTATATTAAATATTTGAAAGGATTTCATTATAAAGAACAAAGTCTCCTAATCTTTGATATAGCATTGACATACTTTTTAAATATACAAGGCATAGAATATGGCCATTTCTGTTAAATCATATATTCCCAACTGGTTATTAATCTAAGAATTCAGAATTTTGAGTAATTGCTTTTGCATCAGATTATTTACTTCAGTGCTCTCAATTATGATGGTGCATTAGAACCATCTGGGTTAACATTTGTTTTTTATTACCAATACCTAGGCTCCAACCAAGTACAGTGAAACTGGAATGTACAGAGTGGACAATGGAACGAAGGAGAACAAGACCAAAGGACATTTTATTTTTATCTGTATCAGTGGGTCAAAGTCCTTTCAGAAGGAGCATATAGTGGACCTAGGTGATTGGTCAATTTATCCATCAAAGAGGCACACACCGAATTAGCATGGAGTGTTATAAAAGGCTTGGAGTGCAAGCTCATGGTTGTCTTAACAAGAAGAGAAGGCTTCAATGGATTCTCTTGTGGTCCTTGTGCTCTGTCTCTCATGTTTGCTTCTCCTTTCACTCTGGAGACAGAGCTCTGGGAGAGGAAAACTCCCTCCTGGCCCCACTCCTCTCCCAGTGATTGGAAATATCCTACAGATAGGTATTAAGGACATCAGCAAATCCTTAACCAATGTAAGTATGCTCCTTCAGTGGCTTGCAAAAGGTAAGTAAATTCACCTGTATTTTTTAAATAAAGTGTATCCCTAGAGGTACATGTTACAAGAGGTAATGGTAAAGTAAAATACTTTGAAAGGCTTTTGTTGCCTTTTCCAGTCTGTCAGTGTCAGAAATAGTGGAATGAAACCATGTATTTTGTGAGTAGAGAAAGATTTGGGTCTTTGCATGTTAGATTCAAAATAACAAGTGTCAATAGTTTGAAAAGCTGTGTTCCTTCTTCATTTCATAACCATTTGCTATAATTTTTGGCTGAAGGTAAATGGTAAGGTATTGTGGGATCTGGTCAGCAGCCCACAAAGCAACTGGGCTCTCTCTTTTTTCCCAGGTGGATCGGCAGGTTGAGAAATAATAGACACACAAGATAGTGAAAGCTGGGTCCAGGGGGGTCACCGCCTTCTGGTCCCATGGTGCCAAGAATGCACTGGATATACCAGCATTTATTATTAAGTTTAGTGAGGGCAGGGGTAGGTTAGTGAGGGATTTAGGGTCATTTGATTATGAGGTGAGATGGTCACATGGGGATGAAGTAATTCTTTAACATAACATTTGTATGTAGAAGTACAGTACATTTGTATGTAGAAGTACAGTATACGGAGATAAGAATTTACAATATAGTGTGTGCGTCAGTAATTTCTAACAGAGCCTTAAAACAGAAACACAATCTTTCCATAACCTATGATTAGCAAGATATTAATCAGCAGTAACAATTGCAACAAAAGCTGGTTACAAACAATCCATGGAAATAGGATGTGAAGCTAGACAACCAGTTAGACCAGAAATTCTCAGAAGGGAGTATGCCTTAACCCTAAAGAGGCCTAGAAGAGCCATGGCAAGATGAGGGCATTTATAGCCCTATCTTATCCATATGGACAGGTGCCCCCCATGCGTCCATTTATAGGTTCTCCACAAAGGTCGCATTCCATTCCCAGAGCTATGAACATCTGCTTTTCTGGGATAGGAATCTTGGTGATGTGAAACCTCTCTGACTGCACGTCCATTCATAGGCTCTCTGCAGGGGGAAGCACATCACGCGCTGTTGGCTCATTCTGGCAGTCCAGCCTGGCACTGTCCTTACACAATCCTGCATGCAATTTTGTATTTACAATAATCGGGAGCATTTCATCTTTTATTCCGTAGCAATAGTTTCAGGGGGGGTCTCCCTACAGTAAGGAACATGTTTGTTATTAGAGATTTTATTAAATAAGTCCTCTACTATATTAGCCATGTGTTTTATTCAGAATAGCCATGAAAATTAAACTTCTCTGAAGAATTAATTTATGCCTGTTGTAAAGGAAATAACTGTGGGTTCAGGACCAGCAAAAGCAGATAAGTGGTAGAAAAGAAGTTATAGACTTCCATTTTTAGATCCACAAAGTACTGTTTTAATTATACTATAGCTACAATATATAAACCCCAAAATGACCTTAGCATTTAGTAATGGTAGGAAGAAGGTCAGAAGATGTATAAGTATTAGGGTTTTTTCTCAAGTGAAAGATGGTTTAGCAGTGTTAATATGATATGTGAACACCCCTCGTTGTGTAATAATTACCATATACAGAGAGTAAAGGGCTGCAATTAGTATATTAAGTCTTATAAGCATGATGGTATGATTAGATCAAGAGAATGACGCTGTAGTTATGAAGACTACTCCTACTAGATTGATGGTAGGGGGCAGGGCAAGGTTGGCAAGACTAGCTAGGAGTCATCACATGGCTATCAGGGAGAGAAGTGTTTGAAGGCCTTGTGTTAGTAGTATGGTTTGGCTGTGAACTCGTTTGTAGTTTGAGTTTGCAAGGCAGAATAATAGGGATGAGGTTAGTCTGTGGGCAGTTATTAGGGAAGTTGCACTGGTAAAACTTCAGGGGGTTTGAATGAGAAAAGCTACGATAACAAGTGCCATGTGGCTTATGGAAAAGTAATGAGTGATTTTAGATCAGTTTGGCACAGACAAAAGGAGCTTGTTATGATTATTTCTCAAAAGGATAGTAAGAAGGAGGAATAAGCTATAAACTCTGTTAGGGGGTTAAGAATTAAGGTGATTTGTATAATCCTATAGCCATCTAATTTTAGGAGTACTGCTGTGAGGACTATTGACCTGGCAATTGCGGCCTCTATGTGGGCTTTTGGGAGTCCTAGGTGGAGTCCATAGAGAGATATTTTTAGTATAAATGCTATGATGCATGCTAATCATAAAAGGCTATTAAACCAGGAAATTGTTAGTTCTTGAAGCTGGGTATTGGTCTTAAGGTAGACTCGAAAGTGCTGATAAATTTCTCAAGCATCAGTGTTTGAATAAGCGGAGTTTCAAATTTTGGTCTGCTGTACATTAGCTGTGAGACACTGAAAATGAATTTGTCATTCTCTGAGCTCAGTTTTTTTTTTTTTTTTTTTTTTTTTTGAGACAGAGTCTTACTCTGTAGCTCAGGCTGGAGTGCAGTGGTACAATCTTGGCTCACTGCAACCTCCATCTCCCAGGTCCCCATTCAAGAAATTCTCCTGCCTCAGTCCCCCAAGTAGCTAGCATTACAGGCATGCACCACCATGCTCAGCTAATTTTTGTATTTTTAGTAGAGACGTGGTATCACCTTGTTGGCCAGGCTGGTCTTGAACTCCTGACCTTGTGATCCACCTGCCTTGGCCTCCCAAAGTGTTGGGATTACAGGCAGGAGCCACCACACCTGGCCGTTTGTTTAAAATAGAGTAAATAGACCTGCTGAATATGTTGATGTGAGTATTAATTGTAATCTGCATAGCAATTGTCTGACCATTGCCTTGAACATCACAGGCCATCTGAGTGGCAAGTATAATCATCATCATGTTTCTATTTAAAATTCAGAAATATTTGAAGCCTGTGTGGCTGAATAAAAGCATACAAATACAATGAAAATATCATGCTAAATCAGGCTTAGCAAATGGACAAAATAGTAACTTCGTTTGCTGTTATCTCTGTCTACTTTCCTAGCTCTCAAAGGTCTATGGCCCTGTGTTCACTCTGTATTTTGGCCTGAAACCCATAGTGGTGCTGCATGGATATGAAGCAGTGAAGGAAGCCCTGATTGATCTTGGAGAGGAGTTTTCTGGAAGAGGCATTTTCCCACTGGCTGAAAGAGCTAACAGAGGATTTGGTAGGTGTGCATGTGCCTGTTTCAGCATCTGTCTTGGGGATGGGGAGGATGGAAAACAGAGACTTACAGAGCTCCTCGGGCAGAGCTTGGCCCATCCACATGGCTGCCCAGTGTCAGCTTCCTCTTTCTTGCCTGGGATCTCCCTCCTAGTTTCGTTTCTCTTCCTGTTAGGAATTGTTTTCAGCAATGGAAAGAAATGGAAGGAGATCCGGCGTTTCTCCCTCATGACGCTGCGGAATTTTGGGATGGGGAAGAGGAGCATTGAGGACCGTGTTCAAGAGGAAGCCCGCTGCCTTGTGGAGGAGTTGAGAAAAACCAAGGGTGGGTGACCCTACTCCATATCACTGACCTTACTGGACTACTATCTTCTCTACTGACATTCTTGGAAACATTTCAGGGGTGGCCATATCTTTCATTATGAGTCCTGGTTGTTAGCTCATGTGAAGCGGGGGTTTGAAGCTGAGAGCCAAGGGAATTTGCACATATTTGTGCTGTGTGTGTACAGGCATGATTGTGCGTACAGTGTGGGTATAAAAGGTTCATTTAATCCCATGTTCTCCTGAACTTTGCTTTTTTGCTTTCAAATAAGAAATGATGAATATAGATTTTGAGTTCATTTTTTGAAAGAGTTAAAGAGCAGTGTTTTTCCCATTACCTATTCCAGAACATGTCACCAGAGAATACTTGACAAGTCAACATGGTGGGAATGGCCCTATCATACCCATATGGAGCATGAACCAAATGGCATGTGCTTTTATTTAATTGGACTGTGTTTGTATGGTCAGCCTCACTGACTTCTCTGGGGTTTCTTTTAGGCCCGTGCTTGCCATTCTGGCCAGTAATGACATTCTACAGTTTTTATTGCTTAGGCATATCTTAGTGCAGTTCTCATCAATTATTATTTCTCTGTAAACACAGCATTATTTTAAAAATAGTATTAATTATTTCTTGTTACTGTATTGATTTATATATTTTCAGTAAATACATCCTGTAGCATAATTCTGTGAAATACCCAAATGTCAATTTATAAAATGATTTATTTAACAAGATTTTACTTATTAGTAATAACTCTGTAATCTGCATTCCCTATGTATGATTTGGCTCTGTTTCAGTTTTGCTTATCTCTTTCCAACCATATTTATGAAATTTTGGCTTAGAAATTTATGTTAATTATTTTTTTTCCATGGCCAACTCTACTCATCTATGAAGTTTTACAATGAATCTGTTTATCAGCTTGGATACCAAATTACCTTGTTTTTAAATTCTGTTTTCCCAATGAAGTTAAAGACTGAAAATCAGATTTATCTGTGAATGACACACACAAACTAACAGATTTCCAACTGTTCAATGCCTGGCCATTCATTCAGAGTACTTTTGATTAAAGTCACTATTTAGGGCCTATAGATATCAGGGGAAATTCAGCCCCTGATATTTCAATGTGAGTCCTTTTCTATTCTCCCTAAGTGTTGGCTGGTCTGAGAAATAAAGGGAAAGAGTACAAAAGAGAGAAATTTTAAAGCTGGGTGTCCAGGGGAGACATCACATGTCGGCAGGTTCCGTGATGCCCCCTAAACCACAAAACCAGCAAGTTTTCATTAGTGATTTTCAAAAGCGGAAGGAATGTGTGAATAGGGTGTGAGTCACAGAGATCACATGCTTCACAAGGTAATAAAATATCACAAGGCAAATGGAGGCAGGGTGAGATCACAGGACCGGAGTGAAATTAAAATTGCTAATGAAGTTTCAGGCACTCATTGTCATTGATAACATCTCATCAGGAGACAGGGTTTGAGAGAAGACAACCAGTCTGACCAAAATTTATTAGGCAGGAATTTCCTCTTCCTAATAAGCCTGGGAGCACTATGGGAGACCAGGCCTTATTTCATCCCTTATCTACAACTGTAAAAGACAGACGTTCTCAAAACAGCCATTTTAGAGACCACCCCTTGGGAATGCATTCTTCTCAGGGATGTTCCTTGCTGAGAAAAAGAATTCAGTGATATTTCTCCTACTTGCTTTTGAAAGAAGTGAAATATGGCTCTGTTCTGCTCAGCCCACAGGCAGCCAGACTTCAAGGTTATCTCACTTGTTCCCTGAACATCGCTGTTATCCTGTTTTTTTTTTCAAGGTGCAGATTTCATATTGTTTAAACAATTTGTGCAGTTAACACAATCATCACAGGGTCCTGAGGTGACATTCGTCCTCAGCTTAGGAAGATGATGGTATTAAGAGATTAAAGTAAAGACAGGCATAGGAAATCACAAGAGTATTGATTGGGGAAGTGGTAAGTGTCCATGAAATTTTCACAATTTATGTTCAGAGATTGCAGTAAAGACAGGTGTAAGAAATTATAAAAGAATGAATTTGGGGAACTAATAAATGTCTGTGAAATCTTCACAATTTATCTTCTTCTGCCATGGCTTCAGCTGGTCCCTCCGTTCGGGGTCCCTGACTTCCTGAAACATATAGATGTGAATTTGGGAGCTCTTTAACTATAAAGTTTAATATCTCAAAATAATAAGAGCTATTTATGACAAACCCATAGCCAATATCATATTGAATGGGCAAAAGCTGGAAGCATTCCCTTTGAAAACCAGCACAAGACAAGGATGCCCTCTCTCACCACTCTTATTCAACATAGTATTGGAAGTCCTGGCCAGAGCAATCAGTCAAGGGGGTATTCAAATGGGAAGAGAAGAAGTCAAATTGTCTCTGTTTGCAGGTGACATGACTGTATACTTAGAAACCCCATCATCTCAGCCCCAAAACTGTTTAAGCTGATAAGCAATTTCAGCAAGACCTCAGGATACAAAATCAATGTGCAAAAATAACAAGCATTCCTATAAACCAATAATAGACAAGCAGAGAGCCAAATCATGAGTGGACTCCCATTCACAATTGCTACAAAGGGAATAAAATGCCTACTTACACAACTTACAAGCGATGTGAAGGACCTCTTCAAGGAGAACTACAAACCACTTCTCAAGGAAATAAGAGGTGACACAAATGGAAAAAAATTCCGTGCTCATGAATAGAAAGAATCAATACTGTGAAAATAGCCATACTGCCCAAAGTAATTCATAGATTCAATGCTATACCCGTCAAACTATCATTGACTTTCTTCACAGAACTAGAAAAGAATAATTTAAATTTCATATGAAGCAAAAAAAGAGCCTGTATAGCCAAGACAATCCTAAGCAAAAACAAAGCTGGAGGCATCATTCTACCTGACTTCAAACAATACTACAAGGCTACAGTAACCAAACAGCATGGTACTGGGAAAACTGGCTAGCCATATGCAGAAAACAGAAACTGGACCCTTTCCTTACACCTTATACAAAAATTAACTCAAGATGGATTAAACACTTAAACATAAAACCAAAAACCATAAAAACCCCAGAAGAAAACCTAGGCAATACCATTCAGGACATAGGCATGGGCCAAGAGTTTGTGACTAAAACACAAAAAGCAATGGCAACAAAAGCCAAAATTGACAAATGGGATCTAATTAAACTACAGTGCTTCTGCACAGCCAAAGAAACTGCATCAGAGTCAACAGGCAACCTACAGAATGGGAGAAATTTTTTGCAATCTATCCATCTGACAAAGGGCTAATATCCAGAATCCACAAAGAACTTAAATTTACAAGAAAAAAAGAAATATCCCCATCAAAAATGGACAAAGGATATGAACAGATGCTTCTCAAAAGAAGACATTTATGCAGCCAACAAACATATGGAAAAAAGCTTATCAACACTGGTCATTAGAGAATGCAAATCAAAACTACAATGAGATACCATCTCATGTCAGTTAGAATGGTGATCCTTACTAAGTCAGGAAACAACAGGTGTTGGTGAGAATGTTGAGAAATATGAACCCTCTTACACTGTTGGTAGGAGTGTAAATTAGTTCAACCATTGTGGAAGACAGTGTGGTGATTCCTTAAGGATCTAGAACTAGAAATTCCACTTGACTCAGCAATCCCATTACTGGGTATATGCCCAAAGGATTATAAACCATTCTACTATAATGACACACGCCCATGTATGTTTATGTGGCACCGTTCACAATAGCAAAGACTTGGAACCAACCCAAATGCCCATCAATGATGTACTGGATAAAGAAAATGTGGCACATATACACCATGGAATACTACACAGCCATAAAAAAGGATGAGTTCATGTCCTTTGCAGGAACATGGATGAAGCTGGAAATCATCATCCTCAGCAACTAACACAGGAACAGAAAACCAAACTCCACATGTTTGCACTCATAAATGGGAGTTGAACAATGAGAACACATGGACACAGGGAGGGGAACATCACACATGGGACCTGTTGGGGCACGGGGGGCCAGCAGGGGGACAGCATTAGGACAAATACCTAATGCGTGTGGGGCTTAAAACCTAGATGACAGGTTCATAGGTGCAGCAAACCACCATGGCACATGTATACCTCTGTAACAAACCTGCACGCTCTGCACATGTATCCTGGAACTTAAAGTAAAATAAAAGAAAATTTAAAAAATATAAAGTTTATCGATCACTTGATTATAACAACTTCATTTCAGAGATCCTCCACCAAACAAGAAAACTTTTCCTATAATTTAATTCATTTAGCTATTAAATGATACGCTGGGCCTAATCAATATCAAATTAAATAGGTTAAATTTGCAGGATGATTAGAGATGAGGGCATTTAGTTCCTAAAGAAGAAAATTCATTTTAAAAAAGGTACAGAAGAAAAAAACTCCACTTATCAATTTACACTTTCTTGTTTGCCTTACCTGGGATTTATATTTAAAATAAAAGTTTTTGGCCAGGCGCGGTGGCTCATGCCTGTAATCCCACAACTTTGGGAGGCCAAGGCTGGTGGATCATCTGAGGTTGGGAGTTCGAGACCAGCCTGACCAACATGGAGGAACCTGTCTCTACTAAATATACAAAATTAGCTGGATGTGGTGGCACATGCCTGTAATCCCAGCTACCTGGGAAGCTCAGGTGGAGAATCACTTGAACCTAGGAAGCAGAGGTTGTGGTGAGCTGAGATCGTGCCATTACACTCCAGCCCAGGCAACAAGAGTGAAACTCCATCTCAAAACAAACAAATAAACAAAAAACAACAACAACAAAAAACAACAACAAAGTTTTCATTTAATTTTTTAACAAACTAATCTATGTTAATTTGATATTAGTTTGTTAACATAACAAACTAATAATATGTTAGGCATATTATTCATTTATATTTGTTTTCCTTCTCATAAAACACATTCTGCTCTTACATTTATTTTCTTAAATACATGAATTCACCAACAGTCTCTTTGGTTCCTCTCTACTGGTTCAACACATGACTCTTTCAGCTATTCATTATATATAAAAAGCTTTGAAATCTCCAACTATTCTTGCCCTTTCCATCTCAGTGCCTTGCTGTCTACTGACTTTGCAGACTGATGTGATTCCCTCTGAAACATGAATTATTAGGTTTTTAGAAAATGCCTTTTTGTTCTTTCCAAAGTAAAAGACAAATAGGCTGGGAATGTAAATTTAGCATTTGAACAACCATTATTTAACCAGCTAGGTTGTAATGGTCAACTCAGGATTAATGTAAAAGTGAAGTGTTGATTTTATGCATGCCGAACTCTTTTTTGCTGTTAAGGGAATTTGTAGGTAAGATAATTTCTAAACTACTATTATCTGTTAACAAATACAGTGTTTTATATCTAAAGTTTAATAGTATTTTAAATTGTTTCTAATTATTTAGCCTCACCCTGTGATCCCACTTTCATCCTGGGCTGTGCTCCCTGCAATGTGATCTGCTCCATTATTTTCCATAAACGTTTTGATTATAAAGATCAGCAATTTCTTAACTTAATGGAAAAGTTGAATGAAAACATCAAGATTTTGAGCAGCCCCTGGATCCAGGTAAGGCCAAGATTTTTGCTTCCTGAGAAACCACTTATTCTCTTTTTTTTCTGACAAATCCAAAATTCTACATGGATCAAGCTCTGAAGTGCATTTTTGAATACTACAGTCTTGCCCAGACAGCCTTGGGGTGAATATCTGGGAAAGACGGCCAAGCCCTTTATTTTATGCATGGGAAATAAATGCCTCAATATAGGCCTGATTTCTAAGCCCATTAGCTCCCTCATCAATGTTTTTTCTGCTAAACTCCAAAGCCCTGTTTCTGTAAAGTACTTTGTTGACAGCCCTAAAGCGTGCTCATAGCACTCCATGGATATCCAGGCACTTTGGAGGCTCCCATTACTCACAAGACTTGTCCTTCAATTAACACTTTGTCGTATTATGTGGCAGAAATATCCTAATTTAAAAGACATTATCTCCTTCTAGTAGGGAGAATATTTGGGACCATAGAAGCTGCCAAGAAACACTGAATAGGGCAGGGGTGTTTGATATCTCAGTTGGGATCCTAGCTGATGAGATAGCTGGGTTAGGAATGACAAAATTATTGGTTTTATGGTGTATGAACCATAAACAGACATCACACTTATACCCTGTGCTGAGCTGGCATGTTTTATTCTCTGCCTAAATAATAATTGTGTGATTTTATAGAAGTCATTTAACTGCTCTGGTGCACAGTTGGAATTTGAAGTATCTTTGAGCCCCTCCCACTTCTAAAATACTAATTCCATTTCAGAGGCTGCTTGATAGAAATCAATATAGTAGGGACTAGCTTTGTACTATCAATCAGGTTGTCCAAATTCTTTTAACCTATGCTGTCATCTACAAAACGTGAATGTAGTAATTCATGCCATCTTATATTTCAAGATTATAGAGAAGAATTGTAAAAAGTAACAGAATTAACATAAAGATGCTTTTATACTATAAAAAGGAGGTCTGAGTCTAGGAAATGATTATCATCTGGTTAGAATTGATCCTCTGGTCAGAATTTTCTTTCTCAAATCTTTTATAATCAGAGAATTACTACATATGTACAATAAAAATTTCCCCATCAAGATATACAATATATTTTATTTATATTTATAGCTGTAATTTACAACCAGAGCTTGGTATATGGTATGTATGCTTTTATTAAAATCTTTTAATTTAATAAATTATTGTTTTCTCTTAGATCTGCAATAATTTTTCTCCTATCATTGATTACTTCCCGGGAACTCACAACAAATTACTTAAAAACGTTGCTTTTATGAAAAGTTATATTTTGGAAAAAGTAAAAGAACACCAAGAATCAATGGACATGAACAACCCTCAGGACTTTATTGATTGCTTCCTGATGAAAATGGAGAAGGTAAAATGTAAACAAAAGCTTAGTTATGTGACTGCTTGTGAATTTGTGATTTGTTGACTAGTTCTGTGTTTACTAAGGATGTTTAACTGGTCAATCAGTAATGCTTGAGAAGCACTTTAAGTTTTTATTGTATGAATGAATAACAAAATAGACCACTAGCTAGACTAATAAAGAAGAAAAAAGAGAAGAATCAAATAGACACAATAAAAATGATAAAGGGGAGATCACCACTGAGCCCACAGAAATATAAACTACCATCAGAGAATAGTATAAACACCTCTATGCTAATAAACTAGAAAATCTAGAAGAAATGGATAAATTCATGGACACATACACTCTCCCAAGACTAAACAAGGAAGAAGTCAAATCCCTGAATAGACCAATAACAAGTTCTGAAGTTGAGGCGGTAGTTAATAGCCTAACAACCAAAAAAAGTCCAGGACCAGATGGATTCACAGCCAAATTCTACCAGGGGCACAAAGAGGAGCTGACACTATTCCTTCTGAAACTATTCCAAATAATAGAAAAAGAGGGACTCCTCCTTAACTCATTTTATGAGGCTAGCATCATCCTGATACCCAAACCGGGCAGAGACATAACAGAAAAAGAACATTTCAGGCCAATATCCCTGATGAACACCAATGCAAAAATCCACAACAAAATACTGCCAAACCAAATCCAGCAGCACATCAAAAAGCTTATCCACCATGATCAAGTAGCCTTCATCCCTGAGATGCAAGGCTGTTTCAATATTTGCAAATCAATAAATGTAATCCATCACATAAAAAGAACCAATGACAAAAACCACATGATTGTCTCAATAGATGCAGAAAAGGCCTTTGATAAAGTTCAATACCCTTCATGCTAAGAATTCTCAATAAACTAAGTAATGATGGAACATATCTCAAAATAGTAAGAGCTGTTTATGACAAACCCACAGCCAATATCATATTGAATGGGCAGAAGCTGGAAGGATTCCCTTTGAAAACCAGCACAAGACAAGGATGCCCTCTCTCACCACTCCTATTCAACATAGTATTGGAAGCTCTGGCCAGGGCAGTCAGGCAAGAGAAAGAAATGAAGTATTGAAATAGGAAGAGAGAAAGTCAAACTGTCTCTATTCGCAGATGACATGATTGTATATTTAGAAAACCCCTTTGTCTCAGCCCAAAATCTCAAGTTGATAAGCAACTTCAGTATAGTCTCAGGTTATAAAATCAATGTGCAAAAATCACAACCATTTCTATACACCAATAATAGACAGACAGCCAAATAATGAGTGAACTCCCACTCACAATTGCTACAAAGAGAATATAATACCTAGGACACAAACAAATGGAAAAACATTCCATGCTCATGGATAGGAAGAATCAATATCATGAAAATGGCCACTGCCCAAAGTAATTTATAGATTCAATTCTATCCCCATCAAGCTATCATTGCCTTTCTTCACAGAACTAGAAAAATCTACTTTACATTTTATATGGAACGAAAGAAGAGCCCACATAGCCAAGAAAATCTAAGCAAAAAGAACAAAAAGTTCATAATCACTGGGACATTGGAGAAATGCAAATCAAAGTCCCAATGAGGTACCATCTCATGCCAGTTAGAATGGTGATCATTAAAAAGTCAGGAAACAACAGATGCTGGAGAAGATGTGGAGAAATAGGAATGCTTTTACACCGTTAGTGGGAGTGTAAATTAGTTCAACCATTATGGAAGACAGTGTGCTGATTCCTCAAGGATCTGGAACAAGAAATACCATTTGACCCAGTAATCCTGTTACTGGGTATATACCCAAAGGATTATAAATCATTCTACTATAAAGACACATGTGCACGTATGTTTATTGCAGTACTATTCACAATAGCAAAGACTTGGGACCAACCCAAATGCTGATGAATGACAGTCTGGATAAAGAAAATGTGGCACATATACACCATGGAATACAGTGCTGCCATAAAAAAGGATGAGTTCATGTCCTCTGCAGGGATATGGGTGAAGCTGGAAACCATCATCCTCAGCAAACTAACACAGGAACAGAAAACCAAACATTGTATGTTCTAACTCATTAATGGGAGTTGAACAATGAGAACACATGGACACATGGAGGGGAACATCAACACCGGGGCCTGTCAGGGGGTGGGGGACTTGGGGAGGGATAGCATTAGAAGAAATACCTAATGTGGATGACAGGTTGATGGGTGCAGCAAACCACCATGGCGCGTGTATACCTACGTAAAAAACCTGCATGTTCTGCACATGTATCCCAGAACTTAAAGTATAAATATATAAATCTACCCAAGGAGAAACAGAATGCACATTCCAGGTGAAATGGAATCAATTACTGACAAATATGAAAACATAAAATATGCCCTGTGATGAAGATGGGTGTCATTATTGCACACAGTTTATTTGAGAATGGGAAAGAATGACTTAACCTAGGTGGGTTTCCTGCATTCCTGCAAATTGAAATAGGCCATAAAATATTTGCAGTGAGAGTCAGAGGAGGGGTTTCAGATAGGTTGGAATGCTCTACATGGAGGTGCAGAGGTGGGTGATGGGAAAGAGTAGGTGGATGGAAGAGGGAAAGGAAGCCTTTATTGAGTGAGAACAAAAATGATTTGTACAGATAACAGTTGGAATTTAGTGTCTATCAGATAAGGCGTAAACATCAATGCCGTTGTCATCGCACCATTGTTGAAAACGCTATTTTTTCCCCTATTGAATTGCCTTGGCAACCTTGTCAAAATCCAATTGACTATAAATGTGTGAAAGGTTTTTTTCTGTGTGCTCTCAATTGTACTCCATTGATCTATATGTCTGTCGTAATCCCTATAGTGCACCATCTTAATTACTGTAGTATTGTATTAATATCAAGTTATTATATCAAATCAAGGAGTGTGAGTCTTTGTTGTTCTTTTTCAATACGTTTTCACTATTCTGGGTCCCTTGAATCTTCATATGAAATTTAGAATACACTTGTCAATTTTCTCAAAGGAGCCAATGGGGATTTTGACACGATTGCATTAAATCAGTAGATCAGGGAATTATGCCATTTTTAAAATTGAAGTGAAATTCACACAATATACAATTAACCATTTTAAAGTGTAGACTTGAGTGGTATTTAGTGTATTCACAATGTTGTACAACCACCAGCTTTCTCTGGTTTCAAAATGTTTTTATTACTTCACAAAAACATATCATATTCATTAAATAATCACTCCATTCCTCCAACCCATCATGTAATTACCTCTAATCTTCTTTCTGTTTCTATGGATTTGCCTGTTATGGATATATAAAGGACTCACAGCATATGTAACCTGTTATGTCTGAGTCCTTTCACTTATAATGTTTTAGAGGCTCATCTAAGTTGCAACATGTATCAGTACTTCATTCTTTTTTGTCGCTGAAATATATTTTATTTTTCCATGCACATATATCACAATTTGTTATTCATCTGTTTATGGACATTTGCATTGTTTCCAACCTTTGGCTCTTATAGATAATCTTGCTTTGATCATTTGTGTATGTTTCTTTATGGGCATATTTTCATCATTCTTGGGTATATTCTCAGGAGTTGAATTGCTGGGTCAAATGGTAATTTTATGCTTATCTTCTTGTATATAAGAGCCAATCTTTTCTACAGTGAATGTGGCATTTTATATTCCTTCCAGCAATGTAGAAGGATTTCTATTTTCCACATAGTTGCTAATACTTGTAACTTTCTGTATTTATTGAAGCCATCCTAGTGAATATAGAGTGTTATCTCATTGTGGTTTTATTTATTTATTCATTTATTTAGAGACAGAGTCTTACTCTGTCACCCAGGCTGGAGTGCAGTGGCATGATCTCAGCTCCCTGCAACTTCCACCTCCTGGGTTTACACAATCCTCCTGCCTCAGCCCCCAGAGTAGCTGGGATTACAGGCATGTGTCACCATACCTGGTTAATTGTTATATTTTTGGTAGAGACGGGTTTTCTCCACTTTGGCCAGGCTGGTCTCGAACTCTTGACCTCAGGTGATCTGCCCATCTTGGCCTCCCTAAGTGCTGGGATTACAGGTGTGAGCCACTGCGCCCAGCTCTCATTGTGGTTTTAACTTGTGTTTAATGGCCAATGATTTTGAACTTCTTTTAATATATTATTACCCATTTGTATATCTTCTTTGGATAAATGCCATTCAAGTACATTTTCTGTTTAAATTAAGTTGACTTTATTTTTCTTTTTAAGCTGTTAGAATGATTTATGTATTCAAAACATTAAACTCCTACATATACATAATATGAAGATATTTCCTCCCATTCTGTTGGTTGTCATTTCACATTCTCAATTATATTCTTGCTGCACAAAGTTTAATTTTGATGAAGTTTGGTTTATCTATCTTTCCTTTTGCCACTCTGGTATCAAATTTATAAATCTATTGCCAAATATGAAGTCATGAAGATTTACCCCTACATTTTATTCTAAGAGTTTTATCGTTTTAGCTCTTATATTTAAGTTTTTCCATCCATTTTCAGTTATATTTTTCATTTGGAGTGAAGTAAGGGAGATCTCAGCTTCATTCTTCTGCATTTCGCTGTCCTGTTGTCTCATCACCATTTGTTGAAGAGACTCTTTCCTCAGATTGAATGGTCTAGGCACCCTTGATGAAAGTAAATTTGCCATAGATCTTTAGGTTTATTTCGTGATTTCAGTTTTATTCCATTTGTCTTGATGTCTATCTTTATGCTAGTACCACACTGTTTTGATTATTACAGTTTGTAGTAAGTTTGAAGTTGGAAACTGAGTACTCACTGATACAGAAATTAAGTAGAAATTACTTAGGCAAATAGTAAGCATTTGGGAGTCCTCAGTAAGGTTTTTCTTTATACTGGAAAGCAGCCCCAAATCATTTTCTAACAAAGAGCAGCTTGTAAAATCGAGCTGCAGACATACACAAGGAAGCTGGAAACTTGCACGAGTGAAAGCTGGTAGTAAAGAACTACCTGTGACCAGGCAAGTTCAAAATGGCGGCTCCTTCCCCACCCACTATGTAAATGTCACACCTGATTAAACCAATCTCTGGGCCATACGTAAATCAGACACTGCTTCCTCCAGCCTCCCTATGCAATCTGCTGTGGTCCACCTCCTTCCCCCTTTTCCGATGTCCCTCTCTTTCACAAGAAGCTGCTTTTTTCTCTCCTTTCTTCTATTAAACTTTCTGCTACATAACCCACTCAGATGTGTCCGTGTCCTAAATTTTTCTGGGGCATGATGACAAACCTGAGGGTGTATATCCCAGACAACGTAGCTGCTTCATCACCATGTAGTTGCATATTAATTGAACAATCAACTTTCCCATTTCTGGAAAAAAGACCATTGGTATTGTGGTAGGGATTGCCTGAGTTTTTAGATCACTTTGAGGAGTACTGCCATCTTAACGATATTAAGTCTTCCAATCCCTGAACATGAGATAGTTTTCAATTTATGTAGGTATTAGATATTCTTTTTTCTTCTGTTGCAAGGGTCTGGTTTAGTTTAAAAGGCAAGTTTATCTTAAATTTTTTTATTTAGTTATGACCATTGAGGATTTTAAAATGATACCATATGAAATGCCTTCTTTTAAAAAAAATTTCAACTTTTATTTATTTATTTATTTATTTATTTTTATTATACTTTAAGTTTTAGGGTACATGTGCACTATGTGCAGGTCTGTTACATATGTATACATGTGTCATGTTGGTGTGCTGCATCCATGAACTCGTCATTTACATTAGGTATATCTCCTAATGCTATCCCTCCCCACTCTGCCACCCCACAACAGGCCCCAGTGTGATGTTCCCCTTCCTGTGACCATGTGTTCTCATTGTTCAATTCCCACCTATGAGTGAGAACATGCGGTGTTTGGTTTTTTGTCCTTGAGATAGTTTGCTGAGAGTGATGGTTTCCAGCTTCATCCATGTCCCTACAAAGGACATGAACTCATCATTTTTTATGGCTGCATAGTATTCCATGGTGTATATGTGCCACATTTTCTTAATCCAGTCTATCATTGTTGGACATTTGGCTTGGTTCCAAGTCGTTGCTATTGTGAATAGTGCCACAATAAACATATGTGTGCATGTGTCTTTACAGCAGCATGGTTTATAATCCTTTGGGTATATACCCAGTAATGGGATGGCTGGGTCAAATGGTATTTCTAGTTCTAGATCCCTGAGGAATCACCACACCGACTTCCACAATGGTTGAACTAGTTTACAGTCCCACCAACAGTGTAAAAGTGTTCCTATTTCTCCACATCCTCTCCAGCACCTTTTGTTTCCTGACTTTTTAATGATCGCCATTCTAACTGGTGTGAGATGGTATCTCATTGTGGTTTTGATTTGCATTTCTCTGATGGCCAGTGATGATGAGCATTTTTTCATGTGTTTTTTGGCTGCATAAATGTCTTCTTTTGAGCAGTGTCTGTTCATATCTTTTGCCCACTTTTTGATGGGGTTGTTTGTTTTTTATCTTGTAAATTTGTTTGAGTTCTCTGTAGATCCTGGATATTAGCCCTTTGTCAGACAAGAGGGTTGCAAAAATTTTCTCCCATTCTGTAGGTTGCTTGTTCACTCTGATGGTAGTTTCTTTTGCTGTGCAGAAGCTCTTTAGTTTAACTAGATCCCATTTGTCATTTTGGCTTTTGTTGCCATTGCTTTTGGTGTATGAGACAAGAAGTCCTTGCCCATGCCTATGTCCTGAATAGTATTGCCTAGGTTTTCTTCTAGGGTTTTTATGGTTTTAAGTCTAACATGTAAGTCTTGAATCCATCTTGAATTAATTTTTGTATAAGGTGTAAGGAAGGGATCCAGTTTCAGCTTTCTACATATGGCTAGCCAGTTTTCCCAGCACCACTTATTAAATAGTGAATCCTTTCCCCATTTCTTGTTTTTGTCAGGTTTGTCAAAGATCAGATAGTTGTAGATATGTGGCCTTATTTCTGAGGGCTCTGTTCTGTTCCATTGGTCTACATCTCTGTTTTGGTACCAGTACCATGCTGTTTTGGTTACTGTAGCCTTCTAGTATAGTTTGAAGTCAGGTAGCTTTGTTCTTTTGGCTTAGGATTGACTTGACAATGCGGGCTCTTTTTTGGTTCCATATGAACTTTAAAGTAGTTTTTTCCAAATCTGTGAAGAAAGTCATTGGTAGCTTGATGGGGATGGTATTGAATCTATAAATTACCTTGGGCAGTATGGCCATTTTCACGATATTGATTCTTCCTACCCATGAGCATGGAATGTTCTTCCATTTGTTTGTATCCTCTTTTATTTCATTGAACAGTGGTCTCTAGTTGTCCTTGAAGAGGTCATTCACATCCCTTGTAAGTTGGATTCCTAGGTATTTTATTCTCTTTGAAGCAATTATGAATGGGAGTTCACTCATGATTTGGCTCTCTGTTTGTCTGTTATTGGTGTATAAGAATGCTTGTGATTTTTGCACATTGATTTTGTATCCTGAGACTTTGCTGAAGTTGCTTATCAGCTTAAGGAGATTTTGGGCTGAGATGATGGGGTTTTCTAGATATACAATCATGTCATCTGCAAACAGGGACAATTTGACTTCCTCTTTTCCTTATTGAATACCCTTTATTTCTTTCTCTTGCCTGACTGCCCTGGCCAGAACTTCCAACACTGTGTTGAATAGGAGTGGTGAGAGAGGGCATCCCTGACTTGTGCCAGTTTTCAAAGGGATTACTTCCAGTTTTTGTCCATTCAGTATGATATTGGCTGTGGGTTTGTCATAAATAGATCTTATTATTTTGAGATACGTCCCATCAATACCTAATTTATTGAGAGTTTTTAGCATGAAGAGCTGTTGAATTTTCTCAAAGGCCTTTTCTGTATCTATTGAGATAATCATGTGGTTCTTGTCATTGATTCTGTTTATATGCTGGATTACATTTATTGATTTGCCTATGTTGTACCAGCCTTGCATCCCAGGGATGAAGCCCACTTGATCATGGTGGATAAGCTTTTTGATGTGCTGCTGGATTCGGTTTGCCAGTATTTTATTGAGGATTTTTGCATTGATGTTCATCAGGGATATTGGTCTAAAATTCTCTTTTTTTGTTGTGTCTCTGCCCGGCTTTGGTATCAGGATGATGCTGGCCTCATAAAATGAGTTAGGGAGTATTCCCTTTTTCTATTGATTGGAATAGTTTCAGAAGGAATGGTACCAGCTCCTCCTTGTACCTCTGGTAGAATTCGGCTGTGAATCCGTGTGGTTCTGGACTTTTTTTGGTTGGTAAGCTATTAATTATTGCCTCAATTTCAGAGCCTGTTATTGGTCTATTCAGAGATTCAACTTCTTCCTTGTTTAATCTTGGGAGAGTGTATTTGTCGAGGAATTTATCCATTTCTTCCAGATTTTCTAGTTTATTTTTGTACAGGTGTTTATAGTATTCTCTGATGGTAGTTTGTATTTCTGTGGGATCGGTGATGATATCCCCTTCATCATTTTTTATTGCGTGTGTTGGATTCTTCTCTCTTTTATTCTTTATTAGTCTTGCTAACAGTCTACCAATTTTGTTGATCTTTTAAAAAACCTGCTCCTAAATTCATTGATTTTTTGAAGGGTTTTTTGTTTCCATGTAATTGAGTTTCCATTGTTTCCATGGAATGCAAAAATTCCATGTTTTGAGTGAGTTTCTTAATCCTGAGTTCTAGTTTGATTGTGCTATGGTCTGAGAGACAGCTTGTTATAATTTCTGTTCTTTTACATTTGCTGAGGTGTGCTTTACTTCCAACTATGTGGTCAATTTTGGAATAGGTGTGGTGTGGCGAAAAGAATGTATATTCTGTTGATTTGGGGTGGAGACTTCTGCAGATGTCTATTAGGTCTGCTTGGTGCAGAACTGAGTTCAATTCCTGGATATCCTTGTTAACTTTCTCTCTCGTTGATCTGTCTAATGTTGACAGTGGGGTGTTAATGTCTCCCATTATTATTGTGTGGGAGTCTAAGTCTCTTTGTAGGTCTCTAAGCACTTGCTTTATTAATCTGGGTGCTCCGTTATTGGGTGCATATATATTTAGGATAGTTAGCTGTTCTTGTTGAATTGATCCCTTTACCTTTATGTAATGGCCTTCTTTGTCCCTTTTGTTCTTTGTTGGTTTAAAGTCTGTTTTATCATAGAGTAGGATTGCAACCTCTGCCTTTTTTTGTTTTCCATTTGCTTGGTAGATCTTTCTCCATCCCTTTATTGTGAGCCTATGTGAGTCTCTGCATGTGAGATGGGTTTTCTGTGTACAGCACACCGATGGGTCTTGACTCTTTATCCAATTTGCCACTCTGTGTCTTTTAATTGGAGCATTTAACCCATTTACATTTAACATTAATATTGTTATGTGTGAATTTGGTCCTGTCATTATTATGTTAGCTGGTTATTTTGCTCATTAGTTGATGCAGTTTCTTCCTAGCCTTGATGATCTTACAATTTGGCATGCTTTTGCCATGGGTGGTACCAGTTGTTCCTTTCCATGTTTAATGCTTCCTTCAGGAGCTCTTTTAGGGCAGGTCTGGTGGTGACAAAATCTCTCAGCATTTGCTTGTGGGTAAAGGATTTTGTTTCTCCTTCACTTATGAAGCTTAGTTTGGCTGGATATGAAATTCTGGGTTGAAAATTCTTTTCTTTAAGAATGTTGAATATTGGCCCCCACTCTCTTCTGGCTTGTAGAGTTTCTGCCGAGAGATCAGCTGTTAATCTGATCGGCTTCCCTTTGTGGGTAACCCGGCCTTTCTCTCTGGCTGCCCTTAACATTTTTTCCTTCATTTCAACTTTGGTGAATCTGACAATTATGTGTCTTGGAGCTGCTCTTCTCGAGGAGTATCTTTGTGGTGTTCTCTGTATTTCCTGAATTTGAATGTTGGCCTGCCTTGCTAGATTGGGGAAGTTCTCCTGGATAGTATCCTGCAGAGTGTTTTCCAACTTGGTTCCATTCTCCTCGTCACTTTCAGGTACACCAATCAGATGTAGATTTGGTCTTTTCACATAGGCCCATATTTCTTGGAGGCTGTGTTCGTTTCTTTTTATTCTTTTTTCTCTAAACTTCTCTTCTCACTTCATTTCATTCATTTCATCTTCCATCACTTATACCCTTTCTTCCAGTTGATCAAATCGGCTATAGAGGCTTATGCATTCATCACGTAGTTCTTGTGCCATGATTTTCAGCTCCATCAGGTCCTTTAAGGACTTCTCTGCATTGGTTATTCTAGTTAGCCATTCATATAATCTTTTTTCAAGGTTTTTTACTTCTTTGCCATAGGTTCAAACTTCCTCCTTTAGCTCAGACTAGTTTGATTGTCTGAAGACTTCTCTCAACTCATCAAAGTCATTCTCCATCCAACTCTGTTCCATTGCTGGTGAGGAGCTGTGTTCCTTTGGAGGAGGAGAGGCACTCTGATTTTTAGAATATTCAGTTTTTCTGCTGTTTTTTCCCTGTCTTTGTGGTTTCATCTGCCTTTGGTCTTTGATGATGGTGACATACAGATGGGATTTTGGTGTGGATGTCCTTTCTGTTTGTTAGCTTTCCTTCTAACAGTCAGGACCCTCAGCTGCAGTCTGTTGGAGTTTGCCAGAGGTCCACTGCAGACCTTGTTTGCCTGGGTATCAGCAGCGGAGGCTGCAGAACAGCGGATATTGGTGAACAGCAAATGTTGCTGCCTGATCGTTCCTCTGGAAGTTTTGTCTCAGAAGAGTACCCAGCCTTGTGAGGTGTCAGTCTGCCCCTAATGGGGGGTGCCTCCCAGTTAGGCTACAAGGGGATCAGGGACCCACTTGAGGAGGCAGTCTGTCCATTCTCAGGTCTCAAGCTTTGTGCTGGGAGAACCACTATTCTCTCCAAAGCTGTCAGACTGGGACAATTAAGTCTGCAGAATTTTCTGCTGCCTTTTGTTTGGCTATACCCTGACCCCAGAGGTGGAGTCTACAGAGGCAGGCAGGCCTCCTTGAGCTGCGGTGGGCTCCACCTGGTTCGAGCTTCCCAGCCGCTTTGTTTACCTACTCAAGCTTTGGCAATGGGGGGCACCCCTCACCCAGCCTCGCTGCTGCCTTGCTGTTTGATCTCAGACTGCTGTGTTAGGAATGAGTGAGCCTCAGTGGGCATAAGACCCTCTGAGCCAGGCACGGGATATAATCTCCTGGTTTGCCATTTGCTAAGACCATCAGAAAAGCACAGTATTAGGGTGGAAGTGACCTTATTTTCCAGATGCCTTCTGTCCTTGGCTAAGAAAGGGAATTCTCTGACCCCTTGCACTTCCCAGGTGAGGTGATTCCTCACCCTGCTTCAGCTCAGGCTCCATGCACTGCACCCACTGTCCTGTACCCACTGTCTCACAATCCCCAGTGAGATGAACCCAGTACCTCAGTTGGAAATGCAAAAATCATTCATCTTCTGCATCGCTCATGCTGGGAGCTGTAGACTGGAGCTGTTCCTATTCAGCCATCTTGGCTCCAAATGTTCTCAACTTTTATTTTGAAGTGCACGTTCATGTGTCTTACATAGGTATATTGTGTGATGCTGAAGTTTAGGGTACAAATAATGCCATCACACAGGTAGTGAGACTAGTACCCAATAGGTAGTTTTTCAGCCCTTGCCTTTATATCTCTCTACCCTCTATAGTAATTCCTTGTGTATTTTTTCCATCTTTGTGTCCCACTTTTATATGAGAACATGTGGTATTTGGATTTCTGTTGCTGCATTAATTCCCTCAAGATAATGGCTTCCAGCTACATCTATGTTGCTGCAAAGACATGATTTTTTTTAATGGCTGCATAGCATTTCATGGTGTATATACACCACATTTTGTTTATGTGACACATGATTGGTTGGTTCTATGTCTTTACTATTGTGAATAGTGCAGGAATGGACATACTAGCACGTGTCGTTTTGGTAGAACAATTTGTTTTCCTCTGGGTACATACTCAGTAGTGGAATTGCTGCATCGAATGGTAGTTCTGCTTTTAGTTCTTTGAGAAATCTCAAAACTGGTTTCCATAGTGGCTGAACTAACTTACATTCCCACCAGTAGTATATAAGTGTTCTGTTTTCTCTGCAGTCTCACCAACATCTGTTATTTTTTGGCTTTTTAATCATATCCATTTTGATTGGCATGAGATGATATCTCATTGTGGTTTTGATTTGCATTTCTCTGATGATTAGTGATGTTGAGTGTTTTCTCATATGCTTGTTGGCCATGTGTGTGTCTTCTTTGGAAGGACATATGTCCTTTGCCCACTTTTTAATGGGGTTACTTGTTTTTTAACTTGTTGAATTGTCTAACTTCCTTATAGATTCTCGCTATTGAAACATTGTTGGATTCACAGTTTGCAAATATTTTGTCCCATTCTGTAGGTTGTCTGTTTATTCTGTTGATAGTTTCTCTTGCTGTGCAGAAGCTCTTTAATTAGGTCCCACTTGTCAATATTCATTTTGGTTACAATTGCTTTTGAGGAGTTATTCATAAGTTCTTTGCTAAAGCCTGTATCCAGAATGTTATTTTATAGATATTTTTCCATCAGATTCTTATAGTTTGAGGTCTTAAATTTAGATCATTAATCCATTTCGAGTTAATTATTGTATATGGTTCAAGGAAGTGTTTCAGTTTCATTCTGCATATGGCTAGTCAGTTATCCTCATTCAATTTACTAAATAGAGAATTCTTTCCTCATTGATTATTTTTTGTCAACTTTGTTGAAGATCAGATGGCTATAGGTGTGTGGCTTTATTTCTGGCTTCTCTACTTCTGTTCAATTTGTGTTTTGTACCAGTTACATGCTCTCTTGGTTACTGTAGCTTACAGTATAGTTTGAAGTCAATGTGAAGCTTCCCACTGTTCTTTTTGTTTAGGATTGCTTTGGATTTGGGCTCTTCTTTGGTTCCATATGAATTTTAGAATAAAATAATATTGGTAGTTTGATAGGAATAGCATTGAATCTGTAGATAGCTTTGGGCAGTCTAGCCATTTTAATGATATTGATTGTTTCAATCCATAAGCCTGAACTGTTTTTCCATTTGTTTGTGTCATCTATGATTTTGTTCATCAGTATTTTGTAGCTCTCCTTGTAGAGACCTTTTTGCCCCCTTTGTTAGTTGTATTCCTAGGTTTTTTCTTGTGGCTATTGTAAATGGGATTGAGTTCTTGATTGGCTTTCAGGATGAACATTTTTGGTGTTTAAAAATGCTACAGATTTTTGCATATTTATTTTGTGTACTGAAATCTCACTGAAGTTGTATGTCAGTTCCAGGAGTTTTTGGAAAGTTCTTTAGGGTTTTCTAGGTCTGAATTGGGTCTTCTAGGTCTGAGATGGGTCTTCTACTTCTACTAGTAGGAGATGGGCCTTGCAATCTTGAAGACAGTAGAAGGATGGGTCTTATTTTTAATCCAACTTCCTACTCTTTGCCTTTTATGTGGAGCATTTAGACTTTATCTTCAATGTTAACACTGATATATGAGGTTTTGATTCTATTGTGAAGTTGTTAGCTGGTTGTTTTGTAGTTTCTATTGTGTGATTGCTTTATAGAGTCTGTGGGCTATATACTTAAGTGTGTTTTGTGGTAGCAGGTATTGTTCTTTCACTTCCATATTTAGAACTCCCTTAATGATCTCTTATAAGGCTGGTCTAATGGTAACAGATTTTCCTGGTAGTTACTTGTTTGGACAAGATTGTATTTCTTCCTTGATTTTGAAGCATAGTTTGGCAAAATATAAAATTCTTTTTTGTAATTTTTATTAAAATGAATGTTGAAAATAGGCTGAGCATCCTTTTAGCTTGACAAGGTTCTCTTTGTATGTGATCTGATTTTTTTCTCTAGCTGCCTTTAAAATTATTTTTTAGCCTTGACTTTGGACAGCCTGGTGAGTAAATGCCTTGGTGATGTTAATTTTGTATAGTGTCTCACATATATTCCCTGGGTTTATTGTATTTGGATGTCTACCTTTCTAGCAAGTTTGGGAAAATTTTCTCAACTTATTAGCCCAAATGTATTTTCTAGATTGTTTACTTTTTCTTCTCTCTCAGGAATGCCAATAATTCCTAGGTTTACTCCTTTTAAATAATCAGATATTTCTTGAAGACTGTTCATTTATTAAAATTATTTTTTCTTTATTTTTGTCTGACTTGGTTAGTTCAAAAGACTGGTGTTCAAGCTCTGAAATTGGTCCAGTCTATTGATAAACGCTTCAATTGAATTCTGAAATTCCTTAAGTGACTCTTTCAATTCCAGAAGCTTTGATTGATTTCTTTTTAAGATGTTTACTTCTCGCTCCATTTCCTGGACTGCTTTAGTAGTTTGTTTGCATTAATTTTCAACCCTGCCTTGGATCACTGAGCTTACTTGCAGTCCATATTTTGAATAGTTTATCTGTCATTTCTGAGTTGCCAGTTTGGTTAGGGTTCATTGCTGGGGAGTTCATGTGATCCTTTGGAGGTTTTACGACATTCAGACATTTCATGGTGCCAGAAGTCTTATGCTGGTTTCTTCTTATTTGGAGAGGCTGCCGCTTCTGATTTTTGAAATTATTTTTGTGCAGATAGAATTGTTTTTCTCTCCCTATTTTTGTTCTTTCCTTTTTCTCTTCCCCTTCCTATGGGATGTGACTATAAAGTATGTTGGGTAGGGCCTTTGACTTGGATTCTATAGCTGTGTTCACTTCTGTGGGTAGTTTTATATTGGCCTGTGCAGTTTGACATACATGTCAGTAGATGGCACTTATGAGCAAAAGCCAGCTGTGACTAGGACAACTTGATATAGCACAGCTTGATCCTTGTTTTCTGGGGGAACTTCTCTGTTTCCTCAGATAATCTGTTCATCTGTGGAATTCAGAGTAGTCTGGGCTCCCTGCTGAGCCCCAGGGGGATAAAGATCGGTGTCACTGGACTGGGCAGTCCTGTCTACAGGTCCCCTAATGGCAGGCACTAGCACCAGCACTGAGAGACAACTGATTTTTGCATTGATCTTGTACCCTGAAATTATGCTGAAATCATTTATTAGCTCTACTTATTTTCTATCTGTATTGCATGAGATTTTTCTATATAGAGAGAATCATGTTTCAGTCAAATACACATGATTTGAATTTTTCCTTTCCTATTTGAATGTGTTTTATTTTATTTCTTGCCTAATTGCTCTGGCTAGAACTTCCAATACTATGTTTAATAGTAGTAAAAATGGACATCCTTGTTTTTTTTCTTTTCTTTCTGATTTTAAGTTACAAGTTTTAGTCTTTCACAATTTAGTATGCTTTAGCTTTGCAGTTTTCATAAATATGCTTTATTATGATAAAGGAGTTTTATTTCATTTATAGTTTTCTGAGTGTTTTTGTTATGATGGGTATTAAAAGTTGTCAATTTTTTTTTCTGCATCTAATGAGATGAACATGATTTTCTCTTTTATTCTGATATGGTGTAGTGCACTGATTGACTTTCTTGTTGAACCACTTTTGAATTTCTGGGATAAATCTCACTTGCTTATTGTGAGATTTATTTTTATAATGTTTATTATTATAATTTTTTAATTTTGTAAAAAATTGTTGCAAAATACACATAACATAAAAGTTTCTGTATTAATCATTTTAAGTGCATAGTATTTTGGTATTAATTACATTCACATTGTTGTGCAAATGTCACTGCCATACATCTGTAGAATTCTTTTCATCTTGCAAAACAGAAACTTTATACCCATTTAATAATAACTCTTGGCCGGGCATTGTAGATCATGTCTGTAATCCCAGCACTTTGGGAGGTTGAGGTGGGCAGATTGGATGAGCTCAGGAGTTCGAGACTAGCCTGGGTAACATGGCAAAACCCTGTCTCTACCAACAAAGCAATCAACAAACAAAATGAAAGTAACATAATTTCCTCAACTGTGCAAACTAATTCATATTAATAATTCCATGAAATGTGTCCATAGTAACACAAGAGCAGAAGATGGGCCTTGTAAAGGTGGCCCACCACATTATTTGAGGTCTTTGTCAGTCTTATCTGCCAGATACTGTGTGGACTAACTGCAGTTAAAATTCCCATTCCCTTATCACTTGCCCTGAAATTTATCTGAAATCAAAGGGAATGGGTTGCCCAAAGAGAAGTGTCCAGAGACGTGGATGATGCGACAAGAAATGTTGTAGAACCACACCCCCACCTCAAATGATAACTCTACATTTCTCCCTTCCACCACCCCATGGCAACCAACATTCTACTTTGTGTCTCTATAAAATCGAGTATGCTGGGTACCTCATAAAAGTGGAATCATTACATATTTGCCTTTTGTGACTGGTTTATTTCACTTAGCCTAATGTTATGTTCTCAGGGTTCATTCATGTTTTTGCATGTGTCAGATTTTTCTTCCTTTCTAAGGGTGAATAATATTCCGTTGTATGTATAAACCAAGTTTGCTTACCCATTTATCTGTTGATGGGCACTTGGATTACTTTCACCTTTTGACTTTTTGAGTAATGCTATTATGAATATGGGTAAAAAAATATCTCTTTGATGTGCTGCTTTCAATTCTTTTGGGTATAAATAACCCAAAAGAATAACCCACCACGCCTGGTTAATTTTTTGTATCTTTAGTAGAAACTGAGTTTCACCATGTTGGCCAGGCTGGTCTCAAACTCCTGACCCTGTGATCCACCCACCTCAGCCTCCCAAAGTGCTGGAATTATAGGTGTGAGCCACGTCGCCCGGCCTACATTTATTGATTTGCATATGTTGAACCAGGCTTGCATCCCAGGGATGAAGCCAACTTGATCGTGGTGGATAAGCTTTTTGATGTGCTGCTGGATTCAGTTTACCAGTATTTTGTTGAGGATTTTCGCATGGATGTTCATCAGGGATATTGGCCTGAAATTTTCTTTTTTTTGTTTTATGTCTGCCAAGTTTTGGTATCAGGATGATTCTTCCCTTATAAAATGAGTTAGGAAAGAGTGCGTCTTTTTCTACTGTTTGGAGTAGTTTCAGAAGGAATGGTACCAGCTCCTCTTTGTACCTCTGGTAGAATTCGGCTGTGAATCCTTCAGGTCCTGGGCTTTTTTTTTGCTTGGTGAGCTATTCCTTGCTGCCTCAATTTCAGAACTTGTTATTGGTCTCTTCACGGATTCGACTTCTTCCTGGTTTGGTCTTGGGAGGGTGTGTCTAGGAATTTATCCATTTCTTCTAGATTTTCTAGTTTATTTGCATAGAGGTGTTTATAGTATTCTCTGATGGTAGTTTGTATTCCTGTAGGATCAGTGGTGATATCCCCTTTATCATTTTTTTGTTCTCTCTATTTGATTCTTCTTTCTTTTCTTCTTTATTAGTCTGGCTAGCAGCCTATTTTGTTAATCTTTTCAGAAAATTAGCTCCTGTATTCTTTGATATTTTGAAGGGATTTTCCTGTCTCTATCTCCTTCAATTCTGCTCTGATCTTAGTTATTTTTTGTCTTCTGCTAGGTTTTGAATTTGTTTGCTCTTGGTTTTCTAGTTCTTTTAAATGTGTTGTTAGGGTGTTGATTTTAGATCTTTCCTGCTTTCTCCTCTGGACATTTAGTGCTATAATTTTCCCTCTAAACACTGCTTTAGCTGTGTCTTAGAGATTCTGGTACACTGTGTCCTTGTTCTCATTGGTTTCAAAGAACATCTTTATTTTGCCTTCATTTTGTCATTTACCCAGTAGTCATTCAGAGCAGGTTGTTCAGTTTCCATGTAGTTGTGCAGTTTTGAGTGAGTTTCTTAATCCTGAGTTTTAATTTGATGGCACTGTGGTCTAATAGGTTGTTTGCTTTAATTTCTGTTCTTTTGTATTTGCTGATGGGTGTTTTACTTCCAATTATGTGGTCAATTTTAGAATAAGTGTGAAGTGGTGCTGAGAAGAATGCATATTCTGTTGATTTAGGGTGGAGAGTTCTTTAGATGTCTATTATGCCCGCTTGGTCCAGAGCTTAGTTCAAGTCCTGGAGATCCTAGTTAACCTTCTGTCTCATTGATCTGTCTAATATTGACAGTGGGGTGTTAAAGCCTCCATCTATTATTGTGTGGGAGCCTAAGCCTCTTTGTAGGTCTTTAAGAACTTGCTTTATGAATCTGGGTGCTCCTGTATTGGGTGTGTATCTATTTAGGATAGTTAGCTGTTCTCGTTGCATTGATCCCTTTAACATTATATGATACCACCCCTTTTTTTAATCTTTGTTGGTTTAAAGTGCGTTTTATCAGAGACTAGGATTGCAACCCCTGCTTTGTTTTGCTTTCCATTTGCTTGGTAAATATTCCTCCATCCCTTTATTTTGAGCCTATGTGTGTCTTTTCACGTGAGATGGGTCTCCTGAATACAGCACATTGATGGGTCTTGACTCTATCCAATTTGCCAGTCTGTGTCTTTTAATTGGGGCATTTAGCCTGTTTACATTTAAGGTTAATATTGTGTGTGGATTTAATCCTGCCATTATGATGCTAGCTGATTATTTTGCCTTTTAGTTGATGCAGTTTTTTTTATAGTGTTGACGGTCTTTACAAAATTTGGTATGTTTTTGCAGTGGCTGTTCCCAGTTGATCCTTTCCATATTTAGTGTTTCCTTCAGGAGCTCTTGTAAGGCAGGCTTGGTGATGACAAAATCCCCTTGTGGTGATGGGCTTCCCTTTGTGGTAACCCGACCTTTCTTTCTGGCTTCCCTTAACATTTTTCCTTTCTTTTAACCTTGGTGAATCTGACAATTATGTGTCTTGGGGTTGCCCTTCTTGAGGAGTATCATTGTGGGTGTTTTCTGTATTTCCTGAATTTGAATGTTGGTCTGTCTTGCTAGATTGTGGAAGTTCTCCTGGATAATATCCTGAAGAATGTTTTACAACTTGGTTCCATTCTCCCCATCACTTTCAGGTACACCAATCAAACGTAGATTTGGTCTTTTCACATAGCGCCACATTTCTTGGAGGCTATGTTCATTTCTTTTTATTCTTATTTTTTAACTTTTTTCTTCACATTTTATTTCATTAAGTTGACCTTGAATCTCTGATATCCTTTCTTCTGCTTTATCAATTTGGCTATTGATATTTATTTATGCTTCACAAAGTTCTCATTCTGTGTTCTTCAGCTCCATCAGGTCACTCATGTTCTTCTCTAGTTAGCAATTCGTCTAACATTTTTTCAAGGTTCTTAGCTTCTTTGCAATGGGTTAGAACATGCTCCTTTAGCTCAGTGGAGTTTGTTATTACACACCTTCTGAAGCCTACTTCTGTCAATTCATCAAATTCTTTCTCTGTCCAGTTTTGTCCCCTTGCTGGCAAGGAGTTGTGATTCTTTGGAGGAGAAGAGATGTTCTGGTTTTTTAAATTTTCAGCCTTTTTGTGCTGTTTTTTTTTTTCTCATATTTGTGGATTTATCTACCTCTTGTCTTTGATGTTGGTGACCTTTGAATGGGTTTTTTGCGTGGACATCCTTTTTGTTGATGTTGATGCTATTCCTTTCTGTTTGCTAGTTTTTTTCCTAACAGTGAGGCCCTTCTGCTGCAGGTCTGCTGGAGTTTGCTTGAGGTCCACTCCAAACCTTGTTTGACTGGGTATCACCAGAGGAGGCCACAGAACAGCAAAGATTGCTGTGTGTTTATTCCTCTGGAAGCTTCATCCTAGGGGGACACTTGCCAGATGCCAGCCAAAGCTCTTTTGTATGAGGTGTCTGTTGACCCCTGCTGGGAGGTCTGCTGTTCTCTTTAGAGCCAGCAGGCAGGAACATTTAAGTCTGCCGAAGCTGCACCCACTGCCACCCCTTCTTCCAGGTTCTCAGTACAGTGAGATGGGAGTTTTATCTATAAGCCCCTGACTGGGACTGTTGCCTGTCTTTCACAGATGCAACTGCTCAGAGAGTAGGAAACTAGAGGGGCAGTATGGCTACAGTGGCTTTGCGGAGCTGAAGTGGACTCCACCTAGTCCTAGCTTCCTGGAGGCTTTGTTTACACTGTGAGGGGAAAACCACCTACTCAAGCCTCAACAATGGCAGACTCCCCTCACCCCCCCACCCCCCCCAAGCTCGAACATCCCCAGTCAACTTCAGACTGCTGTGCTGGCAAACAGAAGTTCAAGCCAGTGGATCTTAGCTTGCTGGGCTCCATGGGGGTGAGATCCCCTGAGCTAGATCTCTTGGCTCCCTGGCTTCAGTCCTCTTTCCAGGGGACTGAATGGTTCTGACTTGCTGGTGTTACAGCACCACTGGGGCATAAAAAAACCCCTCCAGCTATCTTGGTGTCTGCCCAGATGACCACCCAGTTTTGTGCTTGAAACCCAGGGCCCTGGTGGTGTAGGCTCTGAAGGGAATCTTCTGGTCTGTGGGTTGTGAAGACCATGGAAAAACTGCAGTATTTGGGCCAGAGTGCACCGTTCTTCACAGCACATTCCCTCAAGGCTTTCCTTGGCTATGGGAGGGAGTTCACCAATCCCTTGGGCTTCCAAGGTGAGACAACATTCCTCCCTGCTTCAGTTTAGCCTCCATGCACTGCACCTACTGTCTAAACATTCCCAGTGAGATGAGCCAGGTACCTCAGTTGGAAATGTAGAAATCACCTACCTTCTTCATTGATCTCGCTGGGAGCTGCTGACTGGAGCTTTTCTTATTCAGTCATCTTGCCAGCCACCCTCCTGATTGAGTTTCTTTAAGGTAATTATTTTGAATTCCTTTTTTGAATATTTGTGGATTTTTTTTCATTGAGGTCTGTTATTTGAGAGTTATTATGTCCCTTTGGTGGTGCCATATTTCTTTATTTTT
This sequence comes from Homo sapiens, assembly GCF_000001405.40. Lineage (NCBI taxonomy): Eukaryota > Metazoa > Chordata > Mammalia > Primates > Hominidae > Homo > Homo sapiens. The sequence goes on from NC_000010.11 coordinate 94,970,029, forward strand.
CATGTTGTGTCTCTGAATTTATGTCTATGCATGTGATGGAACAATTGCTATTCCAAAATCTCTAGAGTGAATTTCATAGAGAAAGACTTTTATCTGAAGTTGAGTGTTTGTGTGCAGGTGACGAAGAGTGGGTAACTCAGTTTTTGATAGATGCATTGTGATAGTATCTGTGTAGTTTCTCTAGCTATGGCCAATATCAGCAATAATTTTGGGTGCCTCAGTGGCCTAGGCTGTAGAAGTTTGCAGCAGTATCAGGAGCAGTGTAGGTTGTTAATGTCCTTAGTGTCAAAGTATTTGGGCGTCCTCCTATTTTTATTTTCCTAAAATTGGGGTGACTTAGCCTAAGGGATTCCTTTTGGTGTCATCTCTGACATGGCATTAACTCAGCGGCATTGGTGCTGGGTTACAAGTACAGATCCTTGAAGTTGTCATAGAAGCATCATTCTAGACTCAGGGTCTTTTAATCATGTATTGTGACACCTGGGTCTTGCGGTGCAGGTTCACTCTCTGTGGCAGTGTTGAATGCAGATTACCCACAGAACCAAGGTCTATGACTCTAGCACACCTTAGCAGCTGAAGCCCACAGACTGAGTTGTGGCTGTGAATCTGTTTCTGAGGGTGAGGTGCAGGAAAATGCCGTGGCCTGCCTCTGATGTAGAAGGGGTGCTCTTTAGATTTGAGCCCAGCAAGTAGAATATGGCTACTATCATTAATAAGATAGGATATACTACCTTATTAATGCTAAGTAACCAAGCTCAAGTCAAGAGATGGAAATGTTAATACTGGTTTGTGACTGCACTGTTCTTCTTACTTAAGAGTAATTTTCAACATGGCAAGCTTAGAAAACTGTGTGAAGCTGATGTTACCAAGGGAGAGGACTGTCTTTGTCTACACATGTTGAGAGAATCTAGTCTATTTCAGTGGTGTTGATTACACAATATTCAACATGACACACATCACTTGGAGACTCTAAAAGCATCATTAATTTATTGCTGCTGGCCTTGGGGCTGGTTAAAAAGTAATACGTTTTTTATATTGATGATCTCTTTCAACTAAGTATTCCTTATCCATTGCTTTCTTTCTCCCAACTTCCAAATTATGAGAACTCCAGTCTCTAAGCCTTGGCATATGCAGTATCCTTACTCTCTCCTTTATCCCCTGTGGCAATTAATCCCTTTATTCTCCATCTTCATCATTGTTCTTTCTCTTCACTTTGTATATTTTTGTTTATTCCTGCACTACTGCACCCTAGAACAAGTTGTCTGTTGCCTCCCATCTAGATTATAATAGTGTGGGCCCATCTTGTCATTGTAAACCCATTCTCTTCCTCTATAATTTATCTTAGGTTTTGCTGTCATATTGCTTTTTTAATATTTGTTTTTACAAAATTTCAACTTTATAATGAATCTGGGGGCAATATTGAGTCCATGTACCTTTCTGACAGAAAAATATAATTGCAGACTCTTGATTCAGGCTCACAGTGTCTAATGATATGGCCCCAATTTACGTTTTCTATTAATTTAGATTGTGGTTGTCTACAGGTAATAATGGCTTTAACACATAATGTCTTTATTTATCTCAAATACAGGGATTCTCTTGGTGGGGCAATCTAGGATAATACAGCAGCCCCAAAGCAGCAGAGAGTCAAGTGCCTTCCTTTTTCCCACTAAATTTAGTATACAGACCTTCATTTTGATGATTAAATCCCAGGATGGGGTCTACTCTACCTCCTACTTCACATTTGTGTTTTGAGTATGAAAGAGGAAATAGAGGAAATGGACCTAGAGACCTTCTGCTTATATATTTTAGCAAAAAAAAATATGCTGTGTGACTCAGCTAGCTGCAAAGAGCCTGATGAATGGAATTTTTAGGCAAGCATGGAATAAGGGAGTAGGAAATAAAGTTTGGGCAAGTTGGTCTACAGCCTCTGCTATACAAGCAGTATTTTTTTTCTAGTACTGTACTTTCCAGTTTCTATGTTGGTAACTATATAACTATGTGAATAATTTTGAATTCACTGTAATCAAATATGCTGGTAAATAATTTGTCAGATAATTGCATCAAATCATTCCTAGGAAAAGCACAACCAACCATCTGAATTTACTATTGAAAGCTTGGAAAACACTGCAGTTGACTTGTTTGGAGCTGGGACAGAGACGACAAGCACAACCCTGAGATATGCTCTCCTTCTCCTGCTGAAGCACCCAGAGGTCACAGGTATGATCAGAGATGATAAGTTAATTAATTTTCAGAAAAGATTTTGGGAAGGTGTTGCTAGTGTCCTCCTTCCTGTTTCTCTTAGAGAAGCTTCATTATTTAAACTTTTGTGCTTCCAGCTGTAATCTGTTTCAAACTAATGGTGATTACAATGGGATATCTTGGCCTGGCATGGTGGCTCACACCTGTAATCCCAGCACTTTGGGAGGCTGAGGTGGGTGGATCACTTGAGGCTAGGAGTTCAAGACCAGCCTGGCCAACATGGCCAAATCCCATCTGTAGTAAAAATACAAAACTTAGCCAGGCATGGTGGCACATGGCTGTAATCCCAGCTACTCGAGGGGCTGAGGCACTGGAATCAATTGAACCCAGGTGGTGGAGGTTGTAGTGAGCCAAGATTTTGCCACTATACTCCAGTCTGGGCAACAGAGTGAGACTCTGTCTCAGAAAGAAAAAAAAAGAAAAAAAGAAAAAGAAAAGATAAAAGGGGCATCTTTGCACAGTAGAGGAAGATAACTGAGAGAAATGAAGACAGCATGGCAGTAGCAAAAGCAGTAGAACTCTGGTCCAATGTGTCTGGATTTATGGCAGGAAGAGACAAGATAAATTGGCCTGGGATTGCATGTTGGTTTTATTATGAGAAGGCCATTTTAAATAGCAAGTATATTCTTCAAGATAACTTTTCTCATTCTCAAAATTTCAGGTTCGAATGCTGGAGTAGGGAAACTTGAAACTCTCCTTATTGAAGGATAAATGGTAATCCTAAAAATGTAGTGATCTGCCTGAGAAAATTCCTAGTCCAATAAGTACTCTAAAAAGTTAGATTCATAAGAAAGGTGATTCTGTTTACTAGAAGAGGTATATAAAGAATGTTCCATTTAGGCAGAATATGTACCTGAGACAGTTTCCATGAAACTGTTGTTGGGCAAAATAAGATTTTTTTGAGGAAGTCAATAATTTTATCTTTTATGAACAACTTTACTTTAGAAATTTACTTTTAAGGACTTTTGGTTATGCTGCAGATAAGAAATATTCTTTTTTTCTCCTATGTCAGTATCCCCCATTGAAATGACAATAACCTAATTATAAATAAGAATTAGGCTTTTTTTTGAACAGTTACTAGCCTATAGAGTTCTAGAAGATTTTTTGTCAAATTTTATTATAGATTAAAGGGTACAAATACAGGTTTGTTACATAGGTAAGTTGTGTAACACTGAGGCTTGGGGTCCCAGCTATTCCATCACACTGACAGTAAACATATTACCCAACAGATGGTTCTTCAGCCCACATCTCTTCTCTCCCTCCCCCATCTAGTGATCCTCAGTGTCTATTGTTCCCATCTTTATGTTCTTGTGTATTCAATGCTTACCTCCCACTTATAAGCAAGAACATGTGGTATTTGGTTTTCTGTTCTTGTATTAGATTGCTTAGGATAATGGCCTCCTGCTTCATCTATAATGCTGCAAAAGACATAACTTTTGTTCTTTCTTATGGCTGCATAACATTCCATTATGTATGTACTAGTCTGTTCTCATGCTGCTAATAAAGACATACCTGAGACAGGGTAACTCATAAAGGAAAGAGGTTTAATGGACTGTCAATTCCACACGGCTGGAAAGGCCTCACAATAAGTCTCTGATAGAGACTTATTCACTATCACAAGAATGGCATGGGAAAGTCAGGCCTCCATGATTAAATTACCTCACATTGAGTACCTCCCGTGACGTGTGGGAATTATGGGAGCTACAATTCAAGATGAGATTTTGGTGGGGACACAGCCTAACCATATCAGTGTATATTTGGTACATTTTCCTTATACAATCCACTGTCGATGGGCACATAAGTTGATTCCATTTCTTTGCTATCGTGAATAGCACTACATATTGGGGTGAACATATTGGGGTGTGTGTCTTATTGATAGAATGAATATTTTGGGGGCATATACTCCATAGTGGGATTGCTGGGTCAACTGGTAGTTCTATTTTAAGTTCTTTCAGAAATATCCAAACTGGTTTCCACAGTGGCTGAACTAGTTTGCATACCCACCAACAGTGTAAAAGCATTTCCATTTCTCTGCAACCTCACCAGCATCTGTTGTTTTTGGACTTTTTAATATTAATAATTGCTATTCTGACTGGTGTGAGATGGTACCTCATTGTGATTTTGATTTGCATTTCTCTGATGATTAGTGATGTTGAGCATTTTTTCATAAGTTTGTTGGCTGCTTGTATGTCATCTATTGAGAAGTGGCTGTTCATGTCTTTTGCCCAATTTTAATTGATTTTTTTTGTTTTTTTTTTTTGCTTGTTGATTTGTTTAAGTTTTTTATAGATTTTGTCTGTTGATACATATTTAGATTTTGGATATTAGACATTTAGGTCCTTTAAGGTAGGAAGAGTACAGGAAATAGTCAAGAAGACTTTAACAAATTTCTAAAAACAGAGAGCATATAGAGGAATGATATATCTGTACAGAGAGGGTAAACTTATAACCAAAAGGTCAGAAGAGAAAAATTTATCAAGGATGAAAAGTTAATCAGTGTCCCTTAAATCCTCCCAATATTGGTATTTGGAAGTACCGAGGGTCAAAGATGGTGGAGAATGAGGCTGAAAAAGGAGGCTCTCCCTGCCTACGTTTCCTCCACAACTCTTTTCATCAGGTAACTGATTTCCTTCCACAAGAAGAAGGAGGCTCACTCTCTAGAGAAACTGAGCTTAAGAAGCCCTGTACTCAGAGACACACAGCAGTGCCAGAAAAGGCATGAGGTGTAGGCTAGAAAGACAGATTAGGTACACATCCACTCCTTGAATTCAGAGACTCTTAGCTCTTTTATTCATCTTCCTTCCTAAAATTCAGCAGCTAGCTCTATCCTACAGAAAGGGAACTGATCTAGAGAAATGGCATTTTTCTTTTGCCATCTTAACAGACAATTCTCTTCAATGTCCAACAGAGTGAATGAAATGAAAACATATACTGCTAGATACAGGGTTATGGAATTTCAGGACATGAGAATTAAAGGGAAAATCACAAAAACTTTCAGAGCTGTACCAGGTTATATTGAAAGAATTAGAATTCAGAATTCTCAAGAAGAACTATTAATATTATCTTGTATATTAATAAAAATAGTGTTTTCAGATGTGCATGTTTGCCAAAAATTTTTACCATTTTCCCTTTCTCAGAAAAATACTGAAGAATGTTCTTCATTCAAATGCCTGAAACCTTGTTAGAGAAAGTCCTGAGCTCCAGCAATCAGGAAACCTCGTGTAGGAGAATGAGAGTGTCAGGGAGGCTGCCTAGCACCAGACCTAGAAAACAACTACTTCAGAACAGACCTGGGGGATAATTCAGAAGTGAGATGAGACAGCAAGAACAAAAGAGATGTGACAGATTTTATGAGAGTTTCCAATAACTAAAAAGGAGTTTCAAACATCTGCTGGAACATTTGTAAATAATTCTAACTTGGGAAATGGAAAATTACAAATTGAAATAAAGAGACATTGTTAAGCCCAGGAAAGTACAAAAATAAAATTTAATCATAGTTGTCTTACCAGAGAACCATATTTGTGTAGTCAGAATGATGTAAGCAATGAATACTGATATCATAAAAATTGTCATCTAAATATATTCTGGAAAAAGCAGTGTGGAAAAGTGAGTGTGTCTATCTGAGGGTGTGTTCAAATATGAGGGGAAGATGGAGATTAAAATTCTCATCTCTCTTAATAAAAAATTATTAAATATAATCTACAAAAAGATAAGTAAGAATTAGAAACAGAGTATTTAAAAATGTGAATGTATGTTCAGAAGAAGCTGCTAGAATGTTCAAAATGGTAGATTTGGAAAGTGTGAGAATGAAGAGAATACCATTGTGATTTGTGACCCCTCCCACACACAGATGCACCAATACAGTCATATATATGCATAAATCTGATAGTATAATTTAACGTTTAAGCAACATATGTTATTTTGATATGAAATTAATCTGTTTTTCAAAGACAGTAATTTCATGACTAAATTATATGCTTACTTTATGTTTTCAAACATTTTATTATTTTTATTTGTATTAATTATCATATATACTAATGTATATGTATATACATATCTTTTAATTTTTTTTAATTTTTATGGGTACAAAGTAGGTATATATCAATATGTTTGGGGGTACATGAGATGTTTTGATACAGGCATGCAATGTGAAATAAGCATGTCATGGAGAATGGGGTATCTATTCCCTCAAGCATTTATTCTTTGAGTTACAAACAATTCAATTACACTCTTTAAGTTATTTTAAAACGTACAATTAAGTTATTATTGACTATAGTCACCCTTTTGTGCTATCATATAGTAGATCTTATTCATCTCCACCTCCCCTCCCCCCACACTACCCTTTCGAGTCTCTGGTAACCATCTTTCTACACTTTATGTCCATTAGTTCAATTCTTTTATTTTTAGATCCCACAAATAAGTGAGAACATGCTATGTTCGTCTTTCTGTGCCTGGCTTATTTCACTTAACGTAATGATCTCCAGTTCCCTTCATGTTGTTGCAAATGACTGAATCTCATTCTTTTTATGGCTGAATAGAACTACATTGCGTATATGTACTACATTTTCTTTATACATTTGTCTGTTGATGCATATTTAGGTTGTTTCAAAGTCTTAGCTATTGTAAACAGTGCTGCAACAAACAAGAGTGCAGATACCTCTTCGATATACCTATTTCCTTTCTTTTGGGTATATACCAAGCAGTAGGGTTGTTGGATCATATGGTCGCTTTATTTTTAGGATTTTGAGGAACATTTAAACAGCTCTCCATAGAGGTCACACTAATTTGCATTCCCACCAACACTGTACGAGGGTCCACTTATCTCCACATCCTCACTAGCATTTGTTATTGCCTGTCTTTTGGATATAAGCCATTTTAACTGGAGTGAGATGACATCTCATTGTAGTTTTGATTTATATTTCTCTGAGGATCAGTGGTGTTGACCACCTTTTTGTATGCCTGTAACCCATTTATATATCTTCTTTTGAGAAACATCTATTCAAATCTTTTGCCCACTTTTGGATTGGATTATTAGATTTTTTTTCTATAGAGTTGCTTGAATTTCTTATATATTCTGATTACTAATCTCTTGTCAGATGAATAGTTTGCAAATATTTCTCTCCATTCTGTGGATTGTCTTTTCCCTTTGTTGATTGTATCTTTGGCTGTGCAGAAGCTTTTTAACTTGATGTGATCCCATTTGTTCATGTTTGCTTTGAATGCCTGTGCTTGTAGGGTATTGCTCGAAAAATTTTTGCCTAGACCAATGTCCTGGAGATTTTCCCTAGTGTTTTCCTATAGTAGTTTCACAGTTTGAGGTCTTAGACTTAAGTCTTTAATCCATTTTGAGTTGATTTTTGTATATGGCAAGGGATATGAGTCCAGTTTCATTCTTCTCTGTAGGATATTAAATTTTCCCAGCACATTTATTGAAGAGACTGTCTTTCCCCCAGTGTACGTTCTTGGCACCTGTGTTAGTCTGTTCTCATGCCTCTAATAAAGCCATACACAAGACTGGGTAATTTATAAAGGAAAGAAGTTTAATGGACTCACAGTTCCACATGGCTGGAGAGGCCTCACAATCATGGCAGAAGATGAATGAGGAGAAAAGTCATGTCTTACGTGGTAGCAGGCAGATAGCTTTGCAGGGGAACTCACATTTATAAAACCATCAGATGTTGTGAGATTTAGTCACTATCATGAGAAAAATATGGAGGAAACCACCCCCATGATTCAATGATCCCTACCTGGCCTCCCCCTTGACTTGTGGGGATTATTTCAATTCAAGATGAGATTTGGGGTGGGGACACAGCCAAACCATATCAGCCCCTTTGTCAAAAATGAGTTAACTCTAGATACGTGAACTTGTTTCTGAATTCTCTATTCTGTTTCATTGGTCCATGTGTTTGTTTTTATGTCAGTACCATGCTGTTTTAGTTAGTATAGCTCTGTAGTTTAATTTGAAGTGAGATAATGTGATTCCTCCAGTTTTGTTCCTTTTGCTTAGGATAGTTTTGACTATTCTGGGTCTTTTGTGGGTCCATATACATTTTAGGATTTATTTTTTCTATTTCTGTGAAGAATGCCATTGATATTTTGATAGGAATTTTATTGAACCTGTAGATTGTTTTGATAGTATGGGCACTTTAACAATATTGATTTTTCCAATCCATGAACATGAAATATTTTTCTGTTTGTTGGGTCCTCTTAAATTTCTTTCCTCAGTGTTTTATAGTTTTCATTATAGAGATCTTTCAATTCTTTGGTTAAATTAATCCTAGGTATTTAAAATTATGTATGGCTATTTTCAATGGGATTATTTTTTAAATTTCTTTTTCTTTTTTTTCACTGTTGGCATATAACAACACTACTGATTTTTATGTTGATTGTGTATCCTTCAACTTTACTGAATTTGTTCATCAGTTCTAATAATTATCTTGTAGAATCTTTAGTTTTTCCTACTATAAGGTTATATCATCTGCACACAAGGATATTTTGACTTCTTCCTTTCCAATTTTGATAGCCTTTATATCTTTCTCTTGTCTGATTGCTCTTGCTAGGTCATCCAGTACTATGATGAATAACAATGGTGACAATGGGCATCCTTGTTGTGTTCCTGATCTTACAGGAAAGACTTCCTATTTTCTCCATTCAGGATAGTACTAGTTGTGGGTCTGTCATATAGCTTTTTTATGTTGAGGTATGTTCCTTCTATCTCAAGTTTTTTTTATGAATTTTCATCAAGAAGGGATGTTAAATTTTATCAAATACTTTTTCAGCATCAACTGAAATGATCATATGGCTTTTATCCTTCATTCTGTTGATATGATGTATCACACTGCTTGATTTGCACATGTTGAACCATTCTTGCATCCAAGGGATAAATCCCACTTGGTCATTGTGAATGACCTTTTTATTGTATTGTTGAATTTGGTTTGCTAGTGTTTTGTTGAAGATTTTTGCATTAGTGTTCATCAGGTGTATTGGCCTGTAGTTTTTTTTTTTTTTTTTTTTTTTTTTGATGTGTCTTAGTCTGATTTTGGTATCAGGGTAATACTGGCCTCATAGAATGAGTTTGGAAGTATTCTCTTCTCCTTTATTTTTTGGAATAGTTTGAGTAGGGTCGGTATTAGTTCTTCTTTAAATGTTTGGTAAAATTCAGCAGTGAAGCTAGCCAGTCTTGGGATTTTCTCTACTGGGATGATTTTATTTCTCGTTTGATCTTTGTGCTGGTTATTGCATGTTCAGATTTTGGATTTCTTCCTGGTTCAATCTTGATGGGTCATATTTGTGTAGGGATTTGTCCATTTCTTCTAGATTTTCCAATTTATTGGCATATAGTTGCTCATAGTAACCAATAATTATTCTTTGAATTTCTGCAGTATCAGTTCTAATGCCTCCTTTTTAATTTTTTATTTATCTGAATCTACTCTTTTTTTTTTTCTTAGTCTGGCTAACGGTTTGTCAATTTTGTTTAACTTCTCAAAAAAGCAACTTTTTGTTTCATTGATCTTTTGTTTTGTTTTCTTCACTTAAATTTTATTTATTTCTGCTCTGATCTTTATTATTCCTTTTCTTCTACTAATTTTGGTTTTAATTTGCTTTTGCTTTTCTAATTCTTTAGGATGCATCATTAAATTGTTTGTTTGTCAATTTTCTCCATTTTTGATATAAGCTCTTGTAGCTATAAACTTCCCTCTTAGTACTGGTCTTGCTGTAACCCCTAGGTTTTGGTATGTTGTGTTTCCATTATCATTTGTTTCAAGAAATTTTTCAATTTTCTTTTTAATCTCTTCATGGGTCCACTGTTCATTTATGAGCATATTTTTAAATTTCCATTTATTTGTGTAGTTTCCAAAATTCCTCTTGTTATTGGTTGCTGGTTTTATTACATTGTGGTCAGAGAAGATGCTTGATATTATTTCAGTTTCTTTGAATATTTTAAGACTTGTTTTGTGACCTAACATACGGTCAATTCTTGATAACAATCCATGTGCTGTGGAAAAGAATGTGTATTCTGTAGCAGTTGGATAAAATATCCTGCAAATATCTATGAGATCCATTTGATCTATAGTGCAGATGAATTTCAATGTTTCCTTGTTGATTTTCTATCTGGATGACCTGTCCAATGCTGAAAGTGGGGTGTTGAAGTCTCCAGGTATTATTATATTGGGGCCTATCTCTCTCTAGTTCTAATTATATGTCTTTTATATATCTGGGTGCTGCATTATTGGTTGCATATATATTTAAACTTGTTCCATCTTCTTGCCAAGCTGACCACTTTATCACCAATAGTGATCTTCTTTGTGTCTCCTTATGGTTTTTGTTTTGAAATCTACTTTGTCTGTTTTAAATATAGTAACTCATGCTCTTTTTTTCATTTCCATTGGCAGGTACTGTCTCATTCAATTCCTTTATTTTCAGCCTATGTGTGTCTTTATAAGTGAAGTGTGTTTCTTTTAGGCAACAGATTAATAGGTCTTGTTTTTCCATCCAGGTCAGTAACAGGTCAGTATGTCTTTTGATTGGAGATTTTATTCCATTTACATTCAGTGTTATTATTGATAAGTAAGGACTTACCCATGCCCCTTTGTTATTTGTTTTCTGGTTGTTTTGTGGACTTCTCTTCCTTCTTTCATTTCTTCCTGTCTTCCTTTATTGAAGAGAATTTTCTCCACTTATATGTGTACAGATTTTTCTTAATATCTGGTTTATGGCAGTTACACATTTGTGCATCTGTAACCATCCTCTCTTTAAGTTTGCATATACTTCCAGCACTATAATTTAAATTTATAATGATGTTTGGATACCTTCATGATTCATATACCCCTGAATTGCTACAACAAATGTGCCATTTTTCTCCTTTTCCATCAGTTTTTACTTGTGTCTTATCAGCTAAAGTCCAGGAAGAGATTGAACGTGTGATTGGCAGAAACCGGAGCCCCTGCATGCAAGACAGGAGCCACATGCCCTACACAGATGCTGTGGTGCACGAGGTCCAGAGATACATTGACCTTCTCCCCACCAGCCTGCCCCATGCAGTGACCTGTGACATTAAATTCAGAAACTATCTCATTCCCAAGGTAAGTTTGTTTCTCCTACACTGCAACTCCATGTTTTCGAAGTCCCCAAATTCATAGTATCATTTTTAAACCTCTACCATCACCGGGTGAGAGAAGTGCATAACTCATATGTATGGCAGTTTAACTGGACTTTCTCTTGTTTCCAGTTTGGGGCTATAAAGGTTTGTAACAGGTCCTAGTGTCTGGCAGTGTGTGTTCTCCAGATTTATTATCTTTCTTCAAGATTGGTTTGGCTACTCTTAGGTGCTTATATTTCCAAATAATTTTTAAAGGTATTAGTTTGTCAATTTCCCAAAACCTTGGGCTGGAATTTCTGGCAGGGTGACACTAAATTTATAGGCTAGTTTGGAAAGAACTGAATCTTGACACGTTGAGGCTTTCCATTCCTGAATATAATTATGCTTCCAATTTGTTTGGGGTTTCTTTTATTTAACCAGGAATGTTGTGAATTTGTTGTCATGGCTTTCGAGTCTTTGGTTTTCCCTAGATAATTAATATTTTTGTTGTAGAACATAAATAGTTTTTATCATTCTGATGATGTTAATCTGTCAACTTTGCTAAATTTACTAGTCACTATTCGTAATTTATTTCTGGATTCATTGTAATTTCTGTGTATATTATACTGTATCTGAGTTAATATTGTTTTATTTCTTATTTTCCATTTCTCATGGGCTTAATGTCTCTTTATCACATTCATTATTGCATTAGCTAGAATTTCTAGGAGAGCATTGAATAGAATTGGTGACAGTGGGGATCCTTGTTTCTCATTTCTAATCTGCAGGAAGCAGTGGAAGTTTTCCATTTCAATATTGAGAATGATGCTTGAAGTAGATTTTGGTAGATATTTTTTATCAGATTAGAGAAGTTTGCTGTCATATATATATATGTCATAATTGTGTGTAAAATCTTGTCAAATCAACACTCTGCATCTATTTATATAATTGTGTGTTAGTCCATTTCCATTGCTATAAAGGAATATCTTTGACTGGGTAATTTATAAATAAAAGAGTTTCATTTTGGCTCATGGCTCTGCAGGCTGTGCAAGAGGCATAATGTGGGCAGGCATCTACTCCTAGTAAGGACTTCAGGTAGCTTTCAATCTTCGGAGAAGGTGAAGGGGAAGCAAGCATGTCACATGGCAAGAGAGGGAGTAAGAGAAAAAGGAGTAGAAGTGACTTTAAACAACCAGCTAGTGTGTGAACTAACAGAATATGAACTCACTTATTATCATGGGAAGAGGTTTAAGCCACTCATGAAGAATTCACCCCCATGTCCTAAATACTTCTCACACCAGAACCCACCTCCAACATTGAGAATCACATTTCAACATGAGATTTGGAGGGGACAAATATCCACACAACATCAGATTATATATATTGGGCTTACATTTCTCACTAAATAGAAATAAGTATGCACATAGAGATGAACTGGCCTTCTTCATATTGTTTAGGACTTCAGTGTTTACATTCACAAGAGATTTGGTTTATAGTTTTATTTCTCAGAATTTTCAAGATTTTTGATATTAAGATTATGCCAGCCTTATAAAACTATGCAAGAAATGTTTCCTAATGTGAGACTGTTTTTATTGCCGTTCCCTCTCCCCACTTTTCTTCTTGTGATCACTTAGTTGTATCTTTGAAATGCCTGATAACTTTTGGTTAAATACCAGATGGTATATGTAAGAAATTGCAGAATTGCAGAGGAGGTTTATATTCTTCAAAGAAAGATTCATTCCTCTCCCATCGGCAGTCATAATGACATGATACCTGTTGTCATGATTCAGAATTGGACATAATGTGAATCCAGTTGAAAATTGAGTGTCAGTGTTAGCTTAGCTCTCTGAGGTTCTCCTACCTTTGGAAGCTTGAGACCAATTTTTGTCTTGACAGCTTTGCAGTGCCTTCTATCACATGGTTTCTGTATTTATCCAGACACTCCATTTGCCATCTCAAACCTACTCTTTTCCAATCAAAACCAATATATATTATTAGTAAAATAAAAAATAATATAACTGAAAGTTGTATTTTCAAGGGGAAAAAGCAATGAGACTTGGTAAGGTTGCAATTACTAATGTCATCTTTTGAAGAAGACAGAATTGATAATTTACTTAGAGATTATGGGGCTTACCCTAGTGGTCACTGAGTTAGTACAAGAGAAAAGACTTCAATGCACTCTGTTTTCACAAACACAGGAGATAACCAGGAGACTTTCGCTTCTCAAAATTAGGGTCTGAGGGTAATGGTAATGAAACTTACTTCTTCTCCTATAACTAATTAAATGAGAAATATACTGAAGAATCAGGCACGAGTTGCCAGTCTCCCCAGTTCACTGCATCAGCTTTGGTGACCTCCTGGAGGGGAACGCTGCATCTGATGAGCTCATGCTGTGCCTGATGTCTTTTGAGCCCTGAGAAGCCAGAGCCCAAGGGGATTACCCATTGAATCCCTTCTTCGTGGAATAGCCCAGTGCAGAAAAAAGCAGCACTGTGTGGCCAATTCTACCCTCTTTACAAATCAGATACATGTGTTCTTCTGCTACAGGCTGGATCCACTTATCTAGCTGGAGATGATAGTCTGAGACAGGAGTTGGCAAACTGTCTCTGTAATGGGCCAGATAGTAAATATTTTAGACTTTTCAGGCAATGTGGTTTCTGTTGCAATTCTTGACATCTGCTATTGTAGCATGATAGCAGTCACAAACAATCTGCAAATGAATGAGGATTGATATGTTCCAATTTTTATAGAAACAAATGTAAATTTCCTATAAAATGTTTGTTTCAAAAATATTGTTTCTTGTTTGCATTTGTTCAATGTAAGTACTTTTAGCTCACATACTATACAAAAACAGGTGGCAGGGTGGACTTGTGCAGGGAGTATTTTTTATTGATGCCTAATATAAGACATCCCTGTCCAGTAGAATTTTCTGCAAAGATGTGCGATTGATTTGTGCTTTTATGTCATATTTAAAGAATATTTGTCAGCACAAGATTCCAAAGACTGGCTTTCAACTTTCCCAGAATTTTTTTGTTTTAGCTCTTATATCTAGATCAATGACATATTTCAAATTAATTTTTATTTCATAATATGAAGTAATAGTGGTCATGCTTCAATGTCTATAAATTTCTACTTATTCAAGTAACATTTGTTGAAATAAATCTGCTTTGGTATCAATAACATTTTAATATAGTACTTGTTTATAAATATTCAAGGGAATATTTTTAAAAAACAAAATTATAGACTATTTATATGAAAATTTAGGGGGTAGAATTTTTCCTAACATTTTTATTATAAAATTTTTTAAAATAAATAACATTACACACACATATGTATATGTACATATGGCAGTGTGTATACATATCTACTCTGATATCTGTCCATCCATCTATTTACACCTCAATACTTCAGTATGTATAGCACAATAACAATGGTTTTCTCCTACATAATAATAGCATTCATACTGTGGAGTTATTAATACAATAATATTATTTACTATACAGCTTTTATTTAAAATTTCCCAACTTTAAAATAATATTTTAATCACTTTTTTCTTGCAATTCACTCTCCAGTCAAGAAATAAGCACATAGTTTCAGTATCCTGTTACTTTCCATCTCCTGTAATCAAGAAGAGTCCATTTCCTCTGTTTCCTTTCAGTATGTTGATCTCTGTGAAGAGTTGAGCAATTAGTCATTTAAATTTTCCTGGGGCTCGTTTTGGGTAATTGTTTTCTAAATATTATATTCCAGTTATGACTTTGGCAAGAAAACTACATAGTATTTTGAATATTCTGCTGAATCACAGTGGTGAGGCAGGGGCACATAATGTCACATATGCCATTATTGGTTATGCTAAGATCCTCACCTAATAAGTTGGAATCTGCCAGATCTTTCCATTGAAGGGGTTCTGCTTTTTATGCGTGAATGATGAAAATCTATGGCATGGTACTTCAAGGCAGAACACCCTGTTTCCCAAGTCACACATCCAATAGTTTTATCTTTCATTAATGATCCTCATCTGACCTGATGATCTTGACCTGAATGGTTACAAATAGGTGATTTTTCTAATTTCATCATTCCTTCCGTATTTTTAAGCTAGGATTAATCTGTAATGAATATCTCTCCCATATCTTTAAATGAAGACAAACAAACTGCATGGCAATGACAAGAACTCAATAGTTTTATCCTTGCCACTACACTTGTTACCATCCCAGAAGATGTCATTTGAAATTCAATCATATGTTTATTCACAAATGCCCTGTGAACAGATACTGTGGCCATTTCCCATGTCAACAGAGACTTCAACTTTTAGTTATACTCTACACATAAGGTTGGTGAAAACTGAAGTGATGGAATAGAGAAGCAAGTGTGGACAGCCACTAGTTTCCAAGCTTGATGAAAAGGAGGACAGATTCAGAAGGTTGCATCCAAGTATCCAAGTACTCAGGACTTCAAATGTGATTGCAGGGCACTTTAGCAAGATTATTGTCATGGGCCTTAAGTTCATGACTCTTATTACTTGGTCTATCCATCTGGAAATGGTACTGCCCTTCTTTGGAACGGGATTTCCTCATCTGCACATCAAAAGATTTAACTACATGATTACCACTGTTTCTTCAACCTTCATGGCTTCTTTACAGCTCAGTTCATCTATGTCTCTTGTTTCTAGGGCACAACCATATTAATTTCCCTGACTTCTGTGCTACATGACAACAAAGAATTTCCCAACCCAGAGATGTTTGACCCTCATCACTTTCTGGATGAAGGTGGCAATTTTAAGAAAAGTAAATACTTCATGCCTTTCTCAGCAGGTAATATAAATTTATTTCCATTTGTGTTTCAGGGTACAAGATAACTTTTTTGATCCATTGGAACTTACATGTGCCTCCTCTGCAGTGGTACAATTACTCTTTGTACATGATCAAGAGCACTGTTCTGAATGCCTGTGTACACCCTGCTCATGATACATCCTAATTATTGGGCCAGATTAGTGGACTTTGGGGAGTTAATCCAATTCTTCCAAATTGAGAAAGCTGAAATATAGGTTGGTTGAATTCTGCCTCTAGGTACACCAGTGAGGTACCCAAGAACTCCTCCTGGAAGATAAAACTAATTACATTTTCCTCACTAGCCATGAGGAAGTTATCTCACTCCAGAACTTCACTGAGTGTCTTCCACATGGTGTCCCTCACCCCCTAGGCTGGGCTTGTAGGATAAAATTATCCACAAACACAGAATAGGGTCTTAAAAGGCTCACTTCTGAGTTTGGAAAGCAGAGTAAACAGATCATTGTAGTTCAATAGGACTGAGGCTGTGATATGGAAAGAACAGGCTGTTGGGGGTTGGGAGGTAGACGGAAAAGCTGTCTGCTTCTTGTACTCTTATACCCCAAAGTGAGGCATAAGTAATATTTTAATAGCAGTAAAGACATTTGAGCTACCTCAAAGGAGGCAGAGAGGATGAAAAGAAGAGAAGACAGGGCTATTAAAGGAGATAATGAGCCACAGGAGCAGGACATTGGCTCTAAATAAAGGATATTAGAACCTTTGCCAAATGACCATGGATGGGATGAGGGGGACATTGGGAATGTAGCAGGATACTCTGCAGTGATGCAGAGCACCATGCTGTTCCCCTAGTCATGGCCATGTATATTGGATGTTGGATCTCCATACTTGAAATGTGTGTGCTGAGCATCTGGTGATAGAATCTCCTTCCTTTATTCTATGACCTTTAATGTCTGCTTTATATCTGCCACTGTAGATACCAAGACAACAAGAAAAGAAACCTTCCTTCAAGCATTCACATTTAGCACATGTATTAGTCCACTCTTACATTGCCTTAAAGAACTACCTGAGATTGGGTAATTTATGAAGAAAAGAGGTTTAATTCACTCACAGATCCACAGGCTGTACAGGAAGCATGGCTGGGAGACCTCAAGAAACTTGCAATCATGGTGGGAGGCAGAGCGGAAGCAAGCACATCTTTCCATGGCAGAGCAGAAGAGAGAGAACAATGAGGAAAGGCTACATACCTTTAAACAACCAGATCTCATGAGAACTCACTCACTATCATGAGAACAGAAAGGGGGAAATTATCCCCCATGATTCAATCACCTCTCACCAGGTATCTCCCCCAACATTGGGAATTACAGTTTGACATGAGATTTGAGTAAGGACACAGAGCCCAACCATATCGCACACTAATAAATAAATAAATAAATCAGTAATTATTATTCTAGGTGATCCATGCTGTCTGTTTCTTCTGCCATAACAAAATATCCAAGACTAGGCAATTGATAAATAATGGAAATTTATTTCTCACAGTTCTGAAGGCTGGGAGTTCCAAGATCGATGTGTCAGCAAGTTCAGTGTCTGATGTGGGCCTGTTCCTTACAGATAATGCCCCCTCTGTATCCTTATATGGCAGAAGGGCAAAAAGGCAAAAGGGGAGAAATGGCTCCCTTGCATCTCTTGATGTTATTATTTTAGCAAGGACAGAGCCCTCCTGACTTATTCACTTCCTAAAAGGAGCCATCTCTTTAGTAATGTTGCATTGGGATTATGTGTCAACATATGAAATTGGGGGAGGCATATTCAGACCATAGCACATTTTTCAATGGAAATATAATGTTGAGGAAACCCAGAGAAGGCAACATTTTCTTGCTCAAGGAGATGAGAAAGAGGGTAAAAAAGGAGATAAAATTTGACCTATGTCCTGACTGTGGTAATAGAAAAGTTCATCTTGGCTAAAAGGAGCAGCATGATATAAAATTTGAAACCTCATGGTGTGTTGGAGACTGATGATGAGTGGCTATGCCTAGAGTTGACAGTATCGGATTTGAAGAGTGTAAGGAGTGATGTGGATCATCAGACTGGAAACAGAATGTGAGGGTCCAGATCAATCCATTGGGACCTTATCCTATAGGACATACAGGGAAGCCATTTAAAGTTTTAAAGTGAGAAGGTGACATGTTTAGACATGTGCTCCTGAAAGTACCTAGAGGAAAAAAATCTTTGGCTGCATATTGAGCCAGAAATACAAAGGGAAATACAGTATGTTAGCCTCCTCCTCTAAGCCCTTCTCAGTTCAACCCACTGGACAAGAAATGTATGTTTCTAAAGAAAGATTGATGAAGACATTTAAAGTCTCTTGAAAGATTTTAATAAAGTGCTTGGCATGTAGCTGGTACTCAACAAATATTTGTTGAATACAGGGTGCCTGTTAAGATCTGATATTAGGTGAAGAGTAAGTATGTCCATTCATTTTTCAGTTGCCTATACATCCATCCATTCATCCATTTATCCATCCACTCATCCATCCATTCATTCATGCATGCACCCATCCACCCATCTATCTCTTCATCTCTTCTACGATACACTGAACAGTTATTGCATATTCTGTTTGTGCCAGTTACAGAGACAGTGTTTGTCACTGTCACAGTTACGCATGAGGAGTAACTGCTCTCTGTGTTTGCTATTTTCAGGAAAACGGATTTGTGTGGGAGAAGCCCTGGCCGGCATGGAGCTGTTTTTATTCCTGACCTCCATTTTACAGAACTTTAACCTGAAATCTCTGGTTGACCCAAAGAACCTTGACACCACTCCAGTTGTCAATGGATTTGCCTCTGTGCCGCCCTTCTACCAGCTGTGCTTCATTCCTGTCTGAAGAAGAGCAGATGGCCTGGCTGCTGCTGTGCAGTCCCTGCAGCTCTCTTTCCTCTGGGGCATTATCCATCTTTCACTATCTGTAATGCCTTTTCTCACCTGTCATCTCACATTTTCCCTTCCCTGAAGATCTAGTGAACATTCGACCTCCATTACGGAGAGTTTCCTATGTTTCACTGTGCAAATATATCTGCTATTCTCCATACTCTGTAACAGTTGCATTGACTGTCACATAATGCTCATACTTATCTAATGTTGAGTTATTAATATGTTATTATTAAATAGAGAAATATGATTTGTGTATTATAATTCAAAGGCATTTCTTTTCTGCATGTTCTAAATAAAAAGCATTATTATTTGCTGAGTCAGTTTATTAGACCTTCCTTCTTTTATGCATAATGTAGGTCAGAAATTAAAGAAAATAGAGTTCCAGGAGGCCATGCTGGTTCTCAAAATGATAAGGACAGAAAGGACAAAGAGGAAGAGGGTAGGGAAGCTATTTTGGGTGAGTGTTAGAGTTACTTGAGGATTGGATTTGAAAGTGAGAAACTGTGTCCAGGGGCAGCTCTAACCTCTAGGGAAATATTCAGAGGATCAGTCAAAGGGTGGAATGGACATTAAATGCTAGAATTCTTATATCCACATTGGTGTTCCTTTTTTTTTGAGACAAAGTCTTGCTCTGTCACCCAGGCTGGAGTGCAGTGGTGTGATCTCAGCTCTCTATAACCTCCGCCTCCCAGGTTCAAGTGATTCTCCTGCCTCAGCCTCCTGAGTAGCTGGGATTACAGGTGCATGCCACCACACCTGGCTAATTTTTTGTATTTTTAGTACAGACGGGTTTTCACCGTGTTAGCCAGGATGGTCTTAATCTCCTGACCTTGTGATCTGCCTGCCTCAGCCTCCCAAAGTGCTGGGATTACAGGTGTGAGCCACTGCGCCTGGCCTGGTGTTACTTTGAAGTGTCATTACTTTATCTCTAAATAAAGAATCAGATTACTTTTATTACTTCATGTTTCCAACTTAGAATGATGTAATGAAGTATAAATACATGCTTTCATATCGCTGCTCATGTGTTCTGTCATGTTTCTCTCTTCAAACATAAACAAAATTTCTTTTTGGTTTTTGTTTGTTTGTTTGTTTGTTTTGAGATGTAGTCTCGCTTTTGTTGCCCAGGCTGGAGTACAATGGCATGATCTTGGCTCACTGCAATCTCCACCTCCAGGGTTCAAGTGATTCTCCTGCTTCAGCCTCCCAAGTAGCTGGGATTACAGGTGCCAACCCCCATACCAGGCTAATTTTTGTATTTTTAGTAGAGACAGCATTTCACCATGCTGGCCAGACTAGTCTTGAACTCCTGACCTCAAGTGATCCACCCATCTCGGACTCCCAAAGTGCTGGGATTACAGGCATGAGCTACCATGCTTGGCTGGGCAAAATTTCTAAGAAGAATTACAAAGATTTAATCTCTCTCAGCTTCTCCTACATTATTTTACTTTTAACATAAGTGGGATGATAATTTTATGCTATGGTCCTAAATATAATTAGCCTCATGTCATCTCCAAAGAATAGACAACTAAGTATCTTATGTTAAATTATATTCACCACTTTTCCTGTCTTCTACTTGAAATGTAAGAAATAAGAAGTAACATAATTTGTTATGCTTCTCACAGCTCATCTCCCAGAAGAAGTTACTTACATTTTGGAATACGTTTTAAAGATAATATGTGGATACAGGTGTACATGAACATCTATATATGTCTGTGTACATTATGTGTATTTACCCATTTTATATATATGCATATATATATATATATACACACACATATATGTAACTTATGCACACATACATATAGGGTTAAATGTTTATTACAATATTGGGCTCATATCACACATCTTGTATTAAAACTTGTTATTTTCCTATCAAGTAATATGGCAGCAAAACCTCTAAGGTGATAGAAACATAGGGAAATGATTGAGAGAGATAATAGAAGAGAAAGTGGAAATGAGTATTACATTAATGGGAAGATCCAAATGGAAATTATACATTATACCTTTCAACCTTCTTCATTGGGAAATGCAAATGTATTAATGTAGTGTTAGTAGAGGTGCTGGCAAACACCCCTAGGTGAGATAAATCAAGTAGATGTCAAGTCTGTTTTCTCCTAGAGACTGTAGTGAATAATCTGTTTTCCTGCCTATTTCACCTCCTAAAGGCTGCCTGCATTCCTTGGCTCATGAACTCTTCCTTCTTTCACTCCAAACACTTGCTTCTGTTGTCACATCTCCTACTCCTACTACTGACTCTTATTCTCACATCTCCCTTACATTAGAAATGCAAAATGCTTTTTCCCTGGTGTCACAAAGAAATAGCACTCAAACATAAATTTAATTTTCTCGGCAAGGCAATTTTTACTTTCTGCAGAAAGAGTGCTCCTTGCAGATGGAACAATGGTGAGAGCACACCTGGACAGAGGAGGAGAAGAGGTTATTATTCCTGATGGAGATAGCCTTTACTGCTGTGTCATTCCCCTATTGGCTAGGTTGGACTGCACAGTCTAAGCAATTCCAACTGGCTATTTTAAAAAAGAGCAGGAGTATGAGCCAGAGTGGTGAGGCATGTAGTTTGGCAGGAAGGGCAGTTACAGAACTGGTGGCTCAGGATGAGTCAGGATGGAGCAGGTGACCAGGGGTGAGTCATATCAAAGCAGGTGACCAGGGGAAGAGATGTGAACTACTGATTAGGACTGGTGGGAAAGTTGTTTACTGAAATTAGAAGGGAGGGGGCAAAGGGAACCAGGAAGTTAAACTTTAAAATGGAGAATCAATAAGAGAGCTGAACATACTGACATACTGATTCTTTGAATAGAAACTTGGGGTTCACTATATTTAACAGTTCTTCATCTTGAATTTTTACAGTTCCTTCTCTTCAAACTTCCTTAAAATGTCTTGGCTTAGTTGTTCTGCATGATTCTCTAAAAGAAAAAGCTTCTCTGAATAAGGTGGAGGAGAATTAAGGGAGGTTTTAGTAAGTGCTGCCTGTATGAGTCTGTGAACCAGCCCACGGATGCATGGTATGACAAAACACCCAACAAGAATGAATACGCCTACTATGGCTGTGAGAGAAGTAAGAACTGAGGCTATGATTTTTTTTTTCCATTTACTGAATGATTTTTCTAGGCACCTTTTAAAGGGGTCACTTACCGCTGAGTTTTTGGTTAACTCATTGGACAGAGCAGTTAGACCTTGCAATGCCTTGTTATACTTCCATCAGGGGCAGTATTGTTTGGGATGAAGGTACAATATTGAGTTTTAATCATGATGCAAACTCCTCCTCCTTCTGCTGCTGATATAATGTCTAAGGCTATTCTATTTTCCCAAGCCATCTGGCTAGTAGCCCCTAATTGCATTGCTATTTCTTTAGCAGCATCTCTAGTGTAGTTAATAAACCACTGTTGATCATAATAGATGTAATTCATCCAGTCTACATTTTTATTAATTTTTACCCACTAGAATATTGACTGAAATCCTGAAGCTATTTGATCATGGGCTTTAAATTCATCTGGCACTCCTCATTGAGCTCTAATAGCATTTACATAAACATGGGGGTCAAAGGACCCATATAGGGCACTTCTTCTTTTATGATTTTCTCTCTTTTTTTGTAATCATGTTGATGAAATGCTAGAGTGAAAGGGATGGTGAATTGGACTAGAGCACAAGTGCTGCTCTAATAACTTGGCAGAGTATCCAGCAATAGTCCCCCATGATACCACCACACTTATGCTCAGGGATGAACAAGGACAGACTGATTGGTAAGCTCTTGGAAAGGCTTGGTTACACTGCACCCTGTTAAATCTTCAAGGAATGCTAACTTTTTCCCCTGCTGTGAAAGGAATGAGGTGAAGTTAACATCAGGGGCTGGAGGCCAGAAGGCCCTTGAGGGCTGACCCACAGGGCTCTTAACCTCAGAGAACAGCAGTAAAAGAGCCTTGCATGACTCATCGCCCCAGGCTGTGGGGTTCTGGAAGACAGCTACCATACAGCTCATGCCAGGTCCCTGAGAGGACCACCCAAGTGGAAAGGGAACAATCTGGGTCTCTGGCCTGCCTATCGCACAAGCGTTACAGTCACTTTTGTTTATCGTGCAAACAGAATATTTTATCCATTCCAGCCAAGCATTTGCATCCTGATACCCTGTTTCAATTGCTATAGTTTGTTTTAAATAGTTAACCTCTACAACAACTAGTTTGGTTTTATCATTGGGTATATAACAAGAGAATGTTGGTTAGAGGAGAACTTAGGAGAGGGAGAAAAGGGTACAGGAAGTGAGGAGGAAATGAAGCACATTTCAAAGGATCCTGAGACTTCTGCTCCTATACCATAGAAATGGTTTAATGAAGGGGAAGAACTCTGGGGAACAGAGATGGTAATCTGTACTGGATTACATTGGTTTAGCTGACAGTGGGGAGGGATAGCTCCTTTAGTAAAATGAATATATGGTTTTAAGAAACTGCAAGTACTAGTTAGTGTGGTCCATCCTTGCTCTTTAGTATTTTATAGAGCATTGAGCCAAGTTTGGCAGAGAAGCTCTGCTCTAGGAGGACAAGATTTCCAGTTTATACTGGAATCTTCATCAAACTCTTCTCAAACTAACTTATCCCAGTTAACAGATTTTTAGTCTGAGGAGAGCTAGGAAGGATAAAGATAGTTTTCTGAAGTGGAGAGTTGCCCCTAACTTGGCAAATCTCCACAGGGTATAACAAGGCAACCATCAAATGTAATAGTTTGAGGCAAAATTGACTTGGTTACATTAATAACTAGGTAGTCAGCAATAGAGCAAGGAAAGAAGAAGGAGTAACAGAATAGATGAAAGGAGTTAAATTTTTCTTATCTTTAGTTTGATAGGGTTTTCTCCTGGGACTACGGCCCATGACTCTGGAGGGGGCAGCACTTTCTTGACTTGGGTGTGATGGGTCCATCCTTTTTCTGCTGTCCAGACTGCCATTTCGGTAGTTAGGAGCACTAGGTAAGGTCCTTTGCCAGTTCAAGTTTTCCTTCTCTCTAACTTTTGACAACGACGTGGTCCCCAGGCTGATGCTGGTGTGCTGGAAATGCTAGGGGTGGCACCTGTGCTGAAAGACCTTTAGTTCTGAGGGAAGGGAAAGTGGAAGATAAACCAAGTATATAATTTCTGAGAAACTGATCTTCTGTTTCAAATGTAGAGAAATCAGTAGTAGAATGTAGATAAGGCAATCCATAAAGCATCTCATACAGGGCTAGGCCTATGTCTTTTCAGGGAGCAGTTCAGACTCTCAACAGGGTAATAGGCCTTCCTACTTTCCTTGATGAAGGTAGGTGTCAGAGATTATGATATTCCCATGTTATATCCAGTACCTGGGCTCATTTCTTTTTTTTTTTTTTCAACCTAGGCTGGAGTGCAGTGGCATGACTTGGCTCACTGCAATCTCTGCCTCCCAGGTTCACACCATTCTCCTGCCTCAGCCTCCCGAGTAGCTGGGACTACAGGTGCCCCCCACCACGCCTGGCTAATTTTTGTATTTTCATTAGAGACGGGGTTTCACTATGTTGGTCAGGCTGGTCTCAAACTCCTGACCTCTTGATCCACCCACTTTGGCCTCCCAAAGTGCTGGGATTACAGGCATGAGCCACTGTGCCGAGCAACCTGGGCTCATTTCTTAATGACATGTGCAGTGAAATGAGTCCTATTATCTGAATCAATCTTTTCTATTAATCTAAACTTGGGTATAATATTTTCAGCTAATACCTTGACTACACTATTAGCAGTTGTACTTGAAAAGGAAATAGCTTCTACCCAATGAGTAAGGTGATCTACTATTACTAATAAATATACTTTAGATGACTAATTGGAGGCATCTCTATGCAATCAATCTGGATATTCTGGAATGGCCTTAAGCCTGGATTCCTTCCCCTGAGGGGTAATGTTTTTATAGCTTGTTTATTAGTTTTCCTACATGCTAAGCAACTATCTGTAACTTTCGCCAGGGTGTAAATTTCTATACCCCTATAAACTCTGAGAACTACATCACACATGCCTTGGGGTCCCCAATGGGTCCCTCAATGCAGTTGGAACAGGATTTCCCTCATAAGAGGTTTGGATAACAATTTTCTCTGGTTTAGCAATATCCTTTTTCCTTCTGAATTTTTTTTTAGCACCTATTTTTATTGGTTTTTAGACCAAAGAAAGCCAAATGTCATTTTATATTTGACAGTGCTTCCTGTATGATTTTATACCAGATAAGCTAAATTTTACCTTTATATTAGTGTGTTATTAATGTTAAACTCAATTTTTATAAAACCTTGTAGACATTATTTATCCAATTTTAATGTCTGACCATAAGGTAAGATTTTTACAGACTCTTTTTAACCCTTTATAATTTTTGTTAAAGAGCAGTTTAGTGCTTTAAAAAAAACTGTCATGCTTTTAATGTCCAGTTCACAGAAAAACTGTATGATACCCCTTTAACTTTAGCAATATGTTTACACACAGAATTTCCTTTACAATTAACATTTCAAAATTTGCTTAAACCTTCAAAACAATTTTTTTAACCTTTTAATGTAGGTAAAAATTCACATTCTTCTGCCTCCTTATAACTCCTTTACCAAAAGTATGTTTTACTTTCCTTACACACCTTGCACATAAACTGTTTCTTCAATAATTTTACATTCAGGAGGCCTAATTACTTTTAAATTATACAACAATTCTTGCATAAATTCCCTTTTATAGCATTTTTCATGACTTTCACAGACAGTCTTCGACATGCCTCAACTTTCTGACTTGTAAACATCACTTTCTTTAAACAACCAGTTAATCTATTTTAGGACAAGAATTTACCATATAACATTTCTTTTACATAAATTCTCCACTCCCCCCCTTTTTTTTGTCAAAGATGATAACTGTTCTTTTCCAAAGTGAACTTCCTTCATGTCCGGGCACTAGACTGCCTAAGGCCACAAGATTGGAAATTAGGATAATACATGTTACACTGTTAACTTGTAGCTAACTTTACTTCTGTTGAAAATCTTGTAAGTTTGGGATTTTAATTATCCTTTGCTATTAATAAGACTTCGTTCAGTCTAAACTTTTTTTTTTCCAAATGTATAAGCCACTTCAAAGGCATACTTAGAATTGGTATAGATGGTTCTTCCCTGGTTCTGTAAGTACTTTAAGGCTTGGCTGAGTGCAAACAGCTCACACGTTTGAGCAGACCAATTATTATGCAACTTTCCTAACTCCATTTCTACAAGAGTTTCCCTATCAATTACTGAATACCCATTGGGTCTTTTTCCCTCAATCACCCAGGTGGCACCACCTATAAATAAATAAGTGTCATCCCATCCTGAAGGGAGTTCCTCTTAGGTCTGGTTGGGCCTTTGTATGGTAATTAATTAAGATTTAGATCCCCTGTTAGGAAACCTGCTGGGTTAAGTGAATTATCAGTGGTTAATATTAAATCATACTTTTCTAACAGAATAGCATCATATTTTAAGATTCTTGAGTCAGTAAGCTACCTTTTTGCTTTTTTTGACTTGGGATAGCTCTGAATTGCTGAGGTGTGTTCACAATGAGGTTTCCTCTAAAAGTTATTTTTCTACTTTCTTCTGTTAGCAAAGCAGTTGCAGCTAAAGACTGAATGCATTTGGGCCATCTGCGGGTTACTGGGTTAAGAATTTTTGATAGGAAGGCTATAGGTTGTCAGTGGCCTCCGTGCTCTTGGGTAAGTATTTCTAAGGCTATGCCCTTGTTTACACTGAAAACAAGATGGACTGGCTGCTTAAGGAGGGCAAAAATAGGACAGGGGCAGTTACTAATAGTTGTTTTAACCTTTCCACCTGTTGGATTTCTGGTAATTGCCAAATGAGGGGGTTGGGCCCATCTTGTGTGAGCTTTTTGTATAAGGGTTTTGTTTTTAGGGCATAAGAGTCTATCCATAGATGACAGTACCCAACTAATCTTAAAATTTTCTAAGCTCTTGTTTAGTCTCTGGCAGAGGCAAGGATATGATGCCTTCAATCTGTTCAAGCTCAATTTGCTGTTTACCTTTGCTAATTAAATGACTTGTTCTAATATTTGACTAAATAAATTTGGAGAGTGTAAACCCTTGGGGTAAGACTGTCTGTCTATCAGTATTGCTATTTTCAATTGGAGTGAGGGTCTTCTCACTCAAAGGCAAATAGGTCCTGGTTGTCCTCTGTGAATGGACAAGCCCAGAAGACATTTTTTAAATCTATTATCATAACAACAGGGTGGGTAATTTGGACTATCTGAGTAATAGCTCTAAGGTCTTGCACTAACTGGTGTGACCCACCTGCCTTCTTTACAGGCAGTAATGGAGTGTTATAGGGTCACGGGGAAGGCCTTCAATGATCAATTACAGGTTTTAAATTTACCCTGGCTTTTAAAGGAATAGGTACGTTGCTTTCACTTTATTACTCTTTCTCTCTCTCTTTGACTCTCTGTCTCTCTCTCTCTCTTTATAAGATTTTTTTTATCCTTCTAATATTTTAACATTAGGCCTAGGGGATTATTAGGGGGAATATTATTGTTGTTAGCTTTATCCTTTACCTTACTTGGGGTATTTTCCATTTTTGGGTGAGGCTCAATTTCCCTTACCAGAAATGTTTCACATTTTGGGGTGAGGCTCAATTCCCTTACAGGAAATGTCTTGCCTTTTGGGATGAGGCTCAATTTCCCTTACTAGAAATGTCTCACCTCTTTTTAACCTCCTGACCAAGGAATACTTCACTGCCCCCCATGGATTTTCTTTCTTTAGTCCCAACTAAGGAATGCCTTACCACCCCTGCAGCTTCTCTTTCCTTGGTATGTCCCAATCAAGGAATGCTTCATTGCCCCTGTGTTTTTTCTTTCCTTAGTCTTGACCACCAAGGAAATACTTTACCAGCTCCTCCAGTGTTTCCTTCCTTGGCTTGTGCACGAGGTTGTCTGGTCCACGTAGTATGTGAGGATCCTTTACTTCAGGTCACCAGCCGGTTTCTTTCCGCATTGCTGAGAGTCCGGGTTTATTCAGCACAGCAGGTGGGTCTCAATTCCTCACCGCTGAGGCCACAGCAATGAGGCAGCAGGGCACCTCCTTAGGAGAGAGGACTGGAGACTACCCCCAGAGGAGAATAGGTCCCTGTACGGGCCACCAAATTGTTAGAAATGCAAAATGCTTGTTCCCTGGTGCTGCAAAGAAATAGCACTTGAACATGAATTTAATTTTCTCAGCAAGACAATTTTTACCTTCTGCAGAAAGAGTGCTCCTTGCAGATGGAACAATGGCGAGAGCACACCTGGACAGAGGAGGGGAAGAGGTTCTTATTCCTGATGCAGGTAGCCTCTACTGCTGTGTCACTCCCCCATTGGCTAGGGTCGGACTGCACAGTCTGTTGGACTGCACAGTCTAAGCTAATTCCAATTGGCTCTTTTAAAAAACAGCAGGAGTATGAGCCAGAGTGGTGGGGTAAGTAGTTTGGTGGGAAGGGCGGTTACAGAACTGGTGGCTCAGGATGAGTCAGGATAGAGCAGGTGACCAGGGGTGACTAGGGTCAAAGCAGGTGACCAGGGGAACAGATGTGAACTATTTATTAGGACTGGTAAGAAAGTTGTTTACTGAAACTGGAAGCAAGGGGGCAAAGAGAATTAAGAAGTTAAACTTTAAAATGGAGAATCAAACAATAAGATAGATGCACATACTGACATACTGATTCTTTGAAGATAAACTTGGGGTTCACTATATTTAACACTAATGTAAAGACCCTTGTGATTACATGAAACCCACCAGCTTAATCTCTTTATGTCAAGACATTATTTAGCCTACCATATTATTATTATACCAATTTGAACAACCAAACAATTGCACTGATGATCTGTTAAGTATCTTGTTCAAGGTCACACAGCTTTTTAAGTGTCAGAGCCAACAGTTGAACAAGGGCAATCTGACTGGAAAGTAGAAGTGGCTAACAACTTTGCTAATTCTCTGCATTTATTTTTATTGTTTATGTTTCATCCCTAAAATACAT
This sequence comes from Homo sapiens, assembly GCF_000001405.40. Classification (NCBI taxonomy): domain Eukaryota; kingdom Metazoa; phylum Chordata; class Mammalia; order Primates; family Hominidae; genus Homo; species Homo sapiens. The sequence continues at coordinate 94,999,087 of NC_000010.11, forward strand.
GTTTTATATGAGCAGAGAACTTTATTTGGCTCACTAATGAATTCCAGACACCTGAAACACTGTTTAGAAGATATTGGCTCAATAGATACTAGATAAATTAATGACTACTTAATGAATGAATGAATGTGGGCATAAAGGAGCGTGTGAATTTGTTTACTCTCTTTTAAAGCCAATGGGACGATATTCATAGAAATGTATATAAACACCTCCATCCTTCAAACAGTTTCACTTCTTGAGTATTAATGGATATCACTGAAGGTATATATTAATTACTATATATATGAATGCTTATTTTATGATTATTCATAAAAGATTTGAAACAAAACTTTACTGGAGGTTGTAAATAAATTATGGTGGATCTTAAAAATGGAAAAGTATGCATAGTTACAAATGATTTTCATAATTATATAATGATGAAGTATTTATTGTATGGCAGGCACTATTTTAATCATATGAAAACAATTCATTTCTTATACAGTGAATTTGGTACAATTATAATTCATATTCATTTAACAGATAAGGTCATGGAGGAACAGAGATGTTTATTAATCTGTCCAATGTCACAAGGCAAATAAGTGACACAGCTGGAGTAAATAGAAGATCTGACTCCAGAGTCTCCTCCCAAACTCTACAGTGTGCTGGGTTTATTTCTGGGGAGTCTCATCTCTACAGTCCTTCTAGGCTCTGTCTCTGAGAGACATGGCCTCCCTTCTTCCACCTAAAGCTATCCTGATATCTATGTTCTCCTTTCCATTGCTCTTCAATGCTATTCCAGATCTGGGTAGAAAAGCCTTAGCTTCACAGTCCCTCAATAATAAGGAAATGGGCGTGTTTCCTTATCCCCCTTGCAGGATGTGTGACAGGGGTGTGGCTCACTTCCTTGGTGCTTCACTGCTCAAGGGAGCATGCAGATGGGCAGGTACAGAGGCTGTGGGGAGTGCTTTTTGGGCTCTGGCCCCATGGCAACATCTACGGGTGTCTGTGATTCCTGAAGCCCAAGTGGGCTGTGTTACAGTGTGCTTTTTCAGCTTTACTGTCTGCAGATGGCTTGTGTTAATCAGCTCAGTTAGACCCTCTGCCTTATCGCAAGGACATAGGGCTTTCTGTATCCTGGGTTCCTGCCCTAGTTACCGGAGAAAGCGGATCACATGTGGGTTTGGAGGATGAGTGCAAAGTTTTATTGTGTGGTGGAGGTAGCTCTCAGAGAGATGGATGAAGATTTAGAGGGAGATGGGGTGGGAAGGTGGTCTTCCCCTGGAGTAGGGCTGGCCAGTGGCTGGACTCTTCTCCAATCACCCCCAGCTGAATTCCCCTTGGCAGCATACTACCTGTACCCCGATAACTTATGGAAAAATAAAAAAGAATAAATAAATCTGTAATGTTAAAAAATAAATAAAACTAATGCACCCTCCCCCCCCAAAAGAAAAGAGCACAGAGAACAACACAAGGGTTTATATAGTGCTAGTAATAATTTCTGTAACCATCCTCCAGAGAGAAATACCTCTAATTCATTGGATATCGGGTAGAGTGTTCAAAGCGTATTTCCTCAGTAAAAGGGAAAAAAATAATCCATAGGCTAACAGCTGCTCTGGTGTGCTCTAATAAAGTTAAATACAAACCTCAAAAGGATAAAACTGTTTTCTAGTAACTTAACTACATTTTGGAAGAACACACAAAAGTATTTAAAAGATCATACAAATTTTCTGCAGCCTTAACATAAAATCGCAATGGTTTTTGTCCAAACAAGAATTATCAGACATGCAAGCAAAAGGGAAGATATGAAAAAAAAAAAAAGTAATATATAGAAGTAGGTTTAAAAATTAAACGATTGAATTCATTACAAGGAAAATAAGATAGTTATAACTGACTCTAGATTCCATATGTTCAAGAAAGCAGAGGGAAGACTGGCCATACTACTCATCAAAAGGGGATATATAAAAAAAACACAGATAGAAAACCCAGAAAAAAAAATGCAAGGTCTGAAGTGAAAAGCACACTGGATCGAATTGTAGATTAGAAACTACAAAAGAAATAAGTGAATTCGAAGACATAAGAGAAGAAACTATTCTAAATTAAAGGGGAAAAATGAAATAATAATAAATAAGTGGTGGTACAACTTCAAGTAGATGTAAAAATGTGCAATAATTGCTCATAAATGTGGATTAAAAAGTATGGAAAAGGCTGGGCGCGGTGGCTCACGCCTGTAATCCCAGCACTTTGGGAGGCTGAGGCGGGCGGATCACAAGGTCAGGAGATCGAGACCATCCTGGCTAACACGGTGAAACCCCGTCTCTACTAAAAATACAAAAAATTAGCCGGGCGCGGTGGCACGCGCCTGTAGTCCCAGCTACTCGGGAGGCTGAGGCAGGAGAATGGCGTGAACCTGGGAGGCGGAGCTTGCAGTGAGCCGAGATTGTGCCACTGCAATCCGGCCTGGGCTAAAGAGCGGGACTCCGTCTCAAAAAAAAAAAAAAAAAAAAAAAGTATGGAAAATATAATAGCTATATTTTCCCCAAAAGACAATCTTAAAAGCAACCAAAAGGGATTTTAAATGTGGGCAAATGAAATTAAAGTGTATGGTCTTTCTTAGTTCTCTTTTTGCTTTTTTTTTTTAATGCACACAGTGTTAAGTTATCAGCTTAAAATAATGGATTATAAGATAATATTTTCAAGCCCCATGGTAGCCTCAAACCAAAAAAAAAAAAAAAAAAAATACAATGGAAACACAAAAGTTAAAAGCATGAAACTAACTTATATGGCCAGAGAAAATAACCTTCATTAAAAGGAAGACAAGAAAAAAAAGAAAGAAGGAAGAAAAGACCAAAAAACAAAAGCAAATAACAAAATGACAGGAGTAAGTCCTTACTTATCAATAATAATATTGAATGTAAATGGACTAAACTCTTGGATCAAACTTCATAGAGTGGCTAAATCAATTAAAAATAATCCAATGATTTGTGGCCTGAAAGAAACATATTTCACCTATAAAGACACATAGACTGAAAATAGAAAGATGGAAAAAAATATTCCAAGCCAATGAAAACCAAAAAAGAGCAGCATTGCTATACTTATATCAGACAAAACAGATTTTAACACTAAAACTATAAGAGACAAAGAAGGTCATTATATAATGTCAATGGGATCATTCAGCAAGAGGACGTAACAATTTTAAATATATATGCACCCAACACTGAGGCACCCAGATATATAAAGAAAAAATTAGAGCTAAAGAGGGAATTAGGCCCCAATAAAACAATAGGAGGAGATTTCAACTCCTCACTTGCAATATTGGACAGAATTCCAGACAGAAAATCAATAAAGGTACATCAAACTGAATCTGCACTATAAAACAAATGGATCTAATAGATATTTACAGAACATTTTATTCAAGAGCTACAGAATACACATTCTTTTCTTTAGCACATGGATCATTCTCAAGGATAAACTATGTGTTAGGTCACAAAACAATTCTTAAAACATTCACATAATTTGAAATAATATCAAGCATCTTTTTTGGCTGCAATAGAATAAAACTAGTAATCAATAACAAGGGGAATTTTGGAAACTATACTTATACATGGAAATTAAACAGTATGCTCCTAAATGACTAGTGAGTCCATAAAGAGACTAAAAAGGAAATTGAAAAATTTCTTGAAACAACTGATAATGGATACAAAAACCTGCGGTCTACAGCAAGCCAGTACTAAGACGGAAGTTTATAGTTATAAGTCCTACATCAAAAAGAGGAAAAACTTCAAATAAACAATCTAATGGTGCATCTTAAAGAACTAGAAAAGCAAGAGCAAACCAAACCCAAAATTAGTAGGAGAAAAGAAATAATAAAGATCAGAGTAGAAAGAAATGAAATTGAAATAAAAAAATACAAAAGGAAAACTGATGGACCCAAAGGAAAATACTAAGAGAAACAGACAATTGGGATTCTCACAGAGGAAATATAAGTTGTCAACAATAACATCGGTACAAGACATAAAATGTAAACCTTGATGCATAAATACAGATTTTGGATGTTATTTTTTAAATATATATATATATGAAAAAAAAGATCAATGAAACAAAAAGTTGGTTTTTTTTGAAAAGTTAAACAAATTTATGAACCATTAGCCAGACTAGGTAAAAAAGTAAGAAAATCCAAATGAATGAAATCAGAAATAAAAAAGGAGACATCACAACTGATACCAAAGAAACTGGAAGGATCATTAGTGGCTAATATGAACAACTATATGCCAATAATCATGAAATCTAGAAGAAATAAACAAATTCCTAGACATATAGAATGTACCAAGACTGAACCATGAAGAAATAAAAAAGCATGAACAGACCAATAACAGGTAACAAGGTGGAAGCTGTAATAAAAACTTTTCCACTAAAGAAAGTCCTGGGACCTGACAACTTCACTGCTGAATTCTACCAAACACTTAAAGAAGAATGAATACCAATCCTACTCAAAACATTCCAAGAAACAGAGGAGATGGGAAGACTTCCAAAGTCATTATATGAGGCTGGTATTACTCTGATACAAAAATCAGACAAAGACACACAAAAAAAGAAAACTATAGGTCAATATCTCTGATGGATATTGATGCAAAAATCCTCTACAAAATACTAGCAAGGTGAATTCAACAATACATTACAAAGATCATTCATCATGACCAGGTAGGATTTATCCCTGGGATGTAAGGATGGTTCTACACACTCAAGTCAATCAATGTGATACATCCTATTCACAGAATGAAGCATTAAAAACAATATAATCATTTCAATTGATGCTGAAAAAGCATTTGATACAATTTAACATCCCTCCATGAAAAAAACCCTCAAAAAACTGGGGATAGAAGGCACATATTTTAACATAAAATCCATATACAACAGACACACAACTAGTATCATATTGAATGGGGAAAAACTGAAAGCCTTTTCTCTAAGATCTGGAACACAATAAAGATGCCCACTGTCATCATTGTTATTCAAGATAGTACTGTAGGTCATAGCTAGAGCAATCAGACAAGAGAAAGATATAAAGGGCATCCAAATTAGAATGGAAGATGTCAAATTATCTTTATTTTTATTTTTTTCCATCAGTTATTGGGGTACAAGTGGTATTTGGTTACATGAATAAGTTCTTTAGTGGTGATTTGTGAGATTTTGGTGCATCCATCACCTGAGCAATATACACTGCACCATATTTGTAATCTTTTATCCCTCACCCCCTTCCCACTCTTTCTCCCAAGTCCCCACAGTCCATTTCATCATTCTTATGCCTTTGCATCCTCACAGCTTAGGTCCCACATATCAGTGAGAACATAAGAAGTTTGGTTTTCCATTCCTGAGCTACTTCACTTAGAATAATAGTCTCCAATCTCATCAGGTTGCTGCAAATGCTGTTAATTCACTCCTTTTTATGGCTGAGTAGTATTCCATCATATATATATATATATATATATATATATATATATATATATATATATATATATATATATATATACCAGAGTTTCTTTATCCATTCATTGATTGATGGACACTTGGGTTGGTTCCACAATTTTGCAGTTGTGAATTGTGCTGCTATAAACATGCATGTGCAAGTATCTTTTTCGTATAGTGATTTCTTTTCCTCTGGATAGATACCCAGTAGTGGGATTGCTGGATCAAATGGTAGTTCTACTTTCAGTTCTTTAAGGAAGCTCTACACTGTTTTCCATAGTGGCTGTACTAGTTTACATTCCCACCAGCAGTGTAGCAGTGTAGAAATGTTTCCTGATCACCGCATCCATGCCAACATCTACTGTTTTATTATTTTTTTGATTACGGCCATTCTTGCAGGAGTGAGGTGGTATTGCATTGCGGTTTTGATTTGCATTTCCTTGATCATTAGTGATGTTGAGCATTTTTCATAAGTTTGTTGGCCATTTGCGTATCTTCTTTTGAGAATTGCCTATTCATGTCCTTAGCCCACTTTTTGATGGGATTGTTTGTTTGTTTTTTCTTACTGATTTGTTTGAGTTTGTTTTAGATTCTGGATATTAGTCATTTCTTAGATGTATAGATTGTGAAGATTTTCTCCCACTCTGTGAGGTGTCTATTTACTCTGCTAACTGTTCCTTTTGCTGTGCAAAAGCACTTTAGTTTAATTAAGTCTGAACTGTTTATCTTGGTTTTTATTGCATTTGCATTTGGGTTCTTGGTCATGAAATCCTTGCATAAGCCAACATCTAGAAGTGTATTTTTTGGGATTGTCTTCTAGAATTTTTACAGTTTCAGGCCTTAGATTTAAGTCCTTAATCCATCTTGAGTTGGTTTTTGTATAAGGTGAGAGATGAGGATACAGGTTCATTCTCCTACATGTGGCTAGCCAATTATCCCAACACAATTTGTTGAAAAGGGTGCCCTTTCCCTATTTTAGTTTTTTGTTTGCTTTGTCAAATATTAATTGGCTGTAAGTATTTGGGTTTATTTCTGGGTTCTCTATTCTGTTCCATTTGTCTCTGTGCCTATTTTTATGCTAGTATCATGCTGTTTTGGTGACTATGGCCTTATAGTATAGTTTGAAATTGGGTAGTGTGATGCATCCAGATTTCTTCTGTTTGCCTAGTCTGCTTTGGCTATCTGGGCTCTTTTTCGGTTTGGTTTGATACAAATTTTAGAATTGTTTTTTTCTAATTATGTGAAGAATGATGGTAGTATTTTGATGGGAATTGCATTAAATTTGTAGATTGCTTTTGGCAGTATGGTCATTTTCACCATATTGATTGTACTCATCCAAGAGCATGGGATGTATTTCCATTTGTTTGTCTCATCTATAATTTCTTTCAGCAGTGTTTTGTAGTTTTCCTTGCAGAGGTCTTTTGACTTCTTGGTTAGGTATATTCTTAAGTATTTTATTTTATTTTTGCAGCTATTGTAAAAGGGATTTGGGTTCTTGATTTGATTCTGTGCTTGGTTGCTGTTGGTGTATAGGAGAGCTACTGATTTCTGTATATTTATCTTGTATCTGGAAACTTTGCTGAAATCTTTTATCAGTTCTGGGAGCTTTCTGGGGAGTCTTTGGGGTTTTCAAGGTAAAAAATCATATCATCAGCAAACAGTGACAGTTTGACTTCCTTTCTACTGATTTGGATGCCTTTGATTTTTTTTCTCTGGTCTTATTGCTCTGGCTAGGACTTCCAGTACTGTGTTGAAGAGGAATGGTGAGAGTGGGGATCCTTGTCTTGTTCCTGTTTTCAGGGGTAATGCTTTCAACTTTTTCCCATTTAGTATTATGTTGGCTGTGGGCTTGTCATAGATGGCTTTTATTACATTGAGGTGTGTCCCTTGTATGCTGATTTCACTGAGGCTTTTAATCATAAAGGGATGCTGATTTTTGTCAAATGCCTTTTCATCATCTAGTGAGATAATCATTTGATTTTTGCTTTTAATTCTGTTTATGTGGTGTATCACATTTATTGACTTGCATATGTTAAACCATCCCTGCATCCCTGGTATGATACCCACTTAATCATGGTGGATTATGTTTTTGATATGCTGTTGGATTATGTTAGCTACTATTTTGTTGAGAAATATTCTCAAGTGAAGTATATTCTTAAGTATTCTCTGGTGAAGTGTTCTAGAAGAGATAAACTGCATTTATGCTATGGAGAAAGCATAGTTCTTTAACTCTTTCTGAAAATGAACTCAAATCTTGTGTTCATGATTTCTGATTTGAAAACAAAGAAACAAAGTTGAGGCAAAAGGATTAAATTACCTTGTATACCCACACTGTATGCACCATTATGCCTGTATAAACACAGCACAGGTGCACAGCAGCTCTCTTGGCTGTCTGCTTCAAATAATCCCTCCTCTACATCAGGACTGAAAACAACCATCTATAATGAAAGATCAGGTCACCACTGAAATGTTTCCAGCATTATCTGTGAAGATAGCTGACTGTTAAGGTCAGTGATGCAGAGTAGAGTCACCCACCCTTGGTTCTTCTCAACTCCTGCCTAAGACATTGGGCTTCACCTTGAACATGCTTCTCCATTGCTCCTCTTCACCATCCTACAATTCCACAGCGTCATGAGCAAGAAGAGCCAGATATCCTTACATCTCTTTCCATTGCTAAAAATGATCCTGAAAGGAAGGGAAACAGAAACGAGGAGGGAGATCCCAGGCAAGAAAGAGGAAGCTGATTTTCAACAGCCACCCAAATGGGCCAAGCTAAGTTTTAGGAGCTCTTCAAGTGTTTGTTTTCCATTCACCTTCTGCCTCATTACTAATACAGACAAAGGCACACACACACTGACACACATGTACCAACTCCTTACTAGCTTTTTTTGGATACTGGGAAAATACCTTTTCCAGAAAACTCCTCTCCATGATCAATTAGAGCTTCCTTCACCACTTCATATCCATGCAACTCCAGGACAAGCTTTATGTCAAAATACACAGTGAACACTGGGACATAGACTTTTGAGAACTGGGAAAGGAGTTGCAAATAATAATAATATAAGTCACTACTTGGTTCATATACTGTGTCTAATTCAGACTGTTATTACCATTGCATTTTGTAAATATTTTATAGTAAACAATCTTAAATATTCCTGAAATTTATATATATATATATATATATATATATTTGATGATGATTACTATAGTGCCACTTATGGATGACCTACAATGTGCCATGAAATGGCCCGGACAACTTATAGACATTAAAATTTCTCCTCACATCAATACACTCAGCATTTTTATTTGCCTTATTTTGCAAATAAAAAAACTGTGGTCAGAGAATCTCAAATTCATTTTCAGGGTCCTACAGGTAATATATAGAAGATTGACATTTGAATCTCTACTTATTCAGACTCTGACACTTGAGCAATTCATCAGTACCCCCAAGGTAATCCTTTTTTTCGTGACTAACATTTATTGTAATTCGTATGTAGCATCATTTTTAATACACACATATTTCTATGAGATGAGCATTATTACCCCATTTTACAAAGACAAGATTTTATTAATGAAAACAGATGGTATTTTTATTTTATTTTGTTTTATTTTATTTTACTCTAAGTTCCGGGATACATGTGTTGAATGTGCACGTTGTTACATAGGTATACACGTGCCATGGTTGTTTGCTGCACCTATCAACCTGTCATCTAGGTTTAAGCCCCACATGCCTTAGGTATTTGTCCTAATGCTCTCCCTCCTCTTGCCCCCCACCCCCTGACAGACCCTGGTGTGTGATGTTCCCCTCTCTGTGTCCGTGTGTTCTCATTGTTCAACTCCCACTTATGAGTGAGAACATGAGGTGTTTGGTTTTCTGTTCCTGTGTGAGTTTGCTGAGGATGATGGTTTCCAGTTTCATCCATGTCCCTGCAGAGGACATGAAGTAATCCTTTTTTATGGCTGCATAGGATTCTATGGTGCATATGTGCCACATTTTCTTTATCCAGTCTATCATTCATTGGCATTTAGGTTGGTTGCAAGTGTTTGCTATTGTAAATAGTGCTGCAGTAAACATACCTGAGCATGTATCTTTATAGTAGAATGATTTATAATCATTTGGGTATACACCGAGCAATCCCATTGCTGGGTGAGATGGAATCTCATTGTGGTTTTGATTTGCATTTCTCTAATGACCAGTGATGATGAGCTTTTTTTCTTATGTTTGTCAGCCACATAACTGTCTTCTTTTCTGAAGTGTCTGTTCATATCCTTTGCCCACTTTTTCATGGGGTTGTTTATTTCTTGTAAATGTGTTTAAGTTCTTTTGTAGATTCCGGATATTAGCCCTTTGTGAGATGGATAGATTGCAAAAATTTTCTCCCATTATGTAAGTTGCTTGTTCATTATGATGATAGTTTCCTTTGCTGAGCAGAAGCTCCTTAGTTTAATTAGCTCTCATTTGTCATTTGTGGCTTTTGTTGCCATTGCTTTTGGTGTTTTAGTCATGAAGTTTTTGCCCATGCCTATGTCCTGAATGGTACTGCCTAGGTTTTCTTCTAGGGTTTTTATGGTTTTAGGTTTTACATTTAAGTCTTTAATCCATCTTGAGTTAATTTTGTTTAAGGTGTAAGGAAGAGGTTCAGTTTCTGATTTCCTCATATGGCTAGCCAGTTTTCCCAGCATCATTTATTAAATAGGGAATCCATTCGCCACTGCTTGTTTTTGTCAGGTTTGTTGAAGAGCAGATAATTGTAGATGCGTGGTGTTGTTTCTGAGGCCTCTGTTCTGTTCCACTGGTCTATCTATCTGTTTCTGTACCAGTACCATTTTGTTATTTAACAAATATTGAACTAAGACAGGGCATCAGTATACTTCTGCTTTTATTTCTGGGGAAAGAAATATTCTGTGTGACTAACCTAAGCAGCATATGATTTCATAAATGGAATTTGTAGGTCTGTTAGGAAATAAAATTTGGGTCTACTGATCTGCAGTTTCTGCCATATCGTACAGTTGTTTTTTTTTTCTAATACTATACTGTCCAGTATCTCTTTTGGCTAACTTTATAAAATAGTATGTTTTTAAAAATATAGTGTAATTAGATATGCTGGCACATAATTTGTCAGATAATTGCATGAAATCATTTCTAGGAAAAGGACAACCAACCATTGAAATTCACTATTGAAAACTTGGTGGGCAATGTACCTGATCTATTTGTTGCTGGAACAGAGATGACAAGTACCACTCTGAGATATGGACTCCTGCTCCTGCTGAAGCACCCAGAGCTCACAGGTAGGACCACAGATGATGAACAAAGTGAATTTCAGAACAATGCTGAGAAGATGGTGCCAGTGTTCTCCATCCTGTTTCTCTTAGAGAAGCTTCATTCTTTAAATTTCTGTGTCATCAGCTGTAATCTGTCTAAATTTGATGACATGATTAAAAAGGACATCTTTGCACAATGGAGGAGGATGACTGAGATGAGTAAAAACAGTATGGCAGTAGCAAAATAAATGAAGCCCTGATGAAGTGTCTGGATTTCAGCAGAGATAATTTGTGGTAGGGAGAGCCAGCATAAATTGGCCTGGTATTGAGTGTTGGTTTATTATGAAAAGCCCACTTTGAACAGTAGGTTCATTCTTAAAGATATCCTTTCTCAATTTGAAAATTCCATGCTCTGATGCTGGGGTAGGGAGATGAAAACAATCTTTATTGAAGTGTAAGTGGAAATTCTAGAATTGTACTAGTTATCCTGAATTAAATTCCAGTCTGGGAAGTAACCTAAAAGTTAGACACCTAAGAAAGGTGTTTCCATTTAAGCAGAGGCCATACCTAAAGGAATTTTATTATGCCAGAAGTGTGTTTCATAAAACTGCTGTTTGACCAAATGGGAATATTTGGAAGGGGGGTTAATAATTGCATCTTTCACATACAATTTTTCTTTGAATTTATAATTTATCTTTAGAGTAAACTCTACATTTCCTTAGAATTTACATTTAAATAGTTCCTGCTTTGCAGCAGATAACATACCTTTTTCCCTGTGTCAGGATCCCACTGAAATTTCAATAACTAAATTACAAATTAAAATTAGGCTGTTGAAGTAAAAAGAGAGGAGAATAGAAAATAGCCAATAAGTCTTTGGCAAATTTCTAGAACATGGAAAGACAATAGAGGGCTGACAATTGACACAGCATAGAGGATGGAGTTGTAACGTTAAATATCAGCAGAGGAAGATTTATCAAGAGGAGATGCCAATCTATGTCACTATAATTCTCATAAGGTTCAGTATTTGGAGGCACCAAGGATCAAAGAAGATAAGGAATGAGGCTGAAAAGGGAGGCTTTCCTGCCCAGGTTTCCTCCATAACTCATTTTATCAGGTACCTGATTTTTTCCCACTGGAAAAGGGAAGCACACTCTCCAGAGCAACTGAGCCTAAGAAGCCCTGTACTCAGGGACATTTTACAGGGCCAGGAAACTGTGAGGTGTGAAGACAGCCACTATTTTCTGGAAGAGATTAAAGATAATTGGTATTTTTTTTCTTAAATGTTTGGAGGAATTCAAGAGTGAACATAATTAGGGCTTATGGCTTTCTGTTTTGGAAGTTATTAATTATTGATTCAATTAAGCTGGTAAATAAAGGCTTAAGCAGATTATCTATTTTCTTTTGTCTGAGTTTTGGAAGATTTTGTCTTTAAGAAATTAATCGATTTCATTTAAATTACCGTGGTTGTGGGCAGAGAGTTGCCCATAATATATACTTATTATCCTTTCAATATCTAAGGTGTCAATAGTTATACCTCTTTTAATTTTGACGTTATTAAAATGTGTTTTCTCTCTTTTTACTCTTGGTGAAACTGGCTAGAGGTTTGTTAAATTTATTTTCAAAGAACAAGCTTTTGGTATCATACATATAGTTGGACCTTGTTTTTTATCCACTCTGATAGTTTCTGTCTTTTAGTTGGTATATTTAGTTATATTTAAAGTGATTTTGATATAGTAGGATTATATCTAACACATTTGTTGTTGTTTTCTACTCATTGCCTTTGTTCTTTTTCTGTTTTTGTCATCAATTCTTGTTCTGCCTTCTATGGTTTTAAATGAGCATTTTATATAATTTAATTTCTTCTTCTTAACACATAATATTTCAATATTTACTTTAGTAATTTCCCTAGAGTTTGCAATTTATATTTGTAATTAATCCAAGTTCACTTTCAAATAACACTACACTGCTTCATGGGTAGTGCATCTACCTGTATCAAAGTATTCTTAACTCCTCCCTCCAATTCCTTATATCATTACTGCCATTAATTTCACCTATCCATAAGCTATAATTACCAAATATATTGTTGTCATTATTATTTTGAGCAAACTACTATCTGTCTGACAATTAAGAATAAGAAAAATAAAAGTTTTATGTTGCCATCAATTACTCCTTCTCTAACATTGTTCTTTTCTTTATGTGGGTCAGTGTTTGGCTTGTATCATTTTCTTCTTTCTGAGGAAATTTTTAACATTTCTTGCAAGGCAGCAACTAAAGACAAATTTTCTCAACTTTCTATGAGTGAGAGTCCTTATCTCTCCTTCAATTAAGAAGGATAAGTTTTCTGGATACAGAAAGCAAAGTGGGTGAGAATGTTTTCCAACACTTTAAATATTTTGCTTCGCTCTCTTCTTATTTGCATGAACTTTTAAGAGATGTTTGATGTAATTCTTATTCTTGTTCCTAGATAGCTGGGATGTTTTCTTCCCTTAGCTTCTTTCAAGATGTTTGCTTAGTCTTTATTTTCTTCATTTGAATATGATGTGCCTAGGTGTAGACTTTTGGGTACCTAACCTACTTGGTGTTCTTTGAGGCTCTTGGATCTGTGGTTTGCTGTCTGTCCTTAATTTTGGGAAATTCTCAGATATTACTGCTTCAAATATTGCTTCTGCAGAACACTTTGTTTTTAAATAAGCTTTTTCATTGAAGTAAAATATACATAGAAAAAGATGCACATTTTCTAAATGTACAGCTCAATGCACTAACATAAAGTGAATGTATTTATATAACCTATAAAAAATAATTTTGTTTCTAAGGCATCCTCATTCTTTCTACTGCCACATCCTCTCATAAGGTATCCACTATCATTCCACAGGTTAGTTTTTAAAAATTTTGTTGCATTATACAGTCATGGTATACAGGCTCATATTTCTTACATGGCTACGTTGTGTACTGGTGGGGACTGGGCTTCTAATGTACCCATTACCCAAATGATGAACATTATACCCAATAGGTAATTCACCAAACTTTGCTCCCAGTCCATCCTCCACAATTTTGGAGTCCCCAGTGTCTGCAATTTCCATCTTTATGTCCATGTGTACCCATTGTTTAGCTCCCACTTACAAGTGAGACCATGTGGTATTTAATTTTCTGTTTCTGAGTTAGTTCACATAAGCAAATGGCCTCCAGCTCCTTCCAGGTTGCTGCAAAAAGCATGATTTCATTCTGTTTTTTTTATGACTATCTGGTACTCCATGGTCTAAATATACCACATTTTCTTTATCCGAACAACCACTGATGGACATTTAGGTTGGTTCCTTGAATTTGCTATTGTGAATTGTGTTGTGAGAAAATGAATGAAGGTGTGTTTTTATATAATGACTTTTTTCTTCCTTTGGGTATATACCCAGTAGTGAGACTGCAGGATTGAAGAGATTGAATCCATTCCCCATTGCTTGTTTTTGTGAGGTTTGTCAAATATCAGATGTTTGTAGATGTGTGGTGTTATTTCTGAGGCCTCTGTTCAGTTCCACTGGTCTATATATCTGTTTTGGTACCAGTACAATGCTGGTTTGGTTACTGTAGCCTTGTAGTATAGTTTGAAGTCAGGTGGCATGATGTCTCCAGCTTTGTTCTTTTTCTTAGGATTGTCTTGGCAATGCGGGCTCTTTTTATGTTCCATATGAAATTTAAAGTAGGTTTTTTCCAATTCTGTGAAGAAAGTCAATGGTGGCTTGAATGGGGATAGCATTGAATCTATAAATTACTTTGGGCAGTATGGCCATTTTCATGATATTAATTCTTCCTATCCATGAGCATGGAATGTTTTTCCATTTGTTCGTGTCCTGTCTTAATTCCTTGAGGAGTGGTTTGTAGTTCTCCTTGAAGAGGTCCTTCACATCCCTTGCAAGTTGTATTCCTAGGTATTTTGCTGTCTTTGTAGCAATTATGAATGGGAGTTCACTCATGATTTGGCTGTTTGTCTACTACTGTTGTATAGAAATGCTTGTGATTTTTGCATATTGATTTTGTATCCTGAGACTTTGCTGAAGTTGCTTGTCAGCTTAAGGAGATTTTGGGCTGAGAAAATGGGTTTTTTGAAATATAAAATCATTTCATCTGCAAACAGAGGCAATTTGACTTCCTCTCCTTCTATTTGAATATCCTTTATTTCTTTCTCTTGCCTGATTGTCCTGACCAGATCTTCCAATACTGTGTTTAATAGGAGTGTTGAGAGAAGACATCCTTGTCTTGTGCCAGTTTTCCAAGGAAATACTTCCAGCTTTTGCCCATTCAGTATGATTTTGGCTGTGGGTTTGTCATAAATAGCTCTTATTATTTTGAGATACATTCCATCAATACCTAGTTTACTGAGAGTTTTAGCATGAGGGGTGTTGAACTTTATTGAAGGCCTTTTCTGCATCTGTTGAAATAATCATGTGGTTTTTGTCATTCGTTCTGTTTATGTGATGGATTACATTTATTTATTTATTTATTTTGAGATAGAGTCTCCCCCTGTTACCCAGGCTGGAGTGCAATGGTGTGACTTCAGTTCACTGCAACCTGCGCCTCCCAGGTTCAAGCGATTCTGCTGCTTCAGCCTCCTAAGTATGTGGAATTACAGGTGCATGCCACCACGTCTGGCTAATTTTTTGTATCTTTAGTACAGATGGGGTTTCCCCATGTTAACCAGGCTGCTTGTGAGCTCCTGACGTCATGATCCACCTGCTTTGGCCTCCCAAAGTGCTGGGGTTACAAGCATGAGCCACCTCACCTGGCCTACGTTTATTGATTTGTGTATGTTGAACCAGCCTTTAATCCCATAGATAAAGCCAACTTGATCGTGGTGGATATGCTTTTTGATGTGCTGCTGGATTCCGTTGGACAGTATTTTACTGAGGATTTTCACATTGATGTTCATCAGGGGTATTGGCCTAAAAGTTTATTTTCTTGTGTCTCTGCCAGGTTTTGGTATCAGGATGATGCTGGCCTCATAAAATAAGTTGGGGAGGAGTCACTCGTTTTCTTTTGCTTGAAGCAGTTTCAGAAAGACTGGTACCAGCTTCTCTTTGTACCTCTGGTACAATTCATCTGTTAATCTGTCAGGTCCTGGGCTTTTTTTGGTTGGTAGGCTCTTAGTTACTGCCTCAATTTCAGAACTTGTCATTGGTCTATTCAGGCATTCGACTTCTTTCTGGTTTACTCTTGGGAGGGTGTATGTGTCCAGGAATTTATCCATTTCTTCTAGGCTTTCTAGTTTATTTGTGTAGAGGTGTTTATAGTATTTTTTGATGGTAGTTTGTATTTCTGTGGGATCAGTGATTATATCCCCTTTATCATTGTTTGTTGTGTCTATTTGATTCTTTTCCCGTTTCTTCTTTATTAATCTAGCTAGTGGTCTATCTATGTTGTTAATCTTTTCAAAAAACCTGCTCCTGGATTCATTGATTTTTTGGAACGGTTTTTCTTTTTCTTTTTTTTTTAATTTTTATTTTATTATTATTATACTTTAAGTTTTAGGGTACATGTGCACAATGTGCAGGTTAGTTACATATGTATACGTGTGCCATGCTGGTGTGCTGCACCCATTAACTCGTCATTTAGCATTAGGTATATCTCCTAATGCTATCCCTCCCCCCTCCCCCCACCTCACAACAGTCCCCAGAGTGTGATGTTCCCCTTCCTGTGTCCATGTGTTCTCATTGTTCAGTTCCCACCTATGAGTGAGAACATGTGGTGTTTGGGTTTTTGTCCTTGCAATAGTTTACTGAGAATGATGATTTCCAATTTCATCCATGTCCCTACAAAGGACATGAACTCATCATTTTTTATGGCTGCGTAGTATTCCATGGTGTATATGTGCCACATTTTCTTAATCCAGTCTATCATTGTTGGACATTTGGGTTGGTTCCAAGTCTTTGCTATTGTGAATAGTGCCGCAATAAACATATGTGTGCATGTGTCTTTATAGCAGCATGATTTATAATCCTTTGGGTATATACCCAGTAATGGGATGGCTGGGTCAAATGATATTTCTAGTTCTAGATCCCTGGGGAATCACCACACTGACTTCCACAATGGTTAAACTAGTTTACAGTCCCACCAACAGTGTAAAACTGTTCCTGTTTCTCCACATCCTCTCCAGCACCTGTTGTTTCCTGACTTTTTAATGATTGCCATTCTAACTGGTGTGAGATGGTATCTCATTGTGGTTTTGATTTGCATTTCTCTGATGGCCAGTGATGATGAGCATTTTTTCATGTGTCTTTTGGCTGCATAAATGTCTTCTTTTGAGAAGTGTCTGTTCATATCCTTCGCCCACTTTTTCATGGGGTTGTTTGTTTTTTTCTTGTAAATTTGTTTGAGTTCATTGTAGATTCTGGATATTAGCCCTTTGTCAGATGAGTAGGTTGTGAAAATTTTCTCCCATTCTGTAGGTTGCCTGTTCACTCTGATGGTAGTTTCTTTTGCTGTGCAGAAGCTCTTTAGTTTAATTAGATCCCATTTGTCAATTATGGTTTTTGTTGCCATTGCTTTTGGTGTTTTAGACATGAAGTCCTTGCCTATGCCTATGTCCTGAATGGTAATGCCTCGGTTTTCTTCTAGGGTTTTTATGGTTTTAGGTCTAACGTTTAAGTCTTTAATCCATCTTGAATTAATTTTTGTATAAGGTGTAATGAAGGGATCCAGTTTCAGCTTTCTACATATGGCTAGCCAGTTTTCCCAGCACCATTTATTAAATAGGGAATCCTTTCTCCATTTCTTGTTTTTGTCAGGTTTGTCAAAGATCAGATAGTTGTAGATATGCGGCATTATTTCTGAGGGCTCCATTCTGTTCCATTGATCTATATATCTGTTTTGGTACCAGTACCATGCTGTTTTGGTTACTGTAGCCTTGTAGTATAATTTGAAGTCAGGTAGCGTGATGCCTCCAGCTTTTTGAAGGGTTTTTCGTGTCTCTATCTCCTTCAGTTCTGCTCTGATCTTAGTTATTTCTTGTCTTCTGCTAGCTTTTGAATTTGTTTGCTCTTGCTTCTCTAGTTCTTTTAATTGTGATGTTAGAGTGTCGATTTTAGATATTGCTCACTTTCTCCTGTGGGCATTTAATGCTATAAATTTTCCTCTAAACAGTGCTTTAGCTGTGTCCTAGAGATTCTGGTACCTTGTGTCTTTGTTCTCCTTGGTTTAAAGAACTTAATTATTTCTGCCTTAATTTCTTTATTTACCCAGTAGTCATTCAGGAGCCGGTTGTTCAGTTGCCATGTAGTTGTGCAGTTCTGAGTGAGTTTCTTTCTTTTCTTCTTTTTTTTTTGGCATTTCTGAACCATAAGGTGTTTATTATTATTATTATTATTATTTTATTATTATACTTTATGTTCTAGGGTACATGTGTACAACATGCAGGTTTGTTACATAAGTATACACGTGCCATGTTGATTTGCTGTACCCATCAACTCGTCATTTACATTAGGTATTTCTCCTAATGCTATCCCTCCTTCAGCCCCCCACTCCCAACAGTCCCTGGTGTGTGATGTTCCCCTCCCTGTGTACATGTATTCTCACTGTTCAGCTCCCACTTATGAGTGAGAACATGTGGTGTTTGGTTTTCTGTCATTGTGATATTTTTCTGAGAATGATGGTTTCCAGTTTCATCCATGTCCCTGCAAAGGACGTGAACTCATCCTTATTTATGGCTGCATAGTATTCCATGGTGTATATGTGCCACATTGTCTTTATCCAGTCTATCATTGATGGATATTTGGGTTGGTTCCAAGTCTTTGTTATTGTGAATATTGCCACAATAAACATACTTGTGCATGTGTCTTTATAGTAGCATGATTTATGGTTCTTTGGATATATACCCAGTAATGGGATTTCTGGGTCGAATGGTATTTCTAGTTCCAGATCCTTGAGGAATCACCACACTGTCTTCCACAATTGTTGAACTAATTTACACTCCCATCAACAGTGTAGAAGCATTTCTATTTCTCCACATCCTCTGCAGCATCTGTTGTTTCCTGACAATTAATGATCACCATTCTAATGCATGAGATGGTATCTCATTGAGGTTTTGATTTGCATTTTTCTTTCTTTCTTTTTTTTTTTTTTGAGATGGAGTCTCACTCAGTCGGCCAGGCTGGAGTGCAGTGGTGCGATCTCGGCTCACTGCAAGCTCCACCTCCTGGGTTCATGCCATTCTCCTGCCTCAGCCTCCCCAGTAGCTGGGACTACAGGTGCCCACCACTAAGCCCGGCTAATTTTTTTGTATTTTTAGTAGAGATGGGGTTTCACCGTGTTAGCCTGGATGGTCTCGATCTCCTGACCTCATGATCCGCCCACCTCAGCCTCCCAAAATCCTGGGATTACAGCATTTTGTGTGCGTGAGCCACCGCACCCAGCCTTGATTTGCATTTTTCTAATGACCAGTGATAATGAGCATTTTTTCATATGTCTGTTGGCTGCATAAATGTCTTCTTTGAGAACTGTCTGTTCATATCCTTTTCCCACTTTTTGATGGGGTTGTTTGTTTATTTCTTGTAAATTTATTTAAGTTCTTTGTAGATTCTGGATTTTAGCCCTTTGTCAGATGGATAGATTGCAAAATTTTTCTCCCATTCTGTAGGTTTCCTTTTGAACCTGATGATAGTTTCTTTTGCTGTGCAGAAGCTCTTTAGTTTAATTAGCTCTCATTTGTCAATTGTGGCTTTTGTTGCCATTGCTTTTGGTGTTTTAGTCATGAAGTTTTTGCCCAAGCCTATGTCCTGAATGGTATTGTCTAGGTTTTCTTCTAGGGTTTTTATGGTTTTAGTTTTTACGTTTAAGTCTTTAGTCCATCTTCAGTTAATTTTTCTGTAAGATGTAATGAAGGGACCCAGTTTTGGCTTTCTACATATGGCTAGCCAGTTTTCCCAGCACCATTTATTAAATAGGGAATCCCTTCCCCCATTGTTTGTTTTTGTCAGGTTTGTAAAGATAAGATGGTTGTAGATGGACCTCTTATCTGAGGCCTCTATTTGGCCTCACTGGTCTATATATATATGTTTTGATACAAGTACCATGCTGTTTGGTTACTGTAGCCTTGTAGTATAGTTTGAAGTCAGGAAGCATGATGCCTCCAGCTTTGTTCTTTTTGCTTAGAATTGTGTTGGCAATGCGGGCTCTTTTTTGGTTCCATTTTAACTTTAAAGTAGGTTTTTTCCAATTCTGTGAAGAAAGTCAGTGGTAACTCGATGGGGATAGCATTGAATCTATAAATTACTTTGGACAGTGTGGCCATTTTCACAATATTGATTCTTCCTATCCATGAGCATGGAATGTTTTTTCCATTTGTTTGCATCCTTTTTATTTCATTCAGCAGTGGTTTGTAGTTCTCCTTGAAGAGTTCTTTCACATCCCTTGTAATTTGGATTCCTAGGTAGTTTATTTTCTTTGTGGTAATTGTGAATGGGAGTTCAATCATGATTTGGCTGTTTGTTTGTTATTGGTGTATAGGAATGCTTGTGATTTTTGCATATTGATTTTGTGTCCTGAGACTTTGCTGAAGTTGCTTATCAGCTTAAGGAGATTTTGGGCTGAGACTATGGGGTTTTCTAAATATAAAATCATGTCATTTGCAAACAGAGACAATTTGACTTCCTCTTTTCCTAACTGAATACCATTTATTTCTTTCTCTTGCCTGATTGCCCTAGCCAGAGCTTCCAATACTATGTTGAATAGGAGTGGTGAGAGAGGGCATCCTTGTCTTGTGCCGGTTTTCAAAGGAAATGCTTTCAGTTATTGCCCATTCAGTATGATATTGGCTGTGTGTTTGTCATAAATAGCTCTTATTATTTTGAGATACGTTCCATCAATACCTAGTCTATTGAGAGGTTTTAGCATGAAAGGCTGTTGAATTTTGTCAAAGGCCTTTTCTGCATCTATTGAGATAATCATGTGGTTTTTGTCCTTGGTTCTGTTTATGTGATGGATTACGTTTATTGATTTGTGTACGCTGAACCAGCCTTGCATCCCAGGGGTGAAGCCAACTTGATTGTGGTGGATAAGCTTTTTGATGTGCTGCCAGATTTGGTTTGCCAGTATTTTATTGAGGATTTTCATAACAATGTTCATCAGGGATATTGGCCTAAAACTTTCTTTTTTTGTTGTGTCTCTGCCAGGCTTTGATATCAGGATGATGCTGGCTTCATAAAATGAGTTAGGGAGAATTCTGTCTTTCTCTATTGTTTGGAATAGTTTCAGAAGGAATGGTACCAGCTCCTCTTTGTACCTCTGGTAGAATTTGACTGTGTATTCATCTGGTCCTGGGTTTTTTTTCATTGGTTGGTGATTAATTATTGCCTGAATTTCAGAACCTGTTATTGATCTATTCAGAGATTCAACTACTTCCTGATTTAGCCTTGGGAGGGTGTATGTGTGCAGGAATTTATCCATTTCTTCTAAATTTTCTAGTTTATTTGTGTAGAGGTGTTTATAGTATTCTCTGATGGTAGTTTGTGTTTCTGTGTGTTCGGTGGTAACATCCCCTGTATCATTTTTTATTGTCTATTTGATTCTTCTCTCTTCTTTATTAGTCTTGCTAGTGGTCTATCTATTTTGTTGATCTTTTCAAAAAACCAGCTCTTGGATTTATTGATGTTTTGAAGGTTTTTTTGTGTCTCGATCTCCTTCAGTTCTGCTCTGATCTTAGTTATTTCTTGCCTTCTGCTAGCTTTTGAATTTGTTTACTCTTGCTTCTCTAGTTCCTTTAATTGTGACATTAGGCTGTCGATTTTAGATCTTTCCTGCTTTCTCTTGTGGGCATTTAGTGCTATTAATTTCTCTCTACACACTGCTTTAAATGTCTCCCAGATATTCTGGTACCTTGTGTCTTTGTTCTCATTGGTTTCAAAGAACATTTTTATTTATGCCTTAATTTCATTATTTACTCAGTACTCATTCAGGAGCAGGTTGTTCAGATTCCATGTAGTTGTGCGATTTTGAGTGAGTTTCTTAATTCTGAGTTCTAACTTGATTGCACTGTGGTCCGTGAGACAGTTTGTTGTGATTTCTGTTCTTTTACATATGCTGAGGAGTGTTTTACTTCCAATTATGTGGTCAATTTTAGAATAAGTGCAACATAGTGCTGAGAAGAATGTATATTCTATTGATTTGGGGTGGAGAATTCTGTAGATGTCTATTAAGTCCGCTTTGTCCAGAGCTGAGTTCAAGACCTGGATATCCTTGTTAATTTTCTGTCTCATTGATCTGTCTAATATTGAGAGTAGGGTGTTAAAGTCTCCCATTATTGTTGTGTGGGAGTCTAAGTCTCTTTGTAGGTCTCTAAGGACTTGCTTTATGAATCTGGGTGCTTCTGCATTGGGTGCATGTATATTTAGGATAGTTAACTCTTCTTGTTGCATTGATCTGTTTACCATTATGTAATGGCCTTCTTTGTCTCTTTTGATCTTTGTTGGATTAAAGTCTGTTTTATCAGAGACCAGGATTGTGACCCCTGCTTTGTTTTGCTTTCCATTTGCTTGGTAGATCTTCCTCCACCCCTTTATTTTGAGCCTATGTGTGTCTTTGCACATGAGATGGTTCTCCTGAATACAGCACACTGAAGGGTCTTGACTCTTTATCCAATTTGCCAGTCTGTGTCTTTTAATTGGGGCACTTAGCCCACTTACATTTAAGGTTAATATTGTTATGTGTGAATTTGAGCCTGTCATTATGATGCTAGCTGGTTATTTCATCTGTTAATTGATGCAGTTTCTTCATAGCATCAATAGTTTTTATAATTTGGTATATTTTTGCAGTGGCTGGTACTGGTTGTTCCTTTTCATGTTTAATGTTTCCTTCAGGAGTCCTTGTAAAGCAGGCCTGGTGGTGACAAAATCTCTCTGCATTTGTTTGTCTGTAAAGGATTTTATTTCTCCTTCACTTATGAATCTTTATTTGGCTGGATATGAAATTCTGGGTTGAAAATTCTTTTCTTTAAGAATGTTGAATATTGGCCCTTATTCTCTTCTGGCTTGGAGGGTTTCTGATGAGGGATCTGCTGTGGGATCTGCTGTTATTCTGATGGGCTTCCCTTTGTGGGTAACCCAACCTTTCACTCTGGCTGCCCTTAACATTTCTTCCTTCATTTCAACCTTGGTGAATCTGACAATTATGTGTCTTCAAGTTCCTCTTCTCAAGGAGTATCTTTGTGGTGTTCTCTGTATTTCCTGAATTTGAACGTTGGCCTGCCTTGCTAGGTTTGTGAAATTCTCCTGAATAATATCTTGAAGAGTGTTTTCTAACTTGGTTCTGTTCTCCCCATCACTTTCAGGTACAGCAATCAAATGTAGATTTTGTCTTTCAACATAGTCCCATATTTCTCGGAGGCTTCATTAATTTCCTTTCATTCTTTTTTCTCTAATCTTGTCTTCTTGCTTTATTTCATTAATTTGATCTTCAATCCTTTGAAAGGATATCCTTTCTTCTACTTGATTGAATCAGCTATTGAAGCTTGTGTATGCTTCATGCAGTTCTCGTATTGTGGTTTTCACTTCTATTAGGTCATTTAAGGTCTTGTCTACACTGGTTATTCTAGTTAGCAATTTGTCTAACCTTTTTTCAGGGTTTTTAGCTTCCTTGTGATAGGTTAGAATATGCTCCTTTAGCTTGGAGAAGTTTGTTATTACTGATCTTCTGAAACCTACTTCTGTCAACTTGTCAAACTCATTCTCCCTCCAGTTTTGTTCCCTTGCTGGTGAGGGGTTGTGTTCCTTTGGAGGAGAAGAGGCATTCTGTTTTTTGGAATTTTCAGCCTTTCTGCTCTGGTTTCTCCCCTTCTTTGTGGTTTTACCTACCCTTAGTCTTTGATGTTGGTGACCTATGGATGGGGTTTTGGTGTGGATGTCCTTTTTGTTGATGTTGATTCTATTCCTTTCTGTTTGTTAATTTTCCTTCTACCAGACAGGCCCCTCAGTGACAGGTCTGTTGGAGTTTGCTGGAGGTCCACTCCAGACCCTGTTTGCCTCGGTATCACCAGCGGAGGCTGCAGAACAGCAAATATTGCTGTCTGATCCTTCCTCTGGAAGCTTCATCCCAGAGTGGCACTCATCTGTATGAGGTGTCAGTTGGCCCTCTCTGGGAGGTGTCTCCCAGCCAGGCTATAAGGAGGTCAGGGACCCACTTGAGGAGGTAGTCTTTCTGTTGTCGGATCTCAAACACTGTGCTCAGAGAACCACTGCTCTCTTCAGAGCTGTCAGGCAGGGACATTTAAGTCTGCAGAAGCTGTCTGCTGCCTTTTGTTCAGATATGTCCTGCCCCCAGATGTTGAATCTAGAGCAGCAGTAGGTCTTGCTAAGCTGTGGTGGGCTCTGCCCAGTTTGAGCTTCCCTGCCGCTTTGTTTATGCTGTGAGCATAGAACTGCTGACTCAAGCATCAGCAATGGCAGACACACCTCACCACTGCCAAGCTCCAGTGTCCCAGATCAATCTCAGACTGCTGAGCTAGCAGCAAGCAAGGCTCCATGGGCATTGGACCTGCTGCACCAAGCACGGGAGGGAATCTCCAGGTCAGCCAGTTGTGAAGACCATGGGAAAAGTGCAGTATTTGGGCAGGAGTGTACCATTCCTCCAGGTACGGTCACTCACAGCTTCCCTTGGCTAGAAAAGAGAAACCCCCCAACCCCTTGTGCTTCCTGGGTGAGGCGATGCTCCACTCTGCTTCAGCTCACTCTCTGTGGGCTGAACCCAAAGTCCAACCAGTCCCAATGAGATGAACCAGGTACCTCAGTTGGAAATGCAGAAATCACCCATCTTCTGTATAAATTTCACTGGGAGCTGTAGAACAGAGCTGTTCCTATTCAGCCATTTTGGAAGTGACTCTCTTGAGTGAGTTAAGCTGAGTTCTAATTTTATTGCACTATGGTCTGAGAGACTGTTAGTAATGATTTCCATTCTTTTGCATTTGCTGAGGAGTGTTTTACTTTCAATTATGTGTTCAATGTTAGAATAAGTGTGATGTGGTTCTGAGAAGAATGTATATTCTGTTGATTTGGGGTGGAGAGTTCTGAAGGTCTATTAGGTGAACTTGTTCCAGAACTGAGTTCAAGTCCTGAATATCCTTGTTAATTTTCTGTCTCATTGATCTATCTAATATTGAGAGTGGGGTGTTAAAGTCTCCCACAGTTATTGTGTGGGAGTCTAAGTCTCTTTGTAGGTCTCTAAGAACTTGTTTTATGAATCTGGGTGCTCCTGGATTGGGTGCATATGTATTTAGGATAGTTAGCTCTTCTTGTTGCATTGATCCCTTTACCTTTATGTAATGGCCTTTTTTGTGTCCTTTGATCTTTGTTGGTTTAAAGTCTGTTTTATCAGAGACTAGGATTGCAACTCCTGCTATATTTTTGCTTTCCATTTGCTTGGTAAATCTTCCTCCATCCCTTTATTTTGAGCCTATGTGTGTCTTTGCATGTGAGATGGGTCTCCTGAACATAGCACATTGATGGGTCTTGACTCATTTCCAACCTGCCAGTCTGTGTCTTTTAATTGGGGCATTTAGCCCATTTACATTTAAAGTTAATATTGTTATGTGTGAATTTGATCCTGTCATTATGATGCTAGCTGGTTATTTTGCCCATTAGTTGATGCAGTTTCTTCATAGTGTCGATGATCTTTACAATTTGGCATGTTTTTGCAGTGGCTGGTACTGGTTGTTCCTTTTCATGTTTAATGTTTCCTTCAGGAGTCCTTGTAAAGCAGGCCTGGTGGTGACAAAATCTCTCTGCATTTGCTTGTCTGTAAATGATTTTATTTCTCCTTCACTTATAAAGCTTAGTTTGGCTGGATATGAAATTCTGGGTTGAAAATTCTTTTCTTTAAGAATGTTGACACAGGAAGGGGAACATCATACACTGGGGCCTGTTGTGGAGTGGGGGGAGGGGGAAGGGGGGAGGGACAGCATTAGGAGATATACCTAATGTTAAATGATGAGTTAATGGGTGCAGCACACCAACATGGCACATGTATACATATGTAACTAACCTGCACGTTGTGCACATGTACCCTAAAACTTAAAGTATAATAAAAAAAAAGAATGTTGATCAGGAGATTGAGACCACAGTGAAACCCCATCTCTACTAAAAATACAAAAAAAATTAGCCAGGCGTGGTGGTGGGTACCTGTAGTCCCAGCTACTCGGAGAGGCTGAGGCAAGAGAATGGCATGAACCCATGAGGCGGAGCTTGCAGTGAACCGAAATCGTGACATTGCACTCCAGCCTAGGCACAGAGCAAGACTCTGTTCAAAAAAAAAAAAAATGTTGAATATTGGCCCCCACTCTCTTCTGGCTTGTAGGGTTTCTGCAGAGAGATCCACTATTAGTCTGGTGGGCTTCCCTTTGTGGGTAACCCAACCTTTCACTCTGGCTGCCATTAACATTTTTTTCTTCATTTCAGCCTTGGCGAATCTGACAATTATGTGTCTTGGGGTTGCTCTTCTCAAGGAGTATTTTGCGGTGTTCTCTGTATTTCCTGAATTTGAATGTTGGCCTGTCTTGCTAGATTGGGGAAATTCTCCTGGATAATAACCTGAAGTGTGTTTCCAACTTGGTTCCATTTTCCCCATCACTTTCAGGTACACCAATGAAATGTAGGTTTGGTCTTTTCATACAGTGCCATATTTCTTGGAGGCTTTGTCTGTTTCTTTTGATTCATTTTTTTCTAATCTTGTCTTCACACTTTATTTCATTAATTTGATCTTCAATCTGTGATATTCTTTCTTCTGCTTGATCAATTTGGCTATTGATAATTGTGTATGCTTTATGAAGTTCTCATGCTGTGTTTTTCAGCTCCATCAGGTCATTTATGTTCTTCTCTAAACTGGTTATTCTAATTAGCAATTCATCTAACCTTTTTTCAAGGTTCCTAGCTTCCTTGCATTGAGTTAGAACATGCTCCTTTAACTTGGAGGAGCTTGTTATTACCCACCTTCTGAAGCCTACTTCTGTCAGTTTGTCAAACTCATTCTTCATCCAGTTTTGTTCCCTTGCTGGCAAGTAGTTGTGATTCTTTGGAGGAGAAGATGTGTTCTGGTTTTTGGAATTTTCGATGTTTTTGTGCAAGTTTTTCCTCATGTTTGTTGATTTATCTACCTTTGGTCTTTGATGTTGGTGATCTTCATGTGAGGTTTCTTTGCGGACATCTTTTGTGTTGATGTTGATGATATTGCTTTCTGCCTGTTAGTTTTCCTTCTAATTGTCAGGCCCCTCTGCTTCAGGTCTGGTGGAGTTTGCTGGATGTCTTCTCCAGACTCTGTTTGCCTGGGTATCACCAGTGAAGCTTGCAGAACAGCAAAGATTGCTGCCTGTTCCTTCCTCTGGAAGCTTCCTCCCAGAGGAGCTCCCACTAGATGCCAGCCAGATGGAGCTCTCCTGTGTCATATGTCTGTTGACCCCTGCTAGGAGGTGTCTCCCAGTTAGGAGGCACAGGGATCAGGGACCCACTGGAGGAGGCAGTCTGTTCTTTCAGTGAGCTTGAGCTGTGCTCTCCCACTGTGCTGGGAGATCAGCTGCTCTCTTCAGAGCAAGAAGGCAGAAAAGTTTAAGTCTGCTGAAGTGTGTCCTCAGCCACCCCTTCCCCCAGGTCCCCTGTCCAAGTGAGATGGGAGTTTTATCTAACAGCCTCTGCCTGAGGCTGCTGCCTTTCTTTCAGAGGTGCCCTGCTCAGAGAGGAGGAATCTAGAGAGGCTGTCTGGCTACAGCAGCTTTGCCAAGCTGTGGTGGGTTCTGCCCAGTTCAAACTTCCTGGTGGCTTTGTTTACACTGTGAGGGGAATACTGCCCACTTCAGACTCAGTAATGGTGAATTCCCCTCCCCCCATCAAGCACTAGTATCTTAGGAAAACTTCAGACTGCAATGCTGGCAGCGACAATTTCCAGCAAGTGGAACTTAGCTTCTTGTGCTTTGTGGGGGTGGATTCCACTGAGCTAGGCCACTTGGCTCCCTGGCTTCAGCCGCCTTTTCAGGGAAGTGAATGTTTCTATCTTGCTGGTTTTCCAGGTGCCACTGGGGTATGAAAAATAACTCCTCCAGCTAGCTCAGTGTCTGACCAAATGGCCACCCAGTTTTGTGCTTGAAACCCTGGGTCCTGGTGGTGTAGACTTCCAATGGAATCTTCTGGTCTGTGGGTTGCAAAGACCATGGGAAAAGCATAGTATCTGGGCCAGAGTGCACCATTCCTCAAGGCACAATCTCTCATGGCTTCCTTTGGCTAAGGGAGGGGGTTCCCCAACCTCTTGTGCTTCCTGGGTGAGGTGATGCCCCACCCTGCTTTGGCTCACTCTCCGTGAGCTGCACCCACTGTCTAACCAGTCCTAGTGACATGTGCCAGGTACCTCAGTTGGAAATGTAGAAATTACCAACCTTCTGCATTGATCTTGTTGGGAGCTGCAGACTGGAGCTGTTTCTGTTTGGCTATCTTGCAAATGTGTGGGTATTTTAAATGAGATTTACTTTCTGATATAGTTCTCATCTTGAATCTTATTGGTGTATACAAATTCTACAGATTTTTGTACCCCGAAAGTTTACTGAAGTTGTTAATTAAGTCTAGAAGACTTAAAAAGGGGTTTTTAGATATTTCTAGGCATATGATTCTATCATCAACTAGCAGAAATAATTTGAGTGCCTCTTTTCCAATTTGAATGTCTTTTCTTTCTTTCTCTTTCTTGGTTGCTCTGTCTATAGCTTCCAGTACTATGTCCGGTGAGAGTGCTGAGAGTGGACATCCTTGTCTTGTTGCAGTTCTCAGGGGGATTGTCTTTACTTCTGCACATTCTATATGGTGTTGGTTGTGGGTTTGTCATAGAAGGGTCTTATTAATTAGAAGTATGCTCCTTTAAAGCCTAATATGTTGTGGGTTTTTATCATAAAACAATATTGAATTTAATCCATTGCCTTTTCTATATCTACTGAGGTAATCATATGGTTTTTGTTTTTAGTTGCATTTATTTGGTGACTCACATTCATTCTTCTGTGTATGTGGAACCATTCTTGCATCCCTGGAATAAAATCCACTTGATTAGGATTTCTGTTTTCTTATTTGTTTGGTTTTTTTAAAAGTCAGCTTTTGTTTTAGATACAGGGGTACATGTGCTGATTTGTTACATTGGTACACTGTGTGATGCTGAGATTTGGAGTATGGATCCCATCACCCTGGTGGTAAGCATAGTATCTGATAGGTAGTTTTTACCCCCTCTCCCACCTTTTAGTTGTCCATAGTGTCTATTTTTTCCCATATCTATGTCTATGTATGCTCAATGCTTAATTCCCACCTATAAGTGGAAATGCTTATTATTTGGTTTTCTGTACCTATATTAGTTTGCTTAGGATTATGGCCTCCAGCTCCATCCATGTTGCTGCAAAGGACATGATTTCAATCTTTTTATGGCTGCATAGTACTTCATAGTACATATGTACCATATTTTCTTTATCCAGTCTACCATTAATGGACACATATTTTGATTCCATGCATTTGCTATTGTGAATAATGCAGTGATGAAGATATGCATGCACATGTCTTTTTGATAGAATTATTTATTCTCTTTTGGGTATATACCCAGTAATGGGGTTGTTGGGTTGAATTGTGACTGCGCTTTAAATTCTTTGAGAAACCATCAGACTGATTTCCACAGTGGCTGGACTAATTTGCATTACCACCAACAGTGTATAAGCATTTTGATGTGCTGTTTGATTTGGTTTGCTAATATTTGTTGAGGATTTCTGCATCTGTGTTCATCAAGAATATTGGCCTGTAGTTGTCCTTTTTTGTGTGGATGTCCTTGATTGTTTTTGCTATTAGGGTGATACTGGTTTCATAGAATGAGTTAAGGAGAAATTACTGCCCTTTCACTTTTTGGAGTAGTTTCAGAAACATTGGTATCAGCTTTCCTTTGTACAACTGACAAAATTTGGCTATGAATCCGCCTGGTCCTGGGCATTTTTTGCTAAAAGATTTTTTATGACTGATTTGATTTCATTACTCATTATTGGTATATTCAGGATTTCTATTTATTCCTAGTTCAGTCACGGGAGTTTGTATGTGTCTAGGAATTTATCTATTTTCTTTAAGATTTCGAGTTTGTATGCATAGGTGTTCTTAGTAGTCTCTGATAATCTTTTGTATTTCTGAGGTATCACTTATAATGTCACCTTTATTATTTCTGATAGTACTTATTTAAATCTTTTCCTTATTTCCTGGCTAATCTAGCTGTAGTTGTCTATCTTTTTTTATTCTTTCAAAGAACCACATTTTTGTTTCATTGATTCTTTGTATCATTTTTGGGGGGCCTCAGTCTCATTTATTTATGCTCTGAACTTTGTTATTTCCTGTCTTACTTAGTTCTGCTCTGATCTTTTTTATTTTCATTCTTCTGTTAGCTTTGAGATTGGTTTGTGCTTATTTTTCTAGTTCCATGATGTATGACGTTAGGTTAAGTTGGAATCTTTCTATGTTTTTTGATATAGACATTTAACACTATAAACTTTTCCCTTAGCATTGCTTTTGCTGTATCCCAGAGGTTTTAGCATACTGTGTCTATATTTAATTTATTTCAAAAAATTATTTGATTTCTGTCTTAATTTCATTGTTTACTCAAAGGTCATTCAGGAGCAAGTTGTTTGGTTTCCACATACTTGTTTAGTTTTGAGAGTTCCTCTTCATATTGGTATCTAATTTTATTCTACTGTTGTCTGAGAAGACAATATGATTTTGATATTTTTTGAATGTATGAGACTTCCTTTATGGCTAAGCATATAGTGTGGACTTTGGAAATGTTCTTTGTGCAGTTGAGAAGAATGTATACTCTGCAGTTGTTTGACAGAATGTTCTATACATATCTATTAGGTCTATATGGGCTATAGCCCAATTTAAGTCCAGAAATTCTTTGTTGATTTTCTGCCTCAATGATCTTCTAGTCATGTCAGTGTGCTGTTGAAGTCCCCTATTATCATTCTATTGCTATCAGTCTGTTTTGTTATGTCTGGTATTATTTGTTTTATGAACCTGGGTGCTCTGGTTTTGGATGCATATCTATTTAGGATATTTATTTTTTCTTGTTGTATTGAACCCTTTATCATTATAGTCCTTTTTTTATGATTGTAGGTTTAACATCTGTTTTATCTGATATGAGCATGGCTACTCTGGCTCACTTTAGTTTTCCATTTGCATGATATACCTTTTTCCCCCCTTTACTTTGAGTCTATAGCCATTTTAGCTGGTAGGTAGGTTTCTTGGAGGCAGCAAATGATTAGGTCCTTTTTTTTTCAATTAAATTTGCCACTCTGTATCTTTTAAGTAGAATATTTAGGTCACTTACATTCAAGGTTAATATTGATATGTGGCCAGGCATGGTGGCTCACGCCTTTAATCCCAGGACTTTGGGAGGTCAAGGCAGGCAGATCACCTGAGGTCGGGAGATTGAGACCAGCCTAAGCAACATGGAGAAATCCCATCTCGACTAAAAATACAAAATTAGCTGGGTCTAATGGCACATGCCTGTAATCCTAGCTACTCGGGAGGCTGAGGCAGGAGAATCACTTGAACCTGGGAGGCAGAGGTTGCGGTAAACCAAGATTGCACCATTGAACTCCAGCCTGGGCAACAAGAGCAAAACTCCATCTCAAAAAAAAATTGTTATGTGATGTTTTATTCCTGCCATAGTGTTGTTAGCTAGTTGCCTTTGAGTTTCAATTGTAAAATTGCTTTATCAGATCTGTGAGCTTTGTACTCATATGTCCTCTTATGGTGAGTATTCCCATTTTGTTTCCAAGTTTAGGACTTTTTCGATCAGTTCTTGTAGCACCAGGCTAATGGTGAGGAATTCCTTTAATGTTTGTTTGTCTGCCTCTGTCATTTCTGAAGTTTAGTTAGGCATGATATGAAATTCTTGGTTGGCAGTTCTTTCTTTAAGAATGCTAAAAATAGTCCCTGATCTCTTCTAGCATGCAGGGTTTCTTCTGAGAAGTCCAGTATTACTCCAACGAGATTTTCTTTATGGGTGATTAAACGTGTCTTTCTTGATGCTCGTAGGATTTTTTTCCTTCGTGTTGACTTTAGATAGTCTGATGACTATATGCCATAGTGAGGTTCTTCTTGCAATAAATCTTCCAGAATCTCTCTGAGCCTCACGAATCTGAATGTCTCAAATTTCTCCTAAGACCAGGGAACTTTTCCTGAATCTTTTCCTAAACTAGGTTTTCCATACTTTTTAGTTTTTTTCCTTCTCCCTCTGGAATGCCAGTAACTTGTAGTTTTGGATGCTTTACAGAATTCCATATTTTTCAAAGGCATTGTTCACTTTTAAAACCCTTTCCTCTTTATTTTTGTTTGACTGGATTAATTCAAAAGACCTGTCTTCCAGGTCTGAAATTCTTCCACTTGGTCTAGTCTTTTGTTAAACTTTCAACTGTATTTTGTGAATCCTTCAGTGATTTTTTTTTTAATTTCTAGAAGTTCTGTTTGGTTTTAAAAATGATATCTATCTCTTTTTTCATATCATGAATTGTTTTTCTGATTTATTTGTGTTGGTCTTTAACTTTCTCTTGGACCTCACTGAGCTTTTTAAAATCAATACCTTGCATTATTTATTTGGTATTCAAAGATTTTATTTTTGTTAGTACGATCCTTTGGAGGTGTTATAACACTTCATATTTTCATACTTTTCGAGTTGTTTCTCTGCTTCCCTCTCATTTGAATGAGTTATTTCTCCTTCTTGTTTTTTGAATTGGCTTTTGTTTGAATAAAAAATTCTGCCCCTTAACCCACTCCCCATTTGCACTGAGAACGCTCTCTGTTGGTCCTTGCAGCTGCAGCATTTACCCTGAGATAACACACCAGGTTTGGTATAAGAAATTCTTTTGCCATCTTTTAAACATTACTGTGCTGAACTCTTACATCCTATTCAAGAAGGACAATCTTGAGCACATGTTTCATCATGCAAACTTCAGAGTCACATTGATAGAAAGAATGCTGGAAAAGCATCACAAGCAAGGGCAGCAACCTCTTCAAGGCCCTCCATGCTGTGATGATGTCATACCACTTTTCCTGTCTAGATGACATTTCCTCAAAAGCATACCACCAACATCAGGGAAACAGAATTGGCTGGTTGCTGCATCATTTGCTGCTCACACAATGACAAGGATGACAAGAAGATTCAGAAAGAAATGCAGTATATTTTTGTGGAATGTGATGTTCCACTTTATGTTGTTCTATGTTTTGAAATGTACCACACAAAAAAACTATTAAATACTGATCTTTACATACATTTTTGTTACATTAGGATTAGAGACAAGTTCTATTTGGAAACAACTCCAAGGAAAGTTTTTATATTTTATTTTCACATTCAAAATCAGTCACCTTTGCTTCAGCCTCAAAGAGAGTGTTTACATAAAATTAAATAAATGCTGGAAGTAAGCTGCACTTTTTTTGTCTAATGGGAAAAGATTTAAGAAGGTGTGTATTATGTATGCTATTTAGGGTCCTTTGGCTTTGTTTCTGGGTGCTTTCAGTGGCAAAGTGTTTGTAAAAGTTCCTTGGTTATAAATAGGCTTTGTATAATGGCTTTCCCAAATGCTGGTTGAAATAGTGCTGTACAGGGTATGTGAGCAGGTTCATTTCCTCCTCTGGGGCTATAGTGTGGAGGTCTCAGAAAGCATATCTTGTTCCCCAGTGCTGTGAGGTTGTGTCATCAGATTTTCTATTGTGTTATGCATTTCTAACTCTGGAACAGCTGGTGGTACTTATAGGTAAGAGCTGGCTAAGGTTAATGCATATGTGTATATACTTGATCCTTGTTTACTTGTAGAAGCTCTCTGTTACCTCAAGCAATGGGCTGATCACTGGCAAGCACACTTGTGTGAGCTCCCAGCTTAGCCCTCAAATGGAGGACCAAGACAGGTGGAGCTAGATGAGACAGGCCTGCCTACAGGTCTCCTAGTGTCAGGAACAAGTATCAGCTTTGAAAGCAGGTCTAGTGGGCCATAGTCAGGTATCTGGAGGTGTGCTAACTCATATTGTCAGGAAATCCTGGCTGCCCCAAGTCCTCTGCATGGGTGGAGTGGCCTAAACTTCTAATTTAGAATAGTGGGTGCTTCAAGTGCCTGGAGATATTTCTGGCCATCAAGCAGAGACCATGGCTGCACCAATATCTCTTCACCTGAAGGGAAGGGTACTTCAGGATCCTTATCCAGGGAAGCAGTGTACCAAATGCCTGGAAATATGCCTGGGGATGTAGCAAAAAAAACTACTGCTGCCAAAACATCTTTGTAGGGGATAAGAGGGGCAAGTCAAGCTCCTAATCCCGGGGAGTATGTGCACCTCAAGCTGCATGTGACATGACTAGGGAATGAGCACAGAAATCACCACAACAAGGTCTTTGCATGGGAAGGTAGAGGCTGTTCAAACTCCTAATCATTGAGGATGGGTTTGCAGAATGCCTGCAGTTATGTCTGGGTGTGCAGCAGAGGAAGCGCTACTGCACTAAGGTCTTTGTGTGGGAAGAAGTGGTGGCTCAAGCTCCTATTCCAGTGAGCAGGTACACCCAAAGCTTGGTGATATGTGTAGGCATGGAGCAAAGAGTGTGCCTCTGCACCAAGGTCTCTTCATGGGAAGGAAGGGGAAGCTCAGGCTGCTAATCCAGCTGAGTGGGTGCTCCAAATGCTTGGAAAAATGACCAGGAATGGAGGGGAGGGTGCACCTACCACCTTGCCAAGATCTTAGTAAGGAAAGGGTAGCTTGGCTCAGGCTCCCAATACAGGTAAGCAGGAGTGTGGTTTGCTTGTCTCCTGTTTCTCAGAACTGGTGGGACACTCTCTCATGACTGAACAAGGGAGCAGGATGGGCATCCAGCAATGACACAGGCAGCCCAGTTCCAGGTCATAAAGCTGTCCCTGACTGCAAGGCGTGATGCCCAAGAGAAACCTTGATTTCAGCAACTCTCCTTCCACTCCAGTCCTGTGATGGGAGAGAGCTCAACTCCAGTGCTTACTGTTGGGGTGCTCACCACACTCACTGCTCAATTCTGACTGTGGGTGCCCTTTCCCTGCTCCAGAGCAAGCGCTTCAGTCTCTGGCCTGAGACTAAAATGCCTGCAGTGACTGCTGCTGCCAGGTCACCAAACAATGACTGACTTTGCAGGAGCGCAGATTTAAAATGGCATTGTCTTCTCAGTTCCAGGTCTGGGAAAACACCTGCAGATTTTCCTGATGTCTTTCCCTTTCATCACCTTCCAGCCTCTCTCTAAGTTAGTTCCAGCGTTTGGGGCCTGGATCTCTAGCAGAAAGGAGATTCAGAGAGGGAGACTCTCTGGCCCTCTCACATACTGGGGGCTTCACCCATTTTGATAAGCTGAACACCATCATGGGGCCTGCATTCCCACCTCCTTCACTTGGGATCTGAAGTGTGTTTCACTATTTCAGCGAATTCCCACATTTTTTCTTGAATTAAAGCTCACACAATTGATCTTTATATACTATTTTTCTATTTCCAAGTGGCTGAGGTATGTTAAAGCCTCTAATCTGCCATCTTGAGAAAAAAAACACACATTTTTTAAAAAAGAAACAAAATGATAGTTTTATTTATTTGTGAATTTATATCAATGGAATCATCCAATAGTACTTATTTACTGTCCAGTACTTTCATTTAATGTGTCGTGACATTCAATCAAGTTGTTGCAGGCAGAAATAGCTGTTATCTTTTTCTTAGTGTTTCACTTTATGAGCATTTTACAATTGTTTTATGATATTGCTTCAAACATTTGCCTTGCTTCCAGTGTGGGGCTATTGTGAATAGCACTATTATATACATTCCTATACATGTCTTTTTGCTATCACAAGGTATTGTTGCATTTCTGTTCAGTACATACCTACAACCGCAATTGCTAGATATGCGTGTATTTACTTTAGATAAATTCTGCCAAAGGACTATCCAAATGGTTGAACTATTTTACTAATTTTTCCATGAGACTGTGATTGTTTCGCTTTCTCATCAACAGACAACATAATGTGTCCTTTTTTCATTTGAACCATTCTGATGAATTATATAATAATATCTAATTGAAGTTTTAGTTTGTATTTCCATAAAGCTTAATGATGCTGAGCAATTCAAGTTTGCATTGTCAACAGTGATCCTTCATTTGTGAAAGCCTAGTTTATTTTGCATACATAAGCGCACTGTTGGCTTTATTTTTTAAAAAAACAATCACTGGTATATAGAAGAACTGCTTGTTCATGCAAATAATTGTTTCACATGGAACCTTTTGAAAGTAAATACTAACCTGATTCCAGATACTTGAGGTATTTTAGTATGTATTTACTCAAAACAATGTGCTTGTGCTTCTCTTATATAACTATAGTAAAACCATCAGGATCAGAAAATTAATGTTAATGCACTGGAACTTTCTAATTCTTGTTCCTGTTGGTGTTTTACCAAAAGTCCCAAAATATATGCTTTTTGTCCCTCTCATAATTTAGTTCAGAATCCAGAATCGCATGCCACAACTAGCTGTCATGTCTCTTTCATCAACTTCAGTGTGGAGCAGTTCTTCAGTTATTATTTGACTTCCAAGACATTGCCACTCTTTGAGAGTATAGGCTGAATACTTATAAAATGTCCCTCAATTTAGGCCTGTCTGATGTTTTTTGATGACTAAATTCAGCAGAGGAATCTCTGCTAGGAATATCACAGAGGATACTTTTCATTTTTGAGTGATAGACAATTTCAATGTGTTTCATCAGAATGATGTCATTTGATTACTAGGTTTAGATAGTTTGTGGCTGTCTTCTCCATTGTAACTAGGTTCTTCTCAACTATGTAACTTAGATGTATTCTGTGGGTAGATTCTTTGAAATTTTGTAATTATTGTAAACTAAAAATAAATCCTAAGCCTGCTTGGACAAGGGAACCTCAGCAAAAACCTTAAAAACTATTCCTGGCCACGAGAGGATGGGAGGTCAGACATGCCTCTTTAGACCCCCTCTCTTTTGTGGTTTACACAAAACAACTCATCAACATTAGTGTTAAAATAGAGGTCGTAAGACTGATGGGGTGGACTTTTTGTGGCAATAAGATACCAACTTATAAATAGGACCTAAGGTCATGGCAGGCAAGAGTTAGGTCATTCACCTCTACACTTAAAGAATAAACTGTGTTCTAACTGGCACAAGGTTTTAATTTTTCTCTAGCAACTATACAAGCACGGGCCTCCACCAGATGCTCACCCCTTCCCACTGTTCCACAAGCCATAGCTACAGCTTTCATTGGACAAGAGACTGATTTCAGTAACTTTATTCTGATAAGAGGACCACTGAACCTGCTGTACTGGTTCTGACTGTTTATAGAGGCTTTGTGCTTGAGTGCCCTCATGTCCCTGCTCCATTTTTTCGCCTATGGGGTTAAAGATGAGTGGATCAGTGAAGTAGAAATGGAGATTAAGTGTCTAAATTCATGCCTCTGTTTTGGTATTATTGTGAACACTAATAATATTTGAATTTTTTTCACTTTATGTTTTCAACTTAGAGTCAAGTATGAATATATACTTTCATATTGCTAATCATATGTTCTGGGTTTTATTCTTCTGTCTCCAAACAAGAACAAAATCCTTGGAAAGTCTCAACAGATTACATTATTTTTCTAATTTATATTTCTTGTTTTACACTTAACATAAATGCATTGGTAATTTGATTCTATGGCCCTGAAGTAATTAGCCTCATTTTATCTCCAAATAATACACAACTGAACTGATTTTCTCAATATTTCCCTGAAGGTTGTTTCTTCCCTTGGACAGACTTTCTCTGTTATAAAGCCAAACCTTCAGTAACTCTAGATGACAAACATCCAGAGACCTTCCTCACCCTCTTCTCCTTTGTCACTATCTGCTTATTATTATGAGGACAAGCCTGGCCTCCTGGCACTCTCTTTTCTTTATTTCTTGCATTATGCACAAAAGAGGGAAAGTCTGAGAACTGAACCAGCAATTAATAACACTTTTTATTTAGCACATTCACAAAAGAAATGGATCTAAATTATCATTCATTAATCACTTTTCTGTGTTTTACAGTGATAACATATTAAAAAGTCAGCATTAGAAAAGTATTAGCATATGCAGCAATTAATACAAGTGTTACAGAGTATGAATAATTGCAGATATATTTGTGCAGTGACCTGAACAACTCTCCTTAATGGAGTTTGGATGCTTATGGGATATTGAGTGAATGGGAAGATTTGATGAGAGGTCAGAGAAGACATAATAGTGGGAATGTCCTTGATAAAAAAAGAGTTGCAGGTGATAGCAGATCGGCAGCCAGATGGGCTAGCATTCTTCAGACAGGGATGAAGCAGATCTGGTATGAGGGTGGCAGAGAAACAATCCCTTTGGTAACTGCAGTAGTATTGAGGTTCTTTAAATCATCAACAGATTTCAGGTTAAAGTTCTGTAAAATTGTGGTTAGAAATAAAAATAGCTCCATGCGGGCAAGTCCTTCTCCTGCACAAATTCGTTTTCCTGAAGATAACAAAGAAAGGAAGTAGTTACTCCTTGTGTTTAACTGTGACTGTGACAAACAGTCATTTGTGACTTGCACAAACAGAATATGCAGTAAATAATTGATTAATGATTGGGTAGATGAATGAACATGTGGATGAATGGATGGATGACATGATGGATTGATTAATGGATGGTGGGACAAACAAATGTACAAAAAGAGATATATTTGCTATCTGTCTAACATCTAATCTCAATAGGCACCCTTCATTCAACAAATATTCATTGATTATCAGCTCCATAACAGTCATTTCTTTATTTATTCCCACATTAAAACAGCTCTTTTGCCATTTTGAGTTTCCATCTGTCATTATGGAAATACATGCACATTCTTGTTTCCTGTTCCAAGCCTGATATTCCATGACTTTTCCTTCCACTTTTCACATAATCTGTTCTCAGCTCTGGTCATACACTCTCTTCATCAATCTTGAACACACCATGAAGTTTCAAGTTTCATATCCTGTTGTTCATTTTGGCTAAGATACATCTTTATTAGGCTACATTCAGGACATAGGTTCAATTTCATTTCATCTTCACACTCTTTACAATCCCCTCAAGTAATCAAATCCTATGCTCTCTGGTTTTCCTCAACAGCATACTCATGCTTTCATTAAAGCACAGATTACCAGGAATCGTAATTCTGTATTTATTTATCTATTGTGGTAAAATGTGAATTCTTGAAGGAAGGTCTCTGTCCTTGTCATGTTGGTATCTACAGTGCCAAATATAAAGCAGACATAAAAGATCAAAGAATAAAGGAAGGAGATTCCATGGCCAGAGACTTAGCACACAAAACACAGGTGTGAAAAGCAAGTATCCAGGATATATGATCATGATTGGAAGAAGACAGGGTGCTCTGGAATCACTGCAAAATAACCTCTTAGCTTATGTAACCTCTTAGCTTCCCTTAAATTTTATCACCTCCTTTGAAGCACATGAAACATCCTCTGAGTTGCTTACTCCATTTTATGCCTCACTGTGTTATATGAGAGAGCAAGAAGCATGCAGAGTCCCCCTCTAGCCGCTACCCAAGGGCCTGTGCTTTCCTCTCTCACAGTCCTGGTCTGACTAAATTACAATGACCTGTTTACTCTTCTTCCCTAACTCAAGAGTGAGCCTCTGTTCTCATTGAAAGTTGTGCCCTTGGAGCTCAGCCTGGGAGGTGACAGACACCATGTAGAAGACACTCAATGCAGTTGTGGACTTAGATACATTTGTCAAGGCAGGTAAGGAAAGATCAGATGAATTTTACCTTCTAGGAGGAGCTCTTGGGTGCCTTAGTGATGTATCTAGTGGCAGAGTTCAGTCAAACCAAGATGTTCATTTTCTCAATTGGGAACAACAGAGTTAACTCCTGCAAGCCCCGCTATCTGGCCCAATAATGATGGTGTATTGTGAGGGTGGAGCACATGGGTGTTAAGAGTGGTGCTCTTGATCATGGACAAATAGCAATTCTACCAGCCCCAGAGGAGGTGCCATGTAAATTCCAACTAATTCCAAAAAGTTCTCTCTTTCCTTTAAATACAAATGGAAACGAGTTTCTATTACCTGCTGAGAAAGGCATGAAGTAGTCACTTTTCTTAAAGTTGCCATTCTTATCTAGAAAGTGGCCAGGGTCAAAGATATTTGGATTAGGAAATTCTTTGTCATCATGTAGCACGGAAGTCAGTAATGCCATTATGGTTGTGCCCTGGAAGTAACAAAACAGATAATCTGATTTATAAAGAAGTCCAGAAGTGAGGAGAAGTAGTGGACATCACGTAGCGCCATAACGTTGATCTATAGATGAGGAAACTCAGGTCCAGCCAGACACAGTAATTTACATGGATGAGCTTAAGGCCAGTGGTGGAAGCTTGCTAAAGAGCTTTCCAATCACATTTGAAGTCTTACATCTTGGATACTTGTGTGCAACCTTCTGAATGTGTTCTCCAGATCATCAAGTTTGGATGCCCTTTTCTGGCCTCATTTGCCGCTCTATTTCATCACTTCAAATTTGACACATCTTGTATTTTGATTATGTAGATTATGGTTTAAAATGGAAGTCTCTGTTGACACTTGAAATGTCCAGAGTATCTGTTCATAGAACTTTTGTAAATAAACATGTAATCTATTTTAATATGATGTCATCTGGGATGACAACCACAAGTGCAATAAGAAGTAAAAACTATTGTGTGTTTATTACTGCCATGCTACAGATTAATTTTAGCTTAAAACACTGAAAAGATGATGAAATTACAAAGATTATCACTTTGCAACAATTCAAGTCAGGATCATCAGGTCAGGTAAGGATCATCAATTAAAGCTAGAACCGTTGGGTGTGTGATTCTGGAAGCAGGAGTTTCGGATAATCTTAATGCACTCCCATAGATTTTTACTAGTTGCATATAAAAAGCAGAACCCCTACAATGGTAAGATCTGGAGGATACAACCTTATTATGTGGGGAACTTAGCATGACCAATAATGACATATGTGACATTTCATGCTCCCACCTCATCAATGTGATTCAGCAGGATATTTAAAGCACCTATGTAGTTTTCTTGCCAAAATTGTAGCTGGAATCTGCCTCTAGAAAACAGTCATACAAAACCAGCCTGAGGAACATTTTAAATGACTGCTGGTCTCAAAAAGGTCAACTGATTGAAAAGAAACAAACCAGGAAAGGAACTTTCCTTGATTACAGGAGGTGAAAAGGTCAACATAAATGAACTATATGCTTGTTCCTTGCCTGTATAGTAAACTGCAGGAGAAAAAAGCCATAAAAATATTCTAGAAAAATTGTGAAAATTTAAATTTAGGCTGTATTATTATTTGAACAATAGCTACTGAGTGTGACTATTATTGTGTAAAAGAAAAATCTTTGTTTTGGGGCATTACATACTGCAGTATTGAGGTGTAGATAGACCCTTGTATTGAGAAAGAAAAACCTCTTCTGGTTGTGTGCTTTGATGAAAACTGTGGATTGTAGTCCTAATCCTTGTAAAAAAATCAGTGATAATTAGGGAAAACCCCATCACATCTTGATAAGTTATCAATTCTGTCTTCTCCAGAGGATGACATTAGTAATTGAAACCTTATCAGTCTCATTGTTTTCCTTCATGAAGATATAACCTTTATTATTTTTAATTGAAAAATAATAAGTGGAATTGTGTAGTTTATAGCATAGCAACTAAAACATCTGGATGAATACAGAAACCATGTGATAGACAGCATTGTAAAGCTGCAAAGACCAAAATTGGCCTCCAGATTATAAAGACAATAATTGGCCCCAGTGACGGAAGAACTTCAGAGAGGTAAGCTCATACCTACAGTCAATTTTTGACTGTGTTCATGTCATATTCAATTCTGAATCAGGACAGGAGGTGTTGTCATTATAATTGCCTATGAGAGGGGAATGAATACATTCTGGAAAAAGATAAATGTTCTCTGAAATTCTGCATTTTTTCATATATAATATCTGGTACTGAGCCATAGGTTTTTAGGCATTTCAAGGATACAACTAAGCAGTCACACGAAGAAAAGTGGAAGGAAGGGAAAGCAATAAAAACAGACCCACATTAGGGAACGTTTCTCACCTAGTTTTATGCAGCCAGCATTATCTTGTTATCAAAGCTCTGAAAAGAAAATTTTGAGGAAGAAAAATTGCAGACCAAAATATCTTATGAATACAGAAGTCCTGAACAATAAGTAACAGAACAAATCCAGCTGTTTGTGTATACTTATGTATATTTAGTGAGGGATGTGAGGCCAGTATATACAATCATATAAATAGATGCAGAGAATCAATTTGATAAAATTGCACACACATTCATGACACAAATTTATATAAAAATGAGAGAAGAGAAAAAACTTCCCTAATCTGATAAAGGATATCTACTAAAATCTTAAAGATTTCTGATAAAGAATATCTACTAAAATACTTAAAACAGCAGCAATTTTTTGGGATCTTAAAGTGCATAATTGGGCTGCAGATGACACTGTTAATTTCTATTACAGACTTTAAAATCATGAGGGAGATCGTGTTTGCCTCACTGCCTTACTGTTCTATGAGAATGATTTTTGATAGTTTCCCTTACTGCACAACTTTTCTCCAAAGTGTTTGTCTTTTAGAACAGCCAGAAGGAAGTTACTGGCTTTTAAAAAATCTGTGCAAGGCCGGGCGCGGTGGCTCACGCCTGTAGTCCCAGCACTTTGGGAGGCCGAGGCGGGTGGATCATGAGGTCAGGAGATCGAGACCATCCTGGCTAACAAGGTGAAACCCCGTCTCTACTAAAAATACAAAAAATTAGCCGGGCGCGGTGGCGGGCGCCTGTAGTCCCAGCTACTCGGGAGGCTGAGGCAGGAGAATGGCGTGAACCCGGGAAGCGGAGCTTGCAGTGAGCCGAGATTGCGCCACTGCAGTCCGCAGTCCAGCCTGGGCGACAGAGCGAGACTCCGTCTCAAAAAAAAAAAAAAAAAAAAAAAAAAAATCTGTGCAAAACTACCAAGGTGCTCTGGGCTCTGCTCCCTGCCATCCCCAGTTTGCTAGCCTTATTTAGGGAAGGTACAGGAGTCTGATCACTTGGAATGACATGAGCCTTCTGGGGGCTGGGATTTTATGAAAATACCAACTATCTGTTTCATAACAAATGTAGAGTATCATTTCAAACCATATTCGTGAAAATTCTTTTATAAATGAAGTTAAATAAAAGTCAATTATTTTAAAAAAATACTTAAAACATCATTCTCAGTAGTGAAATATTAATATTCTTATACTCTACCCCCCAGCAGATCAGAAATGAAATAAGGATGCCCTCTATCACCAATTCTGTTCAATGCTAACCTGAAAATCCTAGCCAGCACAATAATGCAATAAAGATAAATTGAAGACAAAATCATTGGAAAATAAGATATAAAATACATATTAACCCAGATAGCAAAATAATATACATAGAAATTCCAAGTATATCTACAGATAAATTATCAGCAATGATCAGTAAATTTAGGAAAGTTGTTAGATATAAGGTCATCAGAATAGTATAATTGAATACAATTACTTATACCAATTACAAAGAAATAAAAAAAAATTAAAAAATTATAACACAACAAAATATTAATTATCTAGGAAAAACCTAATAAAAGAGTTGTAAACCACTGCACTGAAAATAAGACATTACTGAGAAAATAGAATAAAGCTCAATAAGTTGGGAGCATAACCATATTCATGAATTAAAAAATTCAATGCATGAACATGTTAAGTCTTTCCATATCGAACTACACAATGAATGTCACTTTGATAAAAATCTCAGAAGAGTGTTTTGGGAAATTGACACACTGATATTTTCAACAATTATTTGAAAGTGTAACACCTAAGAGCAGCCTATTAAGGAGACCTAGCTTTATAAATCTTTATAGCCCCAAACAAAATAGCAGAAAGTCCATCAAGCTGCCACATGTATGAGTTTTGCACTTCTCTCATCTTGTGTTGTTAGAGGGTTGGAACCAAACCAGCACTATGGAAATTTCAGAAGTACAGAAATATAGTGTAAGAGAAACAAGCTTACCTTGGGGATGAGGTAGTTTCTGAACTTAGTATCAGTGGTCACTGCATGGGGCACACCGGTGGGGACAAGGTCACTGTATCTCTGGATCTCGTGCACTACAGCATCAGTGTAAGGCATGTGGCTCCTATCCTGCATGCAGGGGCTCCTGTGTCTGCCAATTACATGATCAATCTCTTCCTGGACTTTAGCTGACAAGACACAAGAAAGAACTGATGGAAACGAAGATATATGGAACATTTGTCATAGCAATTCATGGCCACATTAACATGATATAAAAATCCCAGCAACATTACAAACATGAGTTACATGTCCAGAAGTACAACCAGCCATATAAAAAGAATTACCATAATATAGATACATACCACTCTCCTACAAACTAGTCATTACAGTGCATAAGTACATTTCTATAAATTAGCATATATGACAATACAAATTTAAGTAATACATTATTTAAAAAATAAACAGAACATAATAAGTCAATAAATTACAGTGCTTGCAAACAGAAAAACAATCAAATATGTATTATCAAAATAATATATGGGGTATAATGTTAAATTGTAATGGTTTTATAAATATATTTGTGTGTGCGGTGGTGGAGCAGGGGCAGTGATGCAATTAGCAATGGTACTGTCTTCATTCTTCCATTTCCAATTGTGGCCACTTTGAGCATGCTAGCAGTTTCTTCTGAAATTTATATTTGTATTTCTAAATAACCACTATTTCTTTCTATTTTTTACTTAACAATTTTTAGACAATATTTAATGATTTTCTGGTATGAGAGATGAGAATTTTCATCTCCATCTCTATTCCATATATAGACACACGCCCACAAAGTTATATGTGTACACACAGACACACCCACACACGTACACACACACAATTCTCCTCCTTCTACTTACCAGAATATATTTAGACCACAATTTCTGGTTATATCACTATTCATTGTTTACATCATTCTAAATATACTCACAGAAGCACACACACACACACACACACACATATACACACATACACATTCTTCCTTGGTTCTTTAGTTAAATCACAATTTTC
Source organism: Homo sapiens (assembly GCF_000001405.40). NCBI lineage: Eukaryota > Metazoa > Chordata > Mammalia > Primates > Hominidae > Homo > Homo sapiens. The sequence goes on from NC_000010.11 coordinate 95,043,940, forward strand.
TATTCTTCAAGTTAGAGTATTTGCACATGTTTGAAACTCCTAGTAATAATTTCCCAATTATAGGGAAATCTCAGACTATCAATCACATCTCTTTGATTCTTGAAGTCTCCTCTACATGTATTATTCACCTGGTCCCTTCTGAAGTGGTTGTTTCCTAGGAGCACAGCAGCCTCTCTGACACTCTCATTCTCTTACATGAGGTCTCCTGATTCCTGGCACCCATTATTTCTTCTGACTTAGTTTCAGACATGAGATGGAGCACAACCCCCAGTATTGGAGAAACTTAGTATAGAGGGTAAAATTTGTAGCAACCATGTAGGTCCCAAATACTTTTTTTCTATGAATACACAAGATAGTATGCTTGAGAATTCTGATGCTGTTTGAATGCTGATATTTTATATATGACCTGATATAACTCTCTGAAAGATTTTAATTTTCCCTTTACTTCTGGTGCTCTGAAATTCCATGACTTTGTGTCCTGTGATGGATGTTTTAATTTCATTCACTCTGCTGGACATTTATAGATAACTTTCTATTAAGTTGGCAAAATACGGAGGTCTTTTCTCCAGACTTGTTTCTTCTCTGGAGAGTATCTAGCTGGCTGCTGAATGTCAGGAAGCAAGATGAAGAAAAATGCTGAGTCTTTGAATCTGAGGAATAGATCTTTCTCAAACCTTTTTTTTTTCTGTCTTCACATCTCACAGTTTCCTGGCCCTGTAAAGTGTCGCCGAGTACAGGGGTTCTTAGGCTCAGTCTCTCTGGAGAGTATGCTTCCCTTTCCCAGTGGGAAAAAATCAGGTACCTGATAAAAGGAGTTATGGAGGAAACTTGGGCAGGAGAGCCTCCCTTTTCAGTCTCATTCCCTACTGTCTTTGGCTCTTGGTGCCTCCAAATACTGAACCTTATGAGAATCACAGTGACACAGATTAGCTTCTCCTCTTGATAAATCTTCCTCTGCTAATACTTACAACTCCATCCTCTATGCTGTGTCAATTGTCAGCCCTCCATTGTCTCTCCATGTTTTAGAAATTTGCCAAAGACTTATTGGCTATTTTCTATTCTCCTCTCTTTTCACTTCAGCAGGATAATTTTAATTTGTAATTTAGTTATTGAAATTTCAGTGGGATCCTGACACAGGGAAAAAGGTATGTTATCTGCTGCAAAGCAGGAACTATTTAAATGTAAATTCTAAGGAAATGTAGAGTTTACTCTAAGGGTAAATTGTAAATTCTAAAGAAAAGTTGTATGTGAAAGATGCAATTATTAAACCCCCTTCCAAATGTCCCTATTTGGTCAAATAGCATTTTTATGAAACACACTCCTAGAATAATAAAATTCCTTTAGGTATGGCCTCTGCTTAAATAGAAACACCTTTGTAAGAGACTAACTTTTAGATTACTTCCCAGACTGGAATTTATGTCAGGATGCCTCAGTACAATTCTAGAATTTCCACTTATGCTTCAATAAAGATTGTTTTCATCTCCCCACCACAGCATTAGAGCATGGAATTTTTAAAATGAGAAATGAACCTACTGTTCAAAGTGGACTTTTCATAATAAAACCAACATTCAATACTAGGGCAATTTATGCTGGCTCTCCTTACCACAAATTACCTTTGCTGAAATCCAGACACTTCATCAGTGCTTTACTTATTTTGCTACTGCCATACTGTTTCTACTGATCTCTGTCATCCTCCTCCATTGTACAAAGATGTCATTTTAAATTGTGTCATCAAATTTAGACAGATTACAGCTGATGACACAGAAATTTAAAGAATGAGCCTTCTCTGAGAGAAACAAGGTGGAGGATACTGGCACCATCTTCTCAGCATTGTTCTGAAATTCACTTTGTTCATCATCTGTGGTCCTACCTGTGACCTCTGGGTGCTTCAGCAGGAGCAGGAGTCCATATCTCAGAGTGGTGCTTGTTGTCTCTGTTCCAGCAACAAATAGATCAGCTACAGTGCCAACCAAGTTTTCAATATTGAATTCTGACTTTTGGTTGTCCTTTTCCTAGAAGTGATTTCATGCAATTATCTGACAAATTATGTGCCAGTATATCTAAATACACTAAATTTTAAAAAACATACTATTTTTTAAAGTTAGCCAAAAGAGATACTGGACAGTACAGTATTAGAAAAAGCAACTGTGTGGTATGGCAGAAACTGCAGATCAGTTGACTCAAACTTTATTTCCTGACAGACCTACAAGTTCCATTCATGAAATCATTCGCTGCTTAGGTTAGTCACACAGAATATTTCTTTCCCCAGAAATAAAAGCAGAAGTATACTGATGCCCTGTCTTACTTCAATTTGTGTTATAAAACAGAATACTATAGACTTGGTAATTTATAAAGAAAAGAAATTTATTTCTGATGATTCTGAAGGCTGGGAAGTCCAAGAGCATGGCACTGGCTTCTGGCAATGGCCTTCATCCTATTTCATTGCATGGCAAAAAGTAGAAGGGCAAGAAAGGGTAAGAGTGAGAGCAATTGGGGGGGGCACACTCACATTTATAACAAGCTATCAAGAACTACCCCACTCTTGCAATAACAACATGAGTATATTTATGAGGTCAGAACACTGATGACCTAGTCATGTTTTGTTAGGCTGCACCCACAAACACTGTTGCATTGGGCATTCACTTTTAGCACATGAACTGTAGAGGACACATTCAAACCAGAACATGAATCTTCTTCTCTTTTCTCCTCATTACTCAAAACACAAATGTGAAGGGGGAGGTAGGATTGACATCATCTTGGGACATGAGCATTTGATCATAGTAATGAAGACTTCTATACTAAATATGGTAAAAAAAAAAAAAAAAAAAAGAAGGCACTTGACTCTCTCATGCTTCAGGGCTACCATATTATTTCTAGTCTAGCCCACTATAAGACTTCTTGTATTTGAGATATATAAGCCAACTATTTGATTAAGCTCTTGATATAGTTTGGATAATAAATATTTATCTCTCCCAAATCTTTTGTTGAAACTTAATCCCCATTGTTATAGGTGGAATCTGGTGAGAGGTGATTGGGTCATGGGGGTAGATTTCTCATGAGCATTATTTCCCTTGATGTTATCCTGATAATAAGTGAGTTCACATAAGATCTGGTTTTTTAAAACTGTTTCCCCAACTTGCTTCTCCTCTTGCCATGTGACGTGCCTGTTCCTGCTTTGCCTTCTGCTATGAGCAAATACTCCCTGAGGACTCTCCAAAAGCTGAGCAGATGCAAGCATCATGCTTGTACAGCCTGCAGAACCGTGAGCCAATTGGGCCTCATGTTCTTATAAATTATCTGGCCTCAGATATTTCTTTATAGAAATGCAAGAACAGCCTAACACATTCATTTTTATGATTTTTTTATTATTTGTAAGTGAACACAATTTTAGTTTATAGATATAGGTAAATTAGGGCTATATCATGAAAAGTGTTACACTCTTGAATCAAGAGTTTGCAATTTTCTTCTGTCAAAAATTTACAAAGACTCAGTATCACCTACATATTCATTACAAAGCTGAAATGTGTAAAACAAATATGTCAACAAAACCAAGAATGAAATATAGTGAAAGAGAATGAGTTCACAAAGACAAGACAGGTCTAACAAAGTTGTAATCCAGATAGGCAACAGGCAACTTATTCTTAGGAATAAGTTCAGGAATAAATAGGAAAATACAAAGTGAAGAGAAATGGCAATTATTAATACAAAAACTTGAGGCATTAACTGCCTATATTGGATAAAGAAGAGTAGGGGCAATGCAAATGCCAAGGCCAAGGGACTAATCGAATAAAGTTCTCATAAATTGAAAGTGTGAATACACCTACAATAAGAAAATTATTTGAATTAGTAATCAAGAACTCCACCCCCCTCAAAAAAAGTTCCAGCTCAAGATTACTTCACTAGTGAATTCTACCAAAATAGTTAAAAACAGCTCAGATCCAAGGAAAAGGAAAGGGACCTTGTGTGAACAAGGTAATATCCTCGAGAAGTCTCAAAACCACAGCCTACTCCAGTACTTGTGCTCATGAAGGCAAGGAAGGTCACCTTGAGTTCAGATCCCAGCAGTCTGCCAAATTGGGTAGGGAGGCTGAGAACACTCCTACCTGCCCTTTCCATGGATTACTAAGTCTCTCAGGGTTTCACCTCTGCCAGCTTCTTTTTACTTTATTTGTGTGTATGTGTGTGTGCGTGTTTGTGAGTTGTAGATTCTTTCTTCTTATGAATTGACCAATAAGCTCCATTGCTCTCTCTTTAACAGTCCATTTGGCTTATGATTATTCACCTGTAATATTGGCTCTTCCTTCTGAGGATAATTGAACATTGACATCTTTGTCAGCCAACTGGAAATCTCTGATGCCTCAGGCTGTGGAAAGGTTTGAGAGATGTACAGTGCTTGGGTTCCACTCTTTGCTACAAAGGAGGGCAATGTTGAATGGGGCTTAACTGGGCCTAACTGTCCTCTGGTCTCCTAGCAGCAGGTGCAAGCACCACCTCTGATCGAGGTGGCAAGAGAGTGACATAGACTTTGTAAGATTTACTTGGTTATAAATAGGTTTAGTGTGGTAATTTTCTCAAATGCCAGCTGTACTAGCAATGTATTGGGTTTGTGAACACACTCAAGACCTTCCGATTAGCTGGGGTGATGTGGGTATGGTGTTAGCTGAGATACGATAAAAGTTTTCTCCTTCCCAAATGCTATGTTATTTTGCCAGCAGATGTTGTAATAGGCTGTGCCTATTGGCTTCCAGCTAGGAGGTGGTTCTTGCAGGAAAGAGCCACCTACGCTGGTAGCTGTGGGATTTGTGCTTGGCTGATATTACCCAGGGGAACATGTAGAAGAATGAAATATGATTCTTATATCTCACCACATACAAAAATTAACTCAAGATGGACTAAAGACTTAAATATGAGACTTGAAATCATAAAAATTCTAGAAAAAACCTATAAAAAACTCTTCTGAGCATTGGTGTAGGCTAAGGATTTATGACTCAATGTTTAAAAGCAATTTCAACAAAAACAGTTGACAATGGGACCTAATTAAACTAAAGAGCTTCTGCACAGTAAAAGAAATGACAAGCAGAGTAAACATACAACCTACAGAATGGGAGAAAATATTTGCAAAATATACCTTCAACAAAGGACTATTTTCCAGAGTCTACAAGAAACTCAAAACAGCAAGAAAAAAATCCGAATAATCCCATTAGAAAGTGGGCAAACAACATGAACAGAAATTTCTCAAAAGAAGATATACAAATGGGAGAGTGGAGCAAGATGACAGAATTGAATGCTTCATTGATTATTCCCCAAGCAAAGACATCAGTTTAACAGCTATCTACACAAAATGTACCTTCATAAGAACCAAAATCAGATGAGCATGCACCTTGATTTAAATATATATCACTGAAAGAGGAAATGAAGAGATAGAAAAAATACTATTGAATTACTGACATCCTCTCTTCCCCTGGCAGCAGTGGCATGGTTCAGAGAGTATTTCTGAGTACTGAGGGAGGGAGAGCACAGCAATTATAGAGCATAAAATTAGTGCAGTTCTGTTAAGGCAGAAAGGAAAACAGGCCCAAAATCAGCTGATGCCCACTCACAGAGGGAGCATTTAAACCAGCCCTGGCCAGAGGTGAATCTCTGATACCAGTGGTTGGAACCGAGTTTCTACAAGCCTCATCACTGTGGACTATAGGGCTCTGGGATGGTAAATAAACCTGAAAGGCAGTGTTGGCTACAAGTACTGTAACTTTTATGTGAGTCCTGGTGCTGAACTGGGCCCAGAGACAGTAGACTGGGGTGGGAGGTGCAACCTACTGAGACAGCAGCTGGGGATGGGTAAGGGAGTGCTGACATCCCCCCTCTCCTAATCCCAAGCTGCACAGTTTTCACTTCCAAAAGAAACTGCTTTCTTCTGCTTGAGGAGTGGGGGGCTTGAATAGCTAGCAGCAATACCCAGGTACTATGTTGAGGGCTTTGGGTAAGTCTCTGAGGCTTACCGGCTTCAGGTAAGACTCAACACATTCCCAGCTAGCTGGCTATCAGGAAAGACTCCTTCTACTTGAGAAATCAGAGTGAAATATAAAGTCGACTTTGTCTTGCAACTAGGTACTAGCTTGATCACAGGAGGGTAGAGCACCAAGTGCACTCCTGGACTCTCCAAAACCAGGACTTGGCTCTTGTACAGGGTCTGTATTCTGCATGGGCCTGTGGTAGCACTGCTCAGGGGGTGAGATTCCACTGCCTTTGGAAAGGAAAGGGAAGAGTGAGAAGGACTGCATTTTGTGGTTTGAGTGTCAGCTCAGCTGCAGTACAATAGAACACCAAATAGACTTCTAAGGTTTTTGACTCTAGTCCCTGGCTTCTGGGTGGTACCTCTGGACATGCCTGGGTACTGGAAGAATTTGCTTCACTGAAGGGAAGGACACAGGCCTGGCTGGATTCACCACCAACTGATTGTAGGGCCCCAGATCCTTGGAAACATAGGCAGTAGCCAGGGAATGGTTGCAGCAAGCTTTGGGCAAGACCCAGTGCTCTGCTTGTTTTAAGTCTCACCCAGTGCAGTCACAGTGGTGGTGGATACATGAGTGCTTGTGTCATTCCATCCCCAGTTTCAATTGACTCAGAACAGAGAGAGAGACTTTGTTTATTTGGGAGAAATTAAGGGAAGGGAACAAGAGTTTCTGGTAATCCAGAGAATTCTCTTGGATCTTGTCCAAGACCATCAAGGCAGTACCTCTACAAGTCTTCAAGAACCACTGCATTATTGGGCTTGGAGTGCCCCTAAAGCAGATACAGCTTAGATCACAACACTTAACTCATTTCCCATTTATTAAAAAAAGTGCAGTTCACTGCTGGTGCAGTATTCTAGGGGCAAATCGAAAATAGGTTAAGTCCTTTTTAATATCTGGAAAGCCTAACAAGAAGGATGTGTACAAAAAAAACCCCAGACTACAAAGACAACAAAAATACCTAACTCTAGAATGCCCAGCCCCCGATGAATATCTACAAGTATAAAGAAAATCCAGGAAAACATGACCTCACCACACGAACTAAATAAGGCACCAGGGACCAATCCTGGAGAAACAGAGATGTGTGATCTTTCAGCCAGAGAATATAAGATAGTTGTTTTGAGGAAACCTAAAGATATTCAAAATAACACAGAGAAGAAATTCACAATTCTATCAGATAAACATAACGAAGAGACTGAAATAATTTACAAGAGTCAAGCAGAGATTGTGGAGCTGAAACATGCAATTGGCATACTGAAGAATGCATTGGAGTCTTTAGTAGAATAATAGAATAGAATTGATTCAGCAGAAGAAAGAATTAGTGAGCTTTAACACAAGCTATTTGAAAATACTGTTAGAAGAGACAAAAGAAAAAAGAATAAAAAACAATGAAGCACACCTACAGGATCTAGAAAATAGTCTCAAAATGCAAATCTAAGAGTTATTGGCCTTAAAGAGGAGGTAGAGAAAGAGAAGGGAGTAGAAAATTTATTTAAGGGAAAATAACAGAGAACTTTCCAAAACTAGAGAAAGGTATCACTATCTAAGTACAAGAAGCTGATAGAACACCAAGCAGATTAAACCCAATGAAGACTACTTCCAGGAATTTAATAATAAAACTCCCAAAGATGTCCTGAATTGTATTGCCCAGATTTTCTGCTAGGGTTTTTATAGTTTTGGAGCTTACATTTAAGTCATTAATCCAGCTTAAGTCAATTTTGTATAAGTTCAAATACATGAAAATTAAACAATATGCTTCTGAGTGAACAGTGGGACAATGAAGAAATTAAGAAGAAAATTGAAAAATTTCTTGAAACAAATGATGAGAAAACACAGCATATCAAAACCTATGGGATTCAGCAAAAGTGGTACTAAGAATAAAGTTAATAGCTGTAAGTGTCAACTATCAAAATAGAAGAAAAACATCAAATAAACAACCTAACAATATACTTTAAAAAACTACGAAAGCTGGAGCAAACCAAACCCAAAATTAGTAGGAGAAAAGAAATAATAAACTCAGAGCAGAAATAAATTGAAATAAAGAAAACAATACAAAATATTAACAAAGCAAAAAGTTGTTCTTTAGAAGCATTAAAGAAAGCTGACAAACCTTTAGCCAGACTAAGGAAAAATATGACATGATCCAAATAAGTCAGAGATGAAAAAGAAGGCATTACAACTGATATCACAGGTATTCAAAGGATCATTGGTGGCTACCATGAACAACTATATACCAATAAATTGGAAAACTTAGAAGTAATGAACAAATTCCTAGATACATACAACCTACTGAAATTGAACCATGAAGAAATCCAAAACCTGAACAAAATTATAGCAAATAATCAGATTGAACTCAAGAGAAAGCATCCTAGTAGAGAAAAGCTCAAGACCCAATGACTTCAATGATGAATTCTAGCAAATATTTAAAGAACTAATACCAATCCTACTCAAACTATTCCACAAAATAGTGAAGGAGGGAATACTTCCAAATTAATTCTATAAGGCCAGTATTACTCTGATAACAAAACCAAAGACACATTAAAAAAAAAAGTTATAGGCCAATGTCTCTGAGGAATATTCATGCAAAAATCCTCAAGAAAATAGCTGCAAACCAAATTAATGAATACATTAAAGAGCTCACTCATCACAACCAAGTGGGATTTATCCCTGTATGCAAGGGTGCTTTAACATATGCCAATTAATTGATGTGGTACATCATATCAACAGAATAAAGAACGAAAGCATATGGTCACTTCAATTGATACTGAAAAATTATTCGATAAAATTCAACACCCCTTCATGGTAAAAGCCCTAAAAAAAACAGGGTATAGAAGGAACATACCTCACCATAGTAAAAGCTATCTACAAAAGACCAACAGCTAGTAACATACTAAATAGGGAAAAACTAAAAGCCTTTCCTCTAAGGTCTGGAAAACAACAAGGATGCTTACTTTCACCACTGTTATTCAACATTGTACTGGAATACCTAGCTAGAGCAATCAGAGAAAGATACAAAGGGGATCCCAATTAGAATGGAAGAAGTCAAATTATACTCATTTGCAGAGAATATAATCTTATATTTAAAAAAACATAAAGACTCCACTAAAAAACTATGAGAAATAATAAACAAATTCCGTAAAGTTGCAAGATACAAAATAATATACAAAAATCGGTAGTATTTCTATATTCCTACAGCGAACAATTTAAAAAATAATTTTAAAAAGTAATCCCATTTACAATATCCACACATAAAATTAACAATGAGATACCATCTCACACCAGTTAGAATGGTGATCATTAAAAAGTCAGGAAACAACAGATGCTGGCGATGATGCAGAGAAATAGAAACACTTTTACACTGTTGGTGGGAGTGTAAATTACTTCAGTCATTGTGGAAGACAGTGTGGCAATTCCTCAAGAATCTAAAACCAGAAATACCATTTGACCCAGCAATCCCATTACTGTGTATATACTCAAAGGATTATAAATCATTCTACTCTAAAGACACATGTACAAGTGTGTTTATTGCAGCACTATTTACAATAGCAAAGACTTGGAACCAACCCAAATGCCCATCAGTGATAGACTAGATAAAGAAAATATGGCACATATGCACCATGGAGTACTATGCAGCCATAAAAAAGAATGAATTCATGTCCTTTTCAGGGACATGGATGAAGCTGGAAACATCGTTCTCAGCAAACTAACACAGGAACAGAAAACCAAACACTGCATGTTCTCACTCAAAAGTGGGAGTTGAACAATGAGAACACATGGACACAGGGAGGGAAACATGACACACCAGGGCCTGTTGGGGGGTGGGGAGCAAGGGGAGGGAGAGCACTGGGACAAATACTTAATTCATGCGGGGCTTAAAACCTAGATGACAGGTTGATGGGTGCAGCAAACCACCATGGCACATGTATACCTATGTAACAAACCTGCACATTCTGCACATGTATCCCAGAACCTAAAGTATAATATAAAAAATCACTCAAAAATATGAATAGAAGGGAAAATTCCTTATCATAATAAAATGTATTTATAAAAATTCCAAAGATGTTTTATATCAAATTGTGAAAATCTAAAAGCTTATGCCCTAAAATCAGGGGGTAAAAAAACCCAAGTATATCTACTTTTACTACTGCTATTCAGCATCGTTCTTAAGGTCCCAGCCAAAACAATTAGACAAGAAAGAGAAATAATGTAGCAACTTGTATATTATGGATTTTTTTAAAAAAAATTAAGGATTATGTGCCATAACTAAATGGGATCTATATGAGGAGTGCAAGAGTGCTTCAATAAGAAAATCAATCAATGTAATACACCACCATATTAGAAAGAAAGGAAAAATCTAACAAGATAGACCATCTGAATAGAAGCTGAGAAAGCATAAGACAAAATTCAATACTTTTCCTGATAAAATCACTCAAAGATATGAATAGAAGGGAAATTTCTTATGAGAAAATGTATTTATAAAAATTCCAAAGGTATTTTATATCAAATTGTGAAAATCTAAAAGCTTATACCCCAAAATCAGGGGGAAAAGATCCAAGTATATCCAATTTCACTACTGCTATTCAGCATAGCACTTAAGGTCCTAGCCAAAACAATTAGACAAGAAAGAGAAATAAAAGGCATTTAGGTAAGAAAGGAAGACGTAAAACTATTTCTATTTTAAGATAACACAATTATATATAAAGAAAAGTCCATATAACCCACAAAAAACAACTAGAGCTGATAAATGTTTTCAGCTTAATTTTAGGATGTAAGATTGGTCCAGATATCAGTTGTGTCTGTTTATATCAGCAATGAGCAATATGAAAATAAAATCAAGGAAATAGTTACATTTGCAATAGCATCAAAAGGGCCAAAAGCCCTGAGAACCTATAATCAAGAAGATAAAAGACTGAAAACTATGAAATGTTGCTTAGAAAAATAAGGAGTATCTAAATAAATGGCAAACCATGTCATTTTAAAGGATTGAAATGGCACACGTATACATATGTAACAAATGTGCACATTGTGCACATGTACCCTAAAACTTAAAGTATAATAATAATAATAATGAAAGACTTAAAATTGTTAAGATGGCAATGCTTCCAAAAGTAATCTAAAGATTGAATGTAATCACTGTCACAATTCCAATGTCCTTTTTAAAATTTTTATTTGTGCAAAAATGGAAAAGCCAATCCTGAATTTATATGCAACTACAGGGAGAGGACTCAATTTCCAAATTTCCAGACTTCAAAACAAAACTATAGTAGTCAAAACAGCATGGTACTGGCAAAAGGAAAGAAATAAAGACCAGTGGAATAAAATTGAAATCCAAACATAAACCTAATCATCTATGCCCGGTTCATTTTCAACAAATGTACCAAGATCATTTAATCTAAAGGAAGAGTTTCAAAAAAAAATAAATAAATAAAGGAAGCGTTTCTTCAACAAACAGTGCTGGGACAACTGGGTAGCCACATACAAAAGAATGAAGTTGAACCCCTATCTCACTCTTATGCAAAATATAACTGAAAGTGAACGAAAAACTTAAATGTGAACTAAAACTATACAATTCTTAGAATAAAACATCGGTTAAATATTAATGCCTTCAGAATTGGAAGTGGATGCATAGATTTGACACCAAAACAACTAAAATAAGAGAGATAAACTGGGCCTCACCAAATTAAAATGTTTGTTCATCAAAGGACAAAATTAAAAATGTGAAATGACAACCTGTAGAATGGGAGAAAATATTTGTATTTCATACGTATTTAGTAAGGGTTTAATGCCCAGAATCCATAAACAATTACCTACAGTTCAACAACAAATGACAAGCAACCCAGTATAGAAATAAGCAAAGGGCCAGGTGTGGTGCCTCACAACTGCAATCCCAGTGCTTTGGGAGGGCCAACATGGGTGGACTGCTTGAGCTCAGGAGTTTGAGACCAGCCTAGGAAACATGGTGAAACCAAGTTTGTACAAAAAAAATACAAAAATTAGCTGGGTGTGGGGGTTTGTGCCTGTGCTCCTAGCTACTTGGGAGGCTGAGGTAGGAGAATCACTTGAGACCAAGAGTCAGAGGTTGCAGTGAGCCAAGATGACAGCACTGTACTCCAACCTGAGCAACACAGAGAGGCCTTGTCTCCAAAATAAATAAATAAAATAAAATAAAAATGAACAAGGGCCTTGAATAACATTTCTCTAAAGAACATGTAAAAATGGTAAAAAGCTAATTAATATCATAGGTCAAGTCAAAACCACAATGAAATACCACTTTGCACTGACACAAAAAACAGAAAATTACAAATATTGGCTATAATATGGAAAAGAGGAACCCTCAAACATTGCTGATGGGATTTTAAAATGGTGCATTTACTGTAGAAATGTTTAGTTGTTTCTCAAAAAGTTAAACATAAAATTACCATATGACCCAGAAATAACACTCCTAGGACTATACCCTGGAAAAATGAAAATATATTCATGAAGTAACTTGTATACAAATGTTCATAGCAACATTATTTATAAGAGCCAAAAGGTGAAAATAACACAAATGATCATCAACAGATGAATGATAAGCAAATTGTCATATGTGTACATGAAAATGGAATATTATTGAACCACACAAAACAACAAAGTACTATCACATGCTAAATCTTAGTTGACCCTCCATATCATTATGCTAAGTGAAAGAAGCCAGGAAAAAAGATCACATATGCCATGGGTCAAATGTTATACTCATTATAGGCAAATCCATAAAGATAGTTGATTAATGTTTACTACATGATGGAGTTGGGAATGAGGTGTAACTATTTAATGATATAGTATGTTTCTGTGGAGTGATAAAAAAGTTTTGAAAGTAGAGAGGAATGGTAGTTGTGATGCAGGGCAGGCGAGTCCCAATGTGGAGCTTAGCCTGGGAGGGTTCCTGGCTTTGCCCAGAAAAGAATTCAAAGGCAACTCAGAGGTAGAAGAAAACAGCTTTGTTGAACAGGCAGTGGTACAGCTCTGCGAGGGCTCCTGCAGAGCAGGGCTATGATATAGGCAGAGAGTAGAAGCTCAGGGCAGTTTTGTGGTCATTTTTATACCCACTTTTAATTGCATGCATATTAAGGGACAGTTTGTGCAAGGAAGGGGTCCTATCTTTTGGATCATTGGGTGCCATGGAAAGGGGAGGTAACTCCTGGGTGTTGCCATGGGAATAGTAAATTGACACGGCATACTGGTGGGCAGGAATGATTGAAAGCTGCTTTCATCCTGGCCCTGTTTTAGCTAGCCATCAATCTGGTCCCATGTCCAAGACCCACCTCTGGAGTTGACTCCCACCTCCTACCTCAGTTGCACAGTATTGTAATTAAACAAAATACCATTAAAGTGTACACTTTAAATTGGGTGATATATGGTATATGAATTTCATCTCAATATTTAAAATGTCATAATTTTCTGAATTAATCTATAGATTTAATGCAATCTTAAAATTCCTATGGGCTTGTTTGCAGAAATTGACAAGTTTATTCTTAAATTTTTGTTGCGACTGAATGAACACAAAAAAGCCCAAATAGTCTTGAAAAAAGCTTTGAGGACTCATACTTTTTGATTTGAAAACTTGACACAAAACTACAGTAATTAAGACTTCAAAATGAGGTACTACTGACATAAGGACAGACAGACCAATGGAGTAGAATTGAGAGCCCACAAACAAATCCTCACATTTATACTCAACTGGTTTTTAATGAGGTTGTCAAGACAATTCAATAGGAAAAAATATACTTTTTCAATAAATAGTTCAATGAAAACAGGATTCACTCTCACAGGTTACCTGATAAACATCAACCTCCAACTCCTTTGTGCAAATTCATTTTAGGTTACACTAAATTAAACCTTCTCTCTTCCATCCACCAACTCTTTCCCACCACTCACCTCTCCACAAACTACTCATTCCATCTGAAACCTTTCTTCTGTTCCACACTGAAAATATATTAAGGGCTATGTCAATGTGCAGGGCATACAGGAAGCCCATTTATGATAAGCCATTCTTTTCCATTGTCACATAATCTATGTGCAATATTGATATTCATCTTCAGTTTGTGGTAGGATATTTTGTATTTTCTACTTATTTATAATTGTTTCCATTTGACTGCAGTGTCTATATTATTCTACTCATGTAGATTATTTTTATTTCAAGAAGAGGGTCTATGCATTCTAGCCATTGGACAATTTTGTATTTTCCATGATGTTTAGTGCAGGCCCATAAATACAATAAGTAATTAAGATGCTTGTCAAGCATTACTGGCCTGATCATTTAAACATCCTTAGTAAATTACAGAAGGATTCGATGAATCACAAAATGGACAAGAAATCAAAATACTGATCTGTTGCTAATATCTTACCTGCTCCATTTTGATCAGGAAGCAATCGATAAAGTCCCGAGGATTGTTAACATCCAGTGATGCTTGGTGTTCTTTTACTTTCTCCCTAATGTAACTTCGTGTAAGAGCAACATTTTTAAGCACTTTGTTGTGAGTTCCTGGGAAACAATCAATGAGTAGAGGGAAATTATTGCAGACCTAAAAGAGAAAAGAATATTAAATATAAACATGTCATAAGATATATGTATCTTACACCAAGCCCTGATTGAAATTATAACTATAAATATGAATAAGACATCATGTCCATTTTGAAGGGAAATTTTTATACATATATACATTTTTTATTACACTTTAAGTTCTAGGGTATATGTGCACAAAGTGCAGGTTTGTCACATATGTATACATGTGCCAGGTTGGTGTACTGCACCCAATAACTCGTCATATACATTAGGTATATCTCCCAATGCTATCCCTTCCCCCTCCCCCCACCACACAACAGACCCCAGTGTGTAATGTTCCCCTTCCTGTGTTCAAGTGTTCTCATTGTTCAATTCCCACCTATGAATGAGAATATGCAGTGTTTGGTTTTTTTGTCCTTGTGATAGTATGCTGAGAACGATGGTTTCTAGCTTCATCCATGTCCCTACAAAGAACATGAACTCATCCTTTTTTATGGCTGCATAGATTCCATGGTGTCTATGTGCCACATTTTCTTAATCCAGTCTATCATTGTTGCACATTTGGCTTGGTTCCAAGTCTTTGCTATTGTGAATAGTGCCACAATAAACATACGTGTGCATGTGTCTTTAAAGCAGCATGACTTATAATCCTTAGGGTATATACCCAGTAATGGGATGGCTGGGTCAAATGGTATTTCTAGTTCTAGATCCCTGAGGAATCACCACACTGTCTTTCATAATGGTTGAACTAGTTTACAGTCCCACCAACAGTGTAAAAGTGCTCCTATTTCTCCACATCCTCTCCAGAACCTGTTGTTTCCTGACTTTTTAATGATTGCCATTCTAACTGGTGTGAAATGGTATCTCATTGTGGTTTTGATTTGCATTTCTCTGATGGCCAGTGATGATGAGCATTTTTTCATGTGTTTTTTGGCTGCATAAATGTCCTTTTGAGAAGTGTCTGTTCGTATCCTTTGCCCACTTGTTGATGGGGTTGTTTGGTTTTTTTCTTGTAAATTTGTTTGAGTTCATTGTAGATTCTGGATATTAGCCCTTTGTCAGATGAGTAGATAGCAAAATTTTTCTCCCATTCTGTAGGATGCCTATTCACTCTGATGGTAGTTTCTTTTGCTTTGCAGAAGCTCTTTAGTTTTATTAGGTCCCATTTGTCAATTTTGGCTTTTGTTGCCATTGCTTTTGGTGTTTTAGACATGAAGTCCTTGCCCATGCCTATGTCCTGAATGGTATTGCCTAGGTTTTCTTCTAGAATTTTTATGGTTTTAGGTCTAACATTTAAGTCTTTGATCCATCTTGAATTAATTTTTGTATAAGGTGTAAGGAAGGGATCCAGTTTCAGCTTTCTACATGTGGCTAGCCAGTTTTCCCAGCAACATTTGTTGAATAGGGAATCCTTTCCCCATTTCTTGTTTTTGTCAGGTTTGTCAAAGATCAGATAGTTGTAGATCTGTGGTATTATTTCTGAGGGCTCTGTTTTGTTCCATTGGTCTATATCTCTGTTTTGGTACCAGTACCAAGCTGTTTTGGTTAATGCAGCCTTGTAGAATAGTTTGAAGTCAGGTAGCCTGATGCCTCCAGCTTTGTTCTTTTGGCTTAGGATTGACTTGACAATGCGGGCTCTTTTTTGGTTCCATATGAACTTTAAAGTAGTTTTTTCCAATTCTGTGAAGAAAGTCATTGGTGCTTGATGGGGATGGCATTGAATCTATAAATTACCTTGGGCAGTATGGCCATTTTCATGATATTGATTTTTCCTACCCATGAGCATGGAATGTTCTTCCATTTGTTTGTAGCCTCTTTTATTTTGTTGAGCAGTTGTTTGTAGTTCTCCTTGAAGAGGTCCTTCACGTCCCTTGTAAGTTGGATTCCTAGGTATTTTATTCTCTTTGAAGCAATTGTGAATGGAAGTTCACTCATGATTTGGCTCTCTGTTTGTCTGTTATTGGTGTAGAGGAATGTTTGTGATTTTTGCACATTGATTTTGTATCCCGAGACATTGCTGAAGTTGCTTATCAGCTTAAGGAGATTTTGGGCTGAGATGATGGGGTTTTCTAGATATACAGTCATGTCATCTGCAAACAGGGACAATTTGAGTTCCTCTTTTTCTAACTGAATACCTTTTATTTCTTTCCCCTGCCTGATTGCCTTGGCCAGAACCTCCAACACTATGTTGAATAGGAGTGGTGAGAGAGGGCATCCCTGTCTTGTGCCAGTTTTCAAAGGGAATGCTTCCAGTTTTTGCCCATTCAGTATGATACTGGCTGTGGGTTTGTCATAAATAGCTCTTATTATTTTTAGATACGTCCCATCAATACCTAATTTATTGAGTGTTTTTAGACTGAAGTGCTGTTGAATTTTTTAAAAGGCCTTTTCTGCATCTATTGAGATAATCATGTGGTTTTTGTCTTGGTTCTGTTTATATGCTGGATTACATTTACTGATTTGCGTATATTGAACCAGCCTTGCATCCCAGGGATGATGCCCACTTGATCGTGGTGGATAAGCTTTTTATGTGCTGCTGGATTCAGTTTGCCGTAATTTATTGAGGATTCTTGCATTGATGTTCATCAGGGATATTGGTCTAAAATTCTCGTTTTTTGTTGTGTCTCTGCCAGGCTTTGTTATCAGGATGATGCTGGCCTCATAAAATGAGTTAGGGAGGATTCCCTCTTTTTCTATTGATTGGAATAATTTCAGAAGGAATGGTACCAGCTCCTCCTTGTACCTCTGATAGAATTTGGCTGTGAATCCACCTGGTCCTGGACTTTTTTTGGTTGGTAAGCTGTTAATTATTGCCTCAATTTCAGAGCCTGTTATTGGTCTATTCAGAGATTCAACTTCTTCCTGGTTTAGTCTTGGGAGGGTGTATGTGTGGAGAAATTTATCCATTTCTTCTAGATTTTCTAATTTACTTGTGTAGAGGTGTTTATAGTATGCTCTGATGGTAATTTGTATTTCTGTGGGATCGGTTGTGATATCCCCTTTATCATTTTTTATTGTATCTATTTGAGTTTTCTCTCTTTTCTTCTTTATTAGTCTTCCTAATGGTCTATCAATTTTGTTGATCTTCAAAAAACTAGCTCCTGGATTCATTGATTTTTTGAAGGGTTTTTTGTGTCTCTATTTCCTTCAGTTCTGCTCTGATCTTAGTTATTTCTTGCCTTCTGCTAGCTTTTGAATGTGTTTGTTCTTGCTTCTCTAGTTCTTTCAATTGTGATGTTAGGGTGTCAATTTTAGATCTTTCCTGCTTTCTCTTGTGGGTATTTAGTGCTATAAATTTCCCTCTACACACTGCATTAAATGTGTCCCAGAGATTCTGGTATGTTGTGTCTTTGTTCTCATTGGTTTCAAAGAACATCTTTATTTCTGCCTTCATTTCTTTAGGTACCCAGTAGTCATTCAGGAGCAGGTTGTTCAGTGTCCATGTAGTTGAGTGGTTTTGAGTGAGTTTCTTAATCCTGAGTTCTAGTTTGATTGCGCTGTGGTCTGAGAGACAATTTGTTGTAATTTCTGTTCTTTTACATCTGCTGAGGAGTGCTTTACTTCCAACTATGTGGTCAATTTTGGAATAAGTGTGGTGTGGTGCTGAGAAGAATGTATATTCTGTTGATTAGGGGTGGAGAGTTCTGTAGATGTCTATTAGGTCCGCTTGGTGCAGAGCTGAGTTCAATTCCTGGATATCCTTGTTAACTTTCTGTCTCGTTGATCTGTCTAATGTTGACAGTGGGGTGTTAAAGTCTCCCATTATTGTTGTGTGGGAGTCTAAGTCTCTTTATAGGTCTCTAAGGACTTGCTTGATGAGTCTGGGTGCTCCTGTATTGGGTGCATATATATTTAGGATAGTTAGCTCTTCTTATTGAATTGATCCCTTTACCATTATGTAATGGCCTTCTTTGTCTCTTTTAATCTTTGTTGGTTTAAAGTCTGTTTTATCAGAGATTAGGATTGCAACCCCTGCCTTTTTTTGTTTTCCATTTGCTTGATAGATCTTCCTCCTTCCCTTTATTTTGAGCCTATGTGCGTCTCTGCACATGAGATGGGTTTCCTCAATACAGCACACTGATGGGTCTTGACTCTTTATCCAGTTTCCCAGTCTGTGTCTTTTAATTGGAGCGTTTAACCCATTTACATTTAAGGTTAATATTGTTATGCTTGAATTTGATCCTGTCATTATGATGTTAGCTGGTTATTTTGCTCGTTAGTTGATGCAGTTTCTTCCGAGCCTTGATGGTCTTTACAATCTGATGTTTTTGCAGTGGCTGGTACCGGTTGTTCCTTTCCATGTTTAGTGCTTCCTTCAGGAGCTCTTTTAGGGCAGGCCTGGTAGTGACAAAATCTCTCAGCATTTGCTTGTATGTAAAGGATTTTATTTCTCCTTCACTTATGAAGCTTAGTTTGGCTGGATATGAAATTCTGGGTTGAAAATTCTTTTCTTTAAGAATGTTGAATATTGGCCACCACTCTCTTCTGGCTTGTAGAGTTTCTGCCGAGAGATCCGCTGTTAGTCTGATGGGCTTCCCTTTGTGGGTAACCCGCCCTTTCTCAATGGCTACCCTTAACATTTTTTCCTTCATTTCAACTTTGGTGAATCTGACAATTATGTGTCTTGGAGTTGCTCTTCTCAAGGAGTATCTTTGTGGCGTTCTCTGTATTTCCTGAATTTGAATGTTAGCCTGCCTTCCTAGGTTGGGGAAGTTCTCCTGGATAATACCCTGCAGAGTGTTTTCCAACTCAGTTCCATTCTCCCCGTCACTTTCAGATACACCAATCAGACGTAGATTTGGTCTTTTCACATAGTCCCATATTTCTTGGAGGCTTTGTGCATTTCTTTTTATTCTTTTTTCTCCAAACTTCTCTTCTCGCTTCATTTCATTTGTTTGATCTTCAATCACTGATACCCTTTCTTCCATTTGATTGAATCAACTACTGAAGCTTGTGCATGTGTCACGTAGTTCTCCTGCCATGGTTTTCAGCTCCATCAGGTCCTTTAAGGACTTCTCTGCATTGGTTATTCTAGTTAGCCATTCATCTAATCTTTTTTTAAGGTTTTTAACTTCTTTGCGATGGGTTTGAGCTTCCTCCTTTAGGTTGGAGAAATTTGATCATCTGAAGCCTTCTTCTCTCAGCTCGTCAAAGTCATTCCCCATCCAGCTTTGTTCCGTTGCTGGTGAGGAGCTGCATTCCTTTGGAGGAGGAGAGGCACTCTGATTTTTAGAATTTTCAGTTTTTCTGTTGTGTTTTTCCCCCATCTTTGTGCTTTTATCTACCTTTGGTCTTTGATGATGGTGATGTACAGATGGGGTTTTGGTGTGGATGTCCTTTCTGTTTGTTAGATTTCCTTCTAACAGTCAGGATCCTCAGCCGCGAGTCTGCTGGAGGTCCACTCCAGACCCTGTTTGCCTGGGTATCAGCAGCAGAGGCTGCAGAACAGCAAATATTGCTGAACAGCAAATGTTGCTGCCCGATCGTTCCTCTGGAAGTTTTGTCTCAGAGGGGTACCCAGCCCTGTGAGGTGTCAGTCTGCCCCTACTAGGGGGTGCCTCCCAGTTAGGCTATTCAGGGGTCAGGGACCCACTTGAGGAGACCGTCTGTCCATTCTCAGATCTCATACTCCATGCTGGGAGAACCACTACTCTCTTTAAAGCTGTCAGACAGGGACATTTAAGTGTGCAGAGGTTTCTGCTGCCTTTTGTTCAGCTATGCCCTGCCCCGAGAAGTGGATTCTACAGAGGCAGGCAGGCCTCCTTGAGCTGCAGTAGGCTCCACCCAGATCGAGCTTCCTGGTGGTTTTGTTTACCTACTCAAGCCTCAGCAATGGTGGACACCCCTCCCCCAGCCTCGCTGCTGCCTTGCAGTTGGATCTCAGACTGCTGTGCTGGCAATGAGTGAGGCTTCGTGGGCATGGGACCCTCCAAGCCAGGTGCAGGATATAATCTCCTGGTGTGCCATTTACTAAGACCACTAGAAAAGCACAGTATTAGGGTGGGAGTGACCCAATTTTCCAGGTGCCATCTGTTCACAGCTTTGCTTGGCTAGGAAAGGGAATTCCCTGACCCCTTGCACTTCTGATGGGGAAATTTTTATTGTGCACATATAGCAATTTTCTGTACCTAAAGATTGGAGGCTGAAAATTTTGAACAGGAAATCAAAGGTGGTAATTATTTTCTTCACTCATACATCATTTTTATTGTATAAAAGCATTTTAGTATCAATTTTCTCATTTTTAAACCAAGTCTTCCCTACAACCTTGAATAAATGGTTTCCAAGGAAAATAAAATCTTGGCCTTACCTGGATCCATGGGGAGTTCAGAATCCTGAAGTTTTCATTGAATCTTTTCATCAGGGTGAGAAAATTCTGATCTTTATAATCAAATCGTTTCTGGAAAACAACGGAGCAGATCACATTGCAGGGAGCACAGCCCAGGATGAAAGTGGGATCACAGGGTGAAGCTAAAGATTTAAAAATTTTTAAAAAAATTATTAAAAAATAAATATTTAAAAGATTTGCATTTGTTAAGACATAAAGGAAATTTAGAAATTTTAAACAATATCTTACAAATTCCCCATGTGTCCAAAAAAAATCAGCATGGATGAAATAAACACATTACTTTTACCTTAAATATGAGTTGAGCATTACAGGCTAGCTAAACAATGTCATTTCGCATGTGGTTATTCACATCCACTGCCTTTATTTAAACTCTTTTAACCCCAAGTGTCTTTTATTTTGGAAGGAAAAAGAAGACTTTTTTGAAATCCTAATAATTCAAGTTTTTAGAGCAGAATCATGTCTGTTTGCAAAGCCTCTGGACAATAAAACACAGAGATAGGAAGAGAAAAGTTGGGGACCTAGAAATGTCATATAGCTGAAAGTATAATGTGCTGAACCAATGGGAATAAAGTTAGGGAGATTGTGGGTGAATTCATGTGTTTTAGGGAACAAATGTGAAAAGCAAGTACATCCATATGATATGAGAAGAAAAACTAATATAAATGAGCATTAAGTATAACAGATTTGTTTATCTAAATAAGTAAAATGCTAACTTTTTATTTCAAATCTAAATCCCAGTAAAGCTAACCAAAAAGTAAATTGATAAATGGAATCTTTTTATTTATTTTTTCAATTTGTAAAAAATGAATTTCCTTCCTTTGGAAATAATGTTTATCATTTCCAATCATCTTCCAAATTTAATTCATTTGGGCAAAACTACTCTTGTGGATTCTGGGATATTATTCAGTATAGTCATCAAGATAAGTATGTTTTAATAAAGTTTTAAATTTGACCATAAGTTAGGCCAAATCTGTAATTTTACAGGTAAAGAAATTATTAAAAAGGCTTTTATTCGGTGAAGGAATCTCTAAAATGAAATTGCTGTAACCAAGTGACTAGTGAACATAAATGGAAAGGGTGCCCAAATTCACATCTATAGGTCCTAAATAAGAGTGACACGAAATGAAAGGGTTGTGAATAAAGTTGGAACATTGAACAACAAGAAACCTGCTGAGTTAGCTGCTTCTATGCCAGACTCCTTTAAACATTACAGGGCTCTAAAGTTTCAGAAAAACTGTTGTTTTAGCCAAGGGGGTGAAAGGTAATTTGGGAAGCCTTGGTGAGAGAGAGAGAGAGAGAGAGAGAGAGAGAGAGAGTGTGTGTGTGTGTGTGTGTGTGTGTGTGTGTGTGTTTCTCAGGTACAATCTGATATCCAGGTTTTTTTTTTTTTACTGCATTTGGGAGAGTGAATTTAAAAAGGTAATTTTATATCCCAGCTGATAATCAGATTGATTATAACAAGCACTTCATAGGTGAGTAAATTGGCAGTGGGAGAAAAATGATTAGCACAAATTTCAAAGCTAAGAACCAATACAGGGGAAAAAAGATGACAAAACTGAAAACATAGCCAAATTACATTTAAAGAAGACAGGATAAAGAGTTTTTCATAATAGTTAAAATCTAGTTAAACAAATTATTTACAAATTAGTGTTTGTGTATTTGCTGAGTTATACTATAGATTATATTTACTTAAAATATATTAATTGCTACAGTAAGTAGTGGTTAACAAGAAATAATTAATCCTGACAGTTTTCAAATAGTACTGTGTTTCCCGAGAAATAAGAACTGATGAAAACTGTACTGAGATATACCTAAGCAAGTAAAACCATACATAGTGTCATTGCTGGCCAGAGCTGTAGGCATGGACCTGGAAGGAATTTCCAGACATGTGAGTATGACCATATGAAAAAACTCGAATTAAATGAAAGCACATATAACTTGGTTCATATTTCATGAAGTGTGATGAGGTCACTTTCACCATGTCCACTTTCCAAGTGTTCTCTGGTGAAATGTTCTGGTGGAGGTAATGCAGATTTATGCTATGGGGGAAACCTTCTTTAACTCTTCAAAAATGAACTCAAGACCCTTATTTATAATTTCTGATTTGAAAACAAGGAAACAAAATTGAGCAGAAAATAGGATTAAATGACCTTTTATTCCTACACCCTATGAACCAACACATTTATACAGGCAAAGCACAGATACACAAAACCTCCCTTGTCTCTGTGCTTCAAATCTCCCTCCACCACCTGAGGGCTGACAACCAGGATGCGCAATGAAGACCTGGCCACCCCTGAAATGTTTCCAAGGACGTCACTAGTGAAGACAGGTAACTGTTAAGGTCAATGACGCAGAGTAGAGTCACCCACCCTTGGTTTTTCTCAACTCCTCCACAAGGCAGTGAGCTTCCTCTTGAACACGGTCCTCAATGCTCCTCTTCCCCATCCCAAAATTCCGCAAGGTTGTGAGGGAGAAACGCCGGATCTCCTTCCATCTCTTTCCATTGCTGGAAATGATTCCTAATAAAAAAAGGGGCAGAAACTGGGAGAATTCACAGCCAAGGAAGAAAGTGCTGCAACACTTGGCAGCCATGCAGATAGGCTAAGCTCTGCTGAGAAGCTTTTTAGGGCTCTGTTTTCCATCCCCCTCACCCCAGTTACCAAAGCTGACACAGAAATATGTGCACCTACCAAGTCCTTTAGTAATTCTTTGAGATATTGGGGAATTGCCTCTTCCAGAAAACTCCTCTCCATTATCAATCAGGGCTTCCTTCACTGCCTCATATCCATGAAACACCACTATGGGATTCATGCCAAAATACACGGTGAACACAGGACCATAGACTTTTGAGAACTGGGAAAGGAAATGCAAATAGCAGCAAAATAAGTCGCTATTTGCTCCAAATACTATGTATGATTCAGACTGACATTTTCATTGTATTTTTTAATGTTCATATTTGCCACACATAGATTCGATATTTCTGAATTTTGTACATAAATGTGATGGTGATTGTTATAGCTGCCACTTATAGATGGCCTGTGATGTGCCACGCAATGACCCAGGCAATTGGTACACAAATCACACAGTTCATCCTCACTTCAACACATTCAGCACATTCATTTGACCTGTTTTAAAAATGAAGAAACTGAGGCCAGAGAATTGCAGATTCATTCTCAGAGTCCCACAGGTAATATGTAGAAGCTCCAAACTGGAATCTCTGCTAATTTAAACTGATGCTTGAGCAATTAATCAATCCCCCATGTCCACCTTGAGGCCACTACCCAGCTAAAGACTTCAGGGTCACTTGTAAAGCTCTTAACATGAGGATTCTGATACAGCAGTCCTGTGATGAACCCTAGAAATCTGTATTTACAGTGTCACCCCAGGTGATTCTAATGCCCAGTCCAGTTTGTAACTGCTGGTATTACCAATATGGAACGATGAAGCACCACAAAGTTAGAATCAGGACATTCAGCATCTCCTGGAAGAACAATTTCTTCCATTCTCCAGCAACCTTGGCCACAGACAGTGGCTTTCTTCAGAATCCAAAAGAATTCTGTTAACTACCTATTGGGCCCTGACTGATTACTTCTTTCTTTCATGCACTTATGTTTGCCCTGAACCCACAGATATTTATTTCACATCAGCCATCAAATGAATCTTCAGAGAAGTTCAATTTTCATGACCATTCTGAATAAAACACATGACTACTATAGTAGAGAACTTATTGGATGAAATTTCTAATCACACACACTTCCCTTCACCTTCAGTCAAAAATCATAGCAAAACACTGTGAAACAAAGAGGAGAAACAGCACTTTAAACTTTTGCCACTGTATTAAATGATTATATAATACAATGACCCCAATGTTTCTGTATTCACAAAATGCATCAACTCACTCCGCTATTTCTGACAATGACAGACTTAGAAAGACAAAAGAGGCCAGGTACGGTGGCTCACACATGTAATCCCAGCACTTTGGGAGGCCAAGGCAGGCAGATCATGAGGTCAGGAGACTGAGACCATTCTGGCTAACACGGTGAAACCCTGTCTCTACTAAAACATACAAAAAATTAGCCGGGCATGGTGGAGGGCACCTGTAGTCCCAGTTACTCGGGGGAGGCTGAGGCAGGAGAATGGTGTGAACCTGGGAGGCAGAGCTTGCAGTGAGTGGAGATAGTGCCACTGCACTCCAGCCTGGGCAATAGAGCGAGACTCCGTCTCAAAAAAAAAAAAAATAGGAAGACAAAAGAAACATCAAAGAAGTTCAGAGGGAGTATTTTGCTTTACAATGATCTATTATAATAGTGTGCTTCCAGGAATATATTTTGTCTAAAAATAGCAGTCAAATAACTTACCCTTTGCAATTGGCTGGAGGAACATAAGGCAGACTTACATTGGTGAAAGATTTGCAGATGTCCTTAACATCTATCTGTAGCATATTTCCAATAATAGGAAGAGGAGTGGGGCCAGGAGGGAGCTTCCTTCTCCTACAGCTCTGTCTCCAGAGTGAAAAGAGAAGCATAAAAGAGAGACACAGCACCAGGACCACAAAAGGTTCCATTGAAGCCTTCTCTTCTTATTAAGACAGCTGTGAGCTTGCACTCCAAAGTTTTTATAACACTCCCTGCTAATTTAGTGTGTGTCTCTTTGACATGTAAAGTAAACAATCACCTAGATCCAATTTATACTTTTTTTCTGAGTGGACTTTGGCCCATGGATAGAAATAAAATGTTCTTTTGTCCTACTCCTTCTTTCCAGTGCCAATCTAGGAGATTCTGGTTTAATTGTATTGGATTGGAGCCCAGGTATTTTTAATTAAAAGTCCCTGGTTGTTCCAATGTGCTGTGATGATGGAGAAACACTGAAGTAAATGATTCTATGTTAGAATATACTCAAAATTCAATATTCTCAGATTAATGACCAGTTGGGAATTTATGACCTTGAGGGAAATCAGTGTATTCTATATTTTGTGTATAAAAAATGTACATTGTAATGCTATATCAAAAAATAGGAGACTTAGCCCTTGATAACAAAAGCCTTTCAAATATTTAGTATAGTTCACTTAAAATACAGCTGCCTAAACATGAAATAGTGAATATAACTCATACATGTTGAATTACCATACATATATCAAATTATTAGCTAATAAATGTATATTTATATATATTTAAATGTATATAAACAATATACATAAATATATATGTTATTACATAATAATATTTGTGTTATTATTACATTATTATAATAATAGGTGATTATTTACTTTACATGTCAAAGAGACAAACTGAATTAGCAGGGAGTGTTACATACATTATTACATAATAATAACATAAATACATATTTATACTATTAAATATTATATTAAATATATAAAAGTATATATATAAATGTATATTCATCATTAAAAGAGACTGGAGTATAAAGATTATCATTTTTTATTTTTCAAATTGGGAAAGAAACTCTGGGAGAACAGGACACCTGTCAGTGCCACACAGCTCATTGCCGGTAAAACCGGGATTTGAGCAGAGATCTTCTGATACCCATTGGGGTTCATTACCACTTACACCACAGCTGGCTCAAGAACAATTTTAGAAAAACAAAACAAACCCCAGACATTAGTTACTCTGAAGATACGCCACCTTGACTCTGTTCAGAAAGCAACAGGCTTCACATTAAATAGAAGTCCGTTATTTGTTTATAAGGATAAGAGGACCGGAGACGCTCAAAAGAAGAAATAAAAATTAGAGTTCTCCCCTCTGCATCACCTCACAAGTGAAAGTTGTTCAGCACTATTAAGGAAAGGGCCAATCTCACATAATTTATGGCACAGGGCTTGAAAATCTATGGCTTCTCCACCTTCCAGTCACCTCCAGACATGGCTGCTTCTATTGTTTTTGGTCTGTTATTGTTACAAATAATAGAATGTAATCATACACAGCAAGGAAGAGAAATTATACACAGAACAACAGTTGTGGATTCAACAGAAGATGGAACACAGGGAAATCACTGAATGGACCCAGGGCACAGAACCACTGCAATGTGCAGACCTGAAATGGGAACTGATAGTCAATGGTCATGAAGATCTAAATACAACTGGATTTATGAACATTACTAGATCACTAATAACAAAGTGTGTATACAAAGGCATGCTCTGAAAAGATTACCTTTATTCTAAATTGACCAGTACAGTTATTTCCAGCTCTTTCATTAAGAAAATATTAAGACCCAGTTATACAATGTTTTATCGATTATGTTTATAGACATTATGACAAATTTACAGAGAATTTTCACACTCATCACATCTCTTTTTATTCTCTCAATTATCTTTGCCCACTGTAAAATTATTCCCAGTTTAGAGAGGAGAAAGTTAGACCATGGAGATTCAGTACTTTAGCTAAGGACACACAGAATGCAAGTGACCAAGCTGGGGCTGGAAACCATAACCCCTGCATCTTGCTGCCTTCCTTTTAAGCAAAACATCCAGTTAAACCGGGCCACCAAGATTGACTAAAATTCAATACTTGTGGATTAATCTAATCAGTGACTTTCAAAATAAACATTAATTTAGTTAATAATTCTAGCACCAGTTGAGTAAAATGTGGGTCAGACGTGTTTGGTTTTATAACCTTTAAAAGGTGAGTGAGTCCAGGTCCTGGTGAACCCTTTATCCAGGGCAAAGGGAAGTAGTAATTTGCTGCCTCACTCACGTAGGTATAAGCTAGTTTATTTGGATAAAATAAGTTCACTTTCTCTCTTTAGAGCAATAATTTTATTCCTTGAGAAACAGTTGCCCTTGCTCTGCTCCTTGTTTCTTCTCCTGAGCTGAGGCTCCTGCCTTGACCTTTCTTTTTATAGAATAAAAGGAACATAGATAATTTAAAGACAGACGGGATCTCTGAGATCTACTAATTTAATTTTGCTTTGTTTTTCAGGAATGAGCAATTGGTGACTCAGTGAGTTAGAGCATTATCAATGCACCAGTAAAAGATTTTGTATTAGAATCCCAGTTTTCCTGCTTGGTGGTTCAGTGAAATACCCTATCCTATAGAATTCCCACCTAAGTCCAA
The DNA here is from genome assembly GCF_000001405.40 of Homo sapiens. Lineage (NCBI taxonomy): Eukaryota > Metazoa > Chordata > Mammalia > Primates > Hominidae > Homo > Homo sapiens. Next base: position 95,071,909 of record NC_000010.11, read on the forward strand.
ATGATCAAGAGTGTATTAGCATTAATTAAGCCCTCTACAGTCACAGATTGACACCCACCTCAGCTTGGATAGGGTTGTGAATTAGAGCGGGGTTTTTTTTTAATTAATAGAATTTATTTTTATAGCAATTTTAGGCTCCGAGCAACAGTTCCCACAAACCCCTTCACCACACCTACAAATAGTCTTTCCCACAATCAACAACCCCCATCAGTGGGGTTCATTAGTTACAGTCAGTGAGCCAACAATAAGACATAATCATCAACCAAAGTTCGAAGTTCACATAGGGTTTACTGTTTGTGTTGTACATTCTATAAATTTGACTGATGTATAATGCCATATATCCACCATCGTAGCATCATACAGAATAGATTTGCTGTCCTAAAAACCCCCCATGCTCTGCGTATTCTCTCCCTTCCATGCAAGTCCTTGGTAACAAGTGAACCACAGTTCACTTTAGTGTTGCCATGGTTTTGCCTTTACTATAAGAGATTGTTATATAGTTGGAATCACACAGTATGTAGCCTTTTCAGGCAGGTTTCCATCACTTATTAATATGCAGAAGGTTTCTCCATGTCGTCTCATGGCTTGAAAGCTCATTTCTTCTTACCACCAAATAGTAATATAATAATATTCCCTTGCATTGATGTACCACAGTTTATCTGTTCATCTAGTGAAGGATATCTTGGTTGCTTCCAATTTTGGCAATAATGAATAAAGATGCTATAAATGTCCTTGTGCAAGTTTTGTGTGGACATATGTTTTCAACTCATTTGGCAAATATCAAGGAGCACAACTGCTGGATCATATGGTAAGCATATTTTAGTTTTGTAAAAGCCACCAAACTCTCTTCCAGAGTGTCTGTGACATTTTGCATTCATATCAGCAATAACTAATAGTTCCCATTGCTTCAAATCCTTGCCAACATTTGGTTTTATCAGTGCCTTAGATGTTCATTATTATAAAGGTATGTGTCATTGTTGTCTTCGTTTGCAGGCCCCTAATTATGTGTAATGTTGAACAGTTTTCATGCTTATTTGACATCTGTTTATCTTCATGGGTGGGGTGTCTGTTCAAATCTTTTGCCCATGTTTCTATTGAGGGTGTCCACTTTTTTGTTGCTGAGCTTTAAGAGTTCTTTGGGTATTTTGGATGACAGTGTTTTATTCTTATAAAGATATATTCTTGTATCTTTTGGAACTATTATTCCTCTTTTAGCTGGACTTCTCCCTCCCTTGATAGTGTCTTTTACAGAGTAAAACTTTTTTTTTGTTTTAACAAAGTTCGGATTATTGATTTGTTCTTTCATGGATTGTGCACTTGTTGTTGTATTTGAAAAACCATTGCCAAGGTCTTCTATATTTTCTCCTATGTTATCTTCTCAGAGTTTTATAGTTTTGTGTTTCACATTTAGTTCTATAAACAATTTGGAGTTAACTTTTGTGAAAAGTGTAAGATTTACATCTAGATTCTTATTTTTGCTAAAACATTTTAAGACAAATGGGACTTAATTAAACTAAAAAGCTTCTGCACAGCAAAGAAATAATTAACAGAGTAAACAGACAACCTACAAAATAGAGTAAAATATTTGCAAACTGTGCATTCAAAAAAGAGCTAATATCCAGAATTTATAAGGAACTCAAACAAGTCAATAAGACAAAACAAATAACCCCATTAAAAACTGGGCAAAGTTCCAATTGTCACAGGATATTGTTGCATTTGTTTTAGAGGTCTTAGTTATGAATTATTTGCCTAGGCCAATGTCAGAATTTTTCCTAGGTTTTCTTCTATGATTTTTATGGTTTTAGGTCTCATATTTGTCTTTAATCCATCTTAAGTTAATTTTGATATGTAGTAAGAATTAGGGGCCCAATTTCATTCTTCTGTTTATGGCGAGCTAATTTTCCCAGCACCATTTATTGAATAGGGTGTCCTTTCCACAGTGTATATCTTTGTTAACTTTGCCAAAGATCTGTTGGCCATAGGTATGTGGCTTTATCTATGGGTTTTCTATTCTGTTCTAATATAGGAGTAAGGATTTCACATTATTTTTTGTAAGGTTTACAGTAGAGAGACTCTCTTTGTTTTTGAATTCATTTAATTTTTTTCTTTAATTTTTAATTTCTGTGGGTACATAGTCAGTGTACTTATTTATGGAGTATATGAGATGTGTTGATACAGGCATGTAATGTGTAAAAATCACATCACAAAAAATAGAATATCCATCCCCTCAAGCATTTATCCTTTGAGTTACAATATAATTATGCTCTTTTAGTTATTTTAAAAGGTACAATTCAATTATTAATGACTATAATCACTCTGGTTTTCTATCAAATAGTAGGTCTTTTATTTTAACTATTTTTTTGCATTCATTAAGCACCCCAGATACCCCCACCCTCCCACTACCCTTCCCAGCCTTTTGTAACTATGAGAGAGTAACTTCTCTAATAGACAGTAGAGTTACCAGAGGATGGGAAGGGTAGTGGGAGAATGGGGGGTATGAAATGAGTTAAATTTCTTTGATTTTTAGAACCCACAAATAAGTGAAAACAAGCAATGTTCATCTTTCTGTGTCTGGCTTATTTCACTTAACATAGTGATCTCCAGTTGCATCTAAGTTGTTGCAAATGACTGGATCTCATTCTTTTTTTATGGCTGAATAGAACTTCTTTGTGTATATATGCCACATTTTCTTTATCCATTCGTCTGTTGATGGACACTTAGGTTGATTCCAAATCTCGGCTATTGTGAGCAGTACTGTGACAAACATAGGAATGCAGTTATCTCTTTGACACACTGATTCCCTTTCTTTAGGGTATACACCCAGCAATGGGATTGCTGGATCATATGGTAGCTCTATTTTTAGTTTCCAAGAAACCTCTAAACTGTTCTCTCATAGTGGTTGTAGTAATTTACCTTCCCACCAACAGTGTATGAGGGCTCCCTTTTCTCCACATTCTCTTTATTTGTTATTGCCTGTCATTTGGATATAAGCCATTTTCACTGAAGTGAGATGATATCTCATTGTAGTTTTAATTTGCATTTCTCTGATGATCAATGTTAAGCACATTTTTATATGCCTATTTGCCATTCATACATCTTCTTTTGAGAAATATCTATTCGAGTGTTTTGCCCATTTTTTGATCAGATTATTAAATATTTTTCTACAGAAATGTTCAAGCTCCTTATATATTCTGGTTACTAATCTTGTGTCAGATGGGTAGTTTGCAAATATTTTCTCCCATTCTGTGGGCTGTGTCTTCACTTTGTTGATTGTTTTATTTATTATGCAAAAGTGTTTTAACTTGATGTGATCTAATTTGTCCACTTTTGCTTTGGTTGTCTGTGCTTGTGGGGTATAGCTCAAGAAATCTTTGCCCAGACCAATGTGTTGGAGATTTTCCTCATTGTTCTCTTGTAGTATTTTCATAGTTCGAGGTCTTAGATTTAAGTCTTTAATCCATTTAGATTTGATATTTGTATATGATTATAGATAGAGGTCTAGTTTCATTCTTCTGCATATGGATATCCAGTTTTCCTAGCACCATTTATTGAAAAAACTGTCTCTTCCCCAGTGTATGTTCTTAGCACATTTGTCAAAAGTGACTTCACTGTAGTTGTGTAAATTTGTCTCTGGATTCTCTATTCTGTTCTATTGGTTTATGTGTCCTTTTTTTATGCCGGTACCATGTTGTTTGGGTTACTCTAACCTTGTAGTAAAATTTGAAGTCAGGTAATGTGGTTCTTCTGATTTTATTATTTTTGTTTAGAATAGCTTTTGCTATTCTAGGTCTTTTGTAATTCCTTATAAACTTTAGGATAGTTTTTTTGTCTATTTCTGTGAAGAATGACATTTTTTTTGGTAGTGATAGCATTGAATCTGTAGATTTCTTTGGGTAGCAAGAATATTTTAACAATATTGATTCTTCCATTCCATGAACATGAAATATCTTTTCATTTGTTCCCTGTTCTCTTCAATTTTTTAAATTAGAGTTTTACAGTTTTTTTATAGAGATCTTTCTCTCATACTATTAAGTTAATTCCTAGATCTTTAATTTTGTTTGTGACTATTGTAAATGAGGTTACTTTTTAATTTTTTTTCAGGTTGTTCACTGTTGACATATAAAAAGACTACTTATTTTTGTATGTTGATTTTGTATCATGCAACTTTACTAAATTTCTAAATCAGTTCTAATAGCTTTTTTAGGTGGAATCTTTTGGTATTTCCAACTATAAGATTATACCATCTGCAACAAGGGTAATTTGAATTTGTCCTTTTCCATTCAAATGCCCTTTATTTCTTTCATTTGTCTGATTACTCTAGCTAGGACTTCCAATATTATGTTGAATAACAGTGGTGAAAATAAAAATAGGCATTGTTTTTAAACTCTAGATCTTAGAGAAAAACCTATCAATTTTTCCTCTTTAAGTAAGATAATAGCTATCATAATTAATAGTTCCATCATATATGAGTTTTACTGTGTTGAGTTTTATTTCCTTTATTCCCCGTTTTTTGAGGGTTTTTATCATGAAAGGATGTTGAACTTTATCAAATGATTTTCCAGCATCAATTGAAATGATCACATAGTTTTCATTCTGTTGACAGGATGTATCACATTAATTGACTTGCATAAGTTAAACTATCTTTCCATCCCAGGGATAAATCCCACTTGATCACGATGAATGGTCCTTTTAAAATATTGCTGAATTCAGCTTGCTAGCATTTTGTTGAGAATTTTTGCATCAATATTCATCAGCAAAATTGGCCTATAGTTTTTTCTTTTTGATATGTTTTTGCCTGGTTTTATTGTCAGGGTTACACTGGCTTTGTAGAATGAGCTTGGAAGTATTCCCTCCTGCTCTATTTTTTTTGGGGGGGCATAGTTTGAGTAGAATTGGTATTAGTTGTTTTTTAAATGTTTGGTGGGATGCAGTGGTGAAGCTTTCGGGTCCAGGGCTTCTCTTTACAGGAAGATTTTTAATACAACTTTGATCTCATTACTTGTTATTGACATGTCAGGCTTTAGATTTCTTCATGTTTCAATCTTGATAGATTGTATATGTCTAGGAATTTGTCCACTTTTTCTAAGTTTTTCAATTTATTGACTTATAGTTGCTCACAGTAACCACTAATGATCCTTTAAATTTCTGCAGTATCAGTTGTTAGGTCTCTTTTTTCATCTCTGATTTCATTTATTTGGGTCTTCTCTTTTTAAAATTAATCTTGCTAGAGGTTTTTCAGTTTTGTTTAACCTTCCAAAATCAATGTTTTGCTAATTCATCTTCTATATTATTTTCTTTTCAATTTAATTTATTTCTGTTTTGATCTTTATTATTTCTTTTCTTCTAGTTTTGGCTTTCATTTGCTCTTGCTTTTCTTGTTCTTTAAGATGCATTGTTATGATTATTTATAGGAAGGTTTTCCTCTTTTTTTGATGTAGGCACTTACAGCTATAAACTTCCTCTTAGTACTGCTTTTGCTGTATCTCATAGGTTTTGTTATGTTGTGTTTCTATTATCATTTATTTCAAGAAATTTTCAATTTTCTTCTAAATTTCTTCATTGACCCACTGGTCATTCAGGAGCACACTGTTTAATTTTCATATATTTGTATATTTTCCAAGATTCCTCTGTTATTGACTTCCAGTTTTACTTTACTGTGGCCATAGAAGTTGGTTTATATTATTTCAATTATTTTTGAATGTTTTAAGACTTGTTATGTGACTTAAGATATGGTCTATTATTGAGAATAATCCATGTGCTGAGGAAAAGAGTATGTGTTCTAGAGTGATTATATAAAACCTTTTGTAAATATCTATTATATCCATTTGATGTGTAGTGCAGATTATGTCAGATGTCTCCCCTCCCCTCCCCTCCCCTGCCCTCCCCTCCCTCTCCCTCCCCCTTCCTTTCCCTTCCCTTCCCTTCCCTCTTTTTCTTTTCTTCTTCTTTTTTTTTTTTTTGGGTAGAAACATTGTCTCAGTATGTTGCCAGGCTGGTCTCAAACTCCTGAGCTCAAGTAATCTGTTCACTCTGGCCTCCCAAAGTGCTGGGATTACAGGTGTGAGCCACTGTACCCAGCCTCTTTGTTTACTGTCTGTCAAGTGGACCTATCCAATGTTGAAAGTAAAGTGTTGAAATCTCCAGCTATTATTGTATTAAAGTTTACCTTTCTATATATCTAAAATCATATTTGCTTTACATATCTGGGTGCTCCAGTGTTGGATGCATATATATTAAAAATTCTCATATCATCTGTCTCAATTGTCTCCATTATCATTAAATGGGGTCATCAAAGTTGACTTATTTGTTTCTTCTTACAGTTTTTTTTTCTTCTTATAGTTTTTGTCTTAAAATCTATTTAGTCTGATATTAGTATGGCTACACCTGCTCTTTTTTGGGTTCCAATGGCATGGAATATATTTTTCCATTTTTTTACATTCAGTCTATGTGTGTCTCTATAGGTGAAGTGTGTTTCTTGCAGGCAACGGTCAATAGATCTTGCTTTTTCCTCCATTCAGCCACTCTGTGTTTTGATTGGATGGTTTATTCCATTTACATTCAATGTTATTATTGATAAGTAAGGACTTACTCCTTCCATTTTCTCATTTGTTTTCTGGTTGTTTTGTGGTCTTCTTTCCTTCCTGTCTTCCTTCTAGTGAAGGTGATTTTCTCTGTTGATACAGTTTAGTTTCTTGCTTTCTATTTTTTTTGTATCCATTTTATGTATTTTGACTTGAGATTCCCACATGGACTTGCAAATACTGTCTCAGTACCCACTATTTTAACCTGATAAAAATGTAACACTGTTTAGATAAACAAACAAACAAGCAAAAATGAACTAATAAAAGTTCTACACCTCAACTTCCTCCACCTGCTTTTTAACTCTTTGTAGTATCTATTTATATCTTACAGCACTGCCTATTTCTTGAAAAAGTTGTTGTAGTTATTATTTTTGATTGGCTCATCATTCAGCCTTTCTACATAAGATAAGAGTAGTTTATGGCTGGGCACAGTGGCTCATGCCTGTAATCCCAGCACTTTGGAGGCCAAGGCAGGTGGATCACAAGGTCAGGAGATCGAAACCATCCTGGCTAACACAGTGAAACCCCATCTCTACTAAAACATACAAAAAATTAGCTGGGCATGTTGGCAGGCACCTGTAGTCCCAGCTACTCAGGAGGCAAAGGCAGGAGAATGGCATGAACCCAGGAGGCAGAGCTTGCAGTGAGCCGAAATCGCTCCACTGCACTCCAGACTGGGCGACAGAGTGAGAGTCTGTCTCAAAAAAAAAAAAAAAAAGAGAAATCGGGGGAGGAGCCAAGATGGCCAAATAGGAACAGCTCCGGTCTACAGCTCCCAGCGTAAGCGACGCAGAAGACGGGTGATTTCTGCATTTCCATCTGAGGTACCAGGTTCATCTCACTAGGGAGTGCCAGACAGTGGGAGCAGGTCAGTGGGTGCACGCACCGTGCACGAGCCGAAGCAGGGTGAGGCATTGCCTCACTCGGGAAGCACAAGGGATCAGGGAGTTCCCTTTCCTAGTCAAAGAAAGTGGTGACAGACGGCACCTGGAAAATTGGGTCACTCCCACCCAAATATTGTGCTTTTCCGATGGGCTTAAAAAACGGCGCACCAGGAGATTATATTCCGCACCTGGCTCAGAGGGTCCTACGCCCACAGAGTCTTGCTGACTGCTAGCACAGCAGTCTGAGATCAAACTGCAAGGTGGCAGCAAGGCTGGGGGAGGGGCGCCTGCCATTGCCCAGGCTTGCTTAGGTAAACAAAGCAGCCAGGAAGCTCCAACTGGGTGGAGCCCACCACAGCTCAAGGAGGCCTGCCTGCCTCTGTATGCTCCACCTTGGGGCAGGGCACAGACAAACAAAAAGACAGCAGTAACCTCTGCAGACTTAAATGTTCCTGTCTAACAGCTTTGAAGAGAGCAGTGGTTCTCACAGCACGCAGCTGGAGATCTGAGAATGCGCAGACTGCCTCCTCAAGTGGGTCCCTGATCCCTGACCCCTGAGCAGCCTAACTGGGAGGCACCCCCAGCAGGGGCAGACTGACACCTCACACGGCCGGGTACTCCAACAGACCTGCAGCTGAGGGTCCTGTCTGTTAGAAGGAAAACTAACAAACAGAAAGGACATCCACACCAAAAACCCATCTGTACATCACCATCATCAAAGACCAAAAGTAGATAAAACGACAAAGATGGGGAAAAAACAGAGCAGAAAAACTGGAAACTCTAAAAAGCAGAGCACCTCTCCTCCTCCAAAGGAATGCAGTTCCTCACCAGCAACAGAACAAAGCTGGATGGAGAATGACTTTGACGAGCTGAGAGAAGAAGGCTTCAGATGATCAAATTACTCCGAGCTACAGGAGGACATTCAAACCAAAGGCAAAGAAGTTGAAAACTTTGAAAAAAATTTAGAAGAATGTATAACTAGAATAACCAATACAGAGAAGTGCTTAAGGGAGCTGATGGAGCTGAAAACCTAGGCTCGAGAACTACATGAAGAATGCAGAAGCCTCAGGAGCCAATGCGATCAACTGGAAGAAAGGGTATCAGCGATGGAAGACGAAATGAATGAAATGAAGTGAGAAGGGAAGTTTAGAGAAAAAAGAGTAAAAAGAAACGAGCAAAGCCACCAAGAAATATGGGACTATGTGAAAAGACCAAATCTGCGTCTGATTGGTATACCTGAAAGTGACAGGGAGAATGGAACCAAATTGGAAAACACTCTGCAGGATATTATCCAGGAGAACTTCCCCAATCTAGCAAGTCAGGCCAACATTCAGATTCAGGAAATACAGAGAACGCCACAAAGATACTCCTCGAGGAGAGCAACACCAAGACACATAATTGTCAGATTCACCAAAGTTGAAATGAAGGAAAAAATGTTAAGGGCAGCCAGAGAGAAAGGTCGGGTTACCCTCAAAGGGAAGCCCATCAGACTAACAGCGGATCTCTTGGCAGAAACTCTACAAGCCAGTAGAGAGTGGGGTCCAATATTCAACATTCTTAAAGAAAAGAATTTTTAACCCAGAATTTCATATCCAGCCAAACTAAGCTTCATAAGTGAAGGAGAAATAAAATACTTCACAGACAAGCAAATGCTGAGAGATTTTGTCACCACCAGGCCTGCCCTAAAAGAGCTCCTGAAGGAAGCACTAAACATGGAAAGGAACACCCAGTACCAGCCGCTGCAAAATCATGCCAAGATGCAAAGACCATAGAGAGTAGGAAGAAACTGCATCAACTAACGAACAAAATAACCAGCTAACATCATAATGACAGGATCAAATTCACACATAACAATATTAACTTTAAATGTAAATGGACTAAATGCTCCAATTAAAAGACACAGACTGGCAAATGGGATAAAGAGTCAAGACCCATCAGTGTGCTGTATTCAGGAAACCCATCTCATGGGCAGAGACACACATAGGCTCAAAATAAAAGGATGGAGGGAGATCTATCAAGCAAATGGAAAACAAAAAAAGGCAGGGGTTGCAATCCTAGTCTCAGATAAAACAGACTTTAAACCAACAAAGATCAAAAGAGACAAAGAAGGCCATTAATTAATGGTAAAGGGATCAATTCAACAAGAAGAGCTAACTATCCTAAATATATATGCACCCAATACAGGAGCACCCAGATTCATAAAGCAAGTCCTGAGTGACCTACAAAGAGACTTAGACTCCCACACAATAATAATGGGAGACTTTAACACCCCACTGTCAACATTAGACAGATCAACGAGAGAGAAAGTCAACAAGGATACCCAGGAATTGAACTCAGCTCTGCATCAAGTGGACCTAATAGACATCTACAGAACTCTCCACCCCAAATCAACAGAATATACATTTTTTTCAGCACCACACCACACCTATTCCAAAATTGACCACATACTTGGAAGTAAAGCTCTCCTCAGCAAATGTAAAACAACAGAAATTATAACAAACTATCTCTCAGACCACAGCACAATCAAACTAGAACTCAGGATTAAGAATCTCACTCAAAACCGCTCAACTACATGGAAGCTGAACAGCCTGCTCCTGAATGACTACTGGGTACATAACGAAATGAAGGCAGAAATAAAGATGTTCTTTGAAACCAACGAGAACAAAGACACAACATACCAGAATCTCTGGGATGCATTCAAAGCAGTGTGTAGAGGGAAATTTATAGCACTAAATACCCACAAGAGAAAGCAGGAAAGATCCAAAATTGACACCCTAACATCACAATTAAAAGAACTAGTAAAGCAAGAGCAAACACATTCAAAAGCTAGCAGAAGGCAAGAAATAACTAAAATCAGAGCAGAACTGAAGGAAATAGAAGACACAAAAAACCATTCAAAAAATTAACGAATCCAGGAGCTGGTTTTTTGAAAGGATCAACAAAATTGATAGACCGCTAGCAAGACTAATAAAGAAAAAAAGAGAGAAGAATCAAATAGACGCAATAAAAAATGATAAAGGGGATATCACCACCAATCCCACAGAAACACAAACTACCATCAGAGAATACTACAAACACCTCTATGCAAATAAACTAGAAAATCTAGAAGAAATGGATACATTCCTCGACACATACACTCTCCCAAGACTAAACCAGGAAGAAGTTGAATCTCTGAGTAGACCAATAACAGGAGCTGAAATTCTGGCAATAATCAATAGCTTACCAACCAAAAAGAGTCCAGGACCAGATGGATTCACAGCCGAATTCTACCAGAGGTACAAGGAGGAACTGGTACCATTCCTTCTGAAACTATTCCAATCAATAGAAAAAGAAGGAATCCTCCCTAACTCATTTTATGAGGCCAGCATCATCCTGATACCAAAGCCGGGCAGAGACACAACCAAAAAAGAGAATTTTAGACCAATATCCTTGATGAACATTGATGCAAAAATCCTCAATAAAAAACTGGCAAACCGAATCAAGCAGCACATCAAAAAGCTTATCCACCATGATCAAGTGGGCTTCATCCCTGGGATGCAAGGCTGGTTCAATACACGCAAATCAATAAATGTAATCCAGCATATAAACAGAACCAAAGACAAAAACCACATGATTATCTCAATAGATGCAGAAAAGGACTTTGACAAAATTCAACAACCCTTCATGCTAAAAACTCTCAATAAATTAGGTATTGATGGGACGTATCTAAAAATAATAAGAGCTATCTATGACAAACCCACAGCCAATATCATACTGAATGGGCAAAAACTGGAAACATTCCCTTTGAAAACTGGCACAAGACAGGGATGCCCTCTCTCACCACTCCTATTCAACATAGTGTTGGAAGTTCTGGCCAGGGCAATTAGGAAGGAGAAGGAAATAAAGGGTATTCAATCAGGAAAAGAGGAAGTCAAATTGTCCCTGTTTGCAGATGACATGATTGTATATCTAGAAAACCCCATTGCCTCAGCCCAAAATCTCCTTAAGCTGATAAGCAACTTCAGCAAAGTCTCAGGATACAAAATCAATGGACAAAAATCACAAGCATTCTTATACACCAACAACAGACAAACAGAGAGCCAAATCATGAGTGAACTCCCATTCACAATTGCTTCAAAGAGAATAAAATACCTAGGAATCCAACTTAAAAGGGATGTGAAGGACCTCTTCAAGGAGAACTACAAACCACTGCTCAATGAAATAAAAGAGGATACAAACAAATGGAAGAACATTCCATGCTCATGGGTAGGAAGAATCAATATTGTGAAAATGGCCATACTGCCCAAGGTAATTTACAGATTCAATGCCATCCCCATCAAGCTACACATGACTTTCTTCACAGAATTGGAAAAAACTACTTTAAAGTTCGTATGGAACCAAAAAAGAGCCTGCACCACCAAGTCAATCTTAAGCCAAAAGAACAAAGCTGGAGGCATCACACTACCTGACTTCAAACTATACTACAAGGCTACAGTAACCAAAACAGCATGGTACTGGTACCAAAACAGAGATATAGATCAATGGAACAGAACAGAGCCCTCAGAAATAATGCCGCTTATCTACAACTATCTGATCTTTGACAAACCTGACAAAAACAAGAAATGGGGAAAGGATTCACTATTTAATAAATGGTGCTGGGAAAACTGGCTAGCCATATGTAGAAAGCTGAAACTGGATCCCTTCCTTACACCTTATACAAAAATCAATTCAAGATGGATTAAAGACTTAAACGTTAGACCTAAAACCATAAAAACTCTAGAAGAAAACCTAGGCAATACCATTCAGGACATAGGCATGGGCAAGGACTTCATGTCTAAAACACCAAAAACAATGGCAACAAAAGCCAAAATTGACAAATGGGATCTAATTAAACTAAAGAGCTTCTGCACAGCAAAAGAAACTACCATCAGAGTGAACAGGCAACCTACAAAATGGGAGAAAATTTTCACAACCTACTCATCTGACAAAGGGCTAATATCCAGAATCTACACTGAACTCAAACAAATTTACAAGAAAAAACAAACAGCCCCATCAAAAAGTGGGCAAAGGACATGAACAGACACTTCTCAAAAGAAGACATTTATGCAGCCAAAAAACACAGGAAAAAATGCTCATCATCACTGGCCATCAGAGAAATGCAAATCAAAACCACAATGAGATACCATTTCACACCAGTTAAAATGGCAATCATTAAAAAGTCATGAAACAACAGGTTCTGGAGAGGATGTGGAGAAATAGGAACACGTTTACACTGTTGGATGGACTGTAAACTAGTTCAACCATTGTGGAAGTCAGTGTGGCGATTCCTCAGGGATCTAGAACTAGAAATACCATTTGTCCAGCCATCCCATTACTGGGTATATACCCAAAGGACTATAAATCATGCTGCTATAAAGACACATGCACACATATGTTTATTGTGGCACTATTCACAATAGCAAAGACTTGGAACCAAGCCAAATGTCCAACAATGATAGACTGGATTAAGAAAATGTGGCACATATACACCGTGGAATACTATGCAGCCATAAAAAATGATGAGTTCATGTCCTTTGTAGGGACATGGATGAAATTGGAAATCATCATTCTCAGTAAACTATTGCAAGAACAAAAAACCAAACACCGCAAATTCTCACTCATAGGTGGGAACTGAACAATGAGAACACATGGACACAGGAAGGGGAACATCACACTCTGGGTACTGTTGTGGGGTGGGGGAGGAGGGAGGGATAGCATAAAAAAAGAGTAGTTTATACACAACAATTAGAGTGTTGTAATATTCTGTGTTTTCCTGTGTACTTACTGTTACCAGTGAAATTTGTATCTTGAGGTGCTTACTTATTGCTTATTTATTTCTTTTTCTTTCTGATTAAAGTACTCCCTCTAGCATTTCTTGTAGGACAGGCTTTGTGTTGACAAAATCCCTCACCATTTGTCTGAGAAAGTCTTTATTTCTCCATTTTTGAAGGATTTATTTTTATTTTTATTTTTATTTATTTATTTTTTTCACAGATACACTATTCTAGGGTAAAATCTTCTTTCTTTCAGCCGTTTAAATATGCCATGCCACTCTCTTCTGGAATGCAAGGTATGCACTGAAAAGTCTGCTGCCATACATACTGGAGCTCCATGGTATATCATTTCTTTCTTTTCTGTTGCTGCTTTTAGAATACTTTTTTTAAAAAAATCCTTAACCTTCGGGAGTTTTATCCTTAAATGCCTTGAGGTAGTCTTCTTTGGATTAAATCTGCTTGATGTTCCATAACCTTAGATACTAATATCTTTCTCTAGGTTTGAGAAGTTCTCTGTTTTTATTCCTTTGAATAAACTTTCTATCCTATCTCTTTCTCTACCTCCTCTTTAAGGCCAGTAACTCTTAGACTTTCCATTTTGGGGTTGTTTTTTAGATCTTATAGCAGTGCTTCATTGCTTTTTATTTTTATTTTTGTCTCCTCTGACTGTGTATTTTTAAATAGCGTATCTTTAAGCTCACTAATTCTTCTTTAGTTTGATCAGTTCTGTTATTAAAAGACTTTGATGCATTTTTCAGCATGCCAATTGGATTGTTAAACTCCAAGATGTCTTCTTGATTTTTAAAAAATTATTTCAATCTTTTTGTTAGCTTTATCTGATAGAATTCTGAATTCTTTTTCTGTGTTATCTTGAATTTCTTTGAGCTTCCTAAACAGAGCTATTTTGAATTCTCTGTCTTAAAGGTTACATATTTCTGTTTCTTTAGGATTGGTCTCTGGTGCCTTATTTAGTGTATCTGGTGAGGTTATGTTTTCTTGGATTTTCTTGATACTTGTTCATCTGTATCTGGGCATTGATGAATTAGGTATTTATTGTAGTCCTTGCAGTCTGAGCTTGTATGTACCAGTCCTTCTTGGTAGGTTTTTCAGTTATTTGAAAGAATTTGGGTGTTGTCTAAGCTGTATCTGCTTTAGGTGATAATGAAATCTCAGTAATGCTGCAGTTCTTGCAGATTCATTGAGTTACCATCGTGATGTTCTCGGACAAAATTTTGGAGAATTCTCTGCATTACCAGACAGATGCTCTTGTTCTTTCTTCAAACTTTCTCTCAAACAAACAAAGTCTCTCTCTTTTGAGCCATCTGAAGCTGCAGGTGGGTGACACAAGCAACCCTGTGGCCTCCACCACTATGACTGCACTGGTTCAAACCTGAAGCCAACACAGCACCTGATCCCACCCATGGGCTTCTGTAACTATGCTTTGTTTAACAACTATCTGTTAGAAAAAAAACAGTCTTGAATAAACAATACCATATGTTTGCTCAAAACCCTAAGGCTCTGCACTCAGCAGGTGGCAACGCCAGCCGAGCTTGTGTCCTTCCCTCCAGGATGGTGAGGTCCTCTAGGCCATAGGTGAGTCCAAAAGTCCTGTCAGGAGCCAGGGACTAGAGTCAAAATCTTTAGAAGTATACCTGGTGTTTTGTGGTACTGTGGCTGAGATGGCACTCAAACTACAAGATGCAGTCCTTCCCACTCTTCCTACCCTTTCCAAAGGCAGAAGAGTCTCACTCCATGGCCACCACCATGACAGACCCCTGGGAAGTTCTACAAGACTACCACTGATGGTCCATTAAGGCTTAAGGGCCTCAGGCAGCTTGTATTTAATGCTGCCTGGCCTATAACTCACTATTAGGGAAGTGGGCTCCCCTCTCGTCCTGAACTTTGCACCTCTGTGGCCAGGTTGGTACCCGAAGCCTGCAAGTCTCAGAGTCTCACTCAAAGTTTGCAATTTAGTATCTTAGTATCACCGTTGATTATTCAGGGCTTAAGGACTATTTATTCATCAGGTGATGGATGCTGCTAGGACTGGGTCCTTCTCTTCAACACAGCCTTTCTGGGCCAGAGTTGTCTAGAAATATCATCAGGGAGCTAGGGACTAGAACCAGGGCCTCATGACTCTGACTGGTGCCCTATCTTGCTGTGGGTGACTGGGTATCCAAAATGCAAGACAAAGTCTTTTTGACTCTTCTCTCTCCTTGCCTCAAGTGGAAGGAAAGGATCTCTTTTGGAGCTGTGAGCTGTGCAGCCTGAGGTTTTGGGGAGGGGAGGTGCCAGCACTCCCTTAGCCATCACCAGCTGATGTCTCAATAGGTCACGTTCCCCACCCACCCTGTCTACTGACTCTGGGCCCAGTTCAGCACTAGGACTCACCTAAAAGTTGGAGTCCTTGTGATCTAGGCTGCCTTTTAAGAGTATTTAGATACTCTGGAGCATGTTAGCCCATGGGGGAGAGGCTTGCGGGAACTCAAGTTCCATCTCCTGGATTGACAATTCTCTCTTTCTAGGGCTGGTTTAAATGCTCCATTTGTGGGCAGGTATCAGCTGAGTCTGTTCTGGCTTTCCTTTCTGCTGTAACAGGACAGCACTGAGTTCAATGCCTCACAATTGCTGTGTGTTCTCTCCCCCAGCTCTCGGAAATGCTTTCTGCAGCACACAGTAGCTGCAGAGGTAGGGGCAAGAGATGGGGGAGGGATGGTATTGTTTATTCAAGACTGTTTTTTTTTCTAACAGATAGTTGTTAAATTGGTGTCCTGTCAGGGGGGATGATTATTGGAGCCTTCTATGTTGTCATATTGTTCCACCTTCCCTCCAGTATTTTTAAGAGAGAGAGAAAAAAAAAACTTGTTCTGTTTTGATATTTTTTTCTTTTAACTTTTAGTTTGATTATGTTGTAGTTAGTATGAGTGACTCTTTTTGGTTTGGTCTGGTTTGTTAAGGCCTAGTGCATGAATTTAGTTTAACATAGTGGCTTCTTAAAATATTAAAGCCATATATGAAAATCCGTGGCCAACATTATACTGAACAGGCAAAAGCTGGAACCATTACTCTTGAGAACTAGAACAAGACAAGGATTCCCACTCACACCACTCTTAATCAATATAGTATTGAAAGTCCTAGCCAGAGCAATCAGGCAAGAGAAAGAAATAAAAAGCATCCAAATAAGAAGACAGGAAGTAAAACTAACTCTCTTCACAGACAATATGATTCTATACCTAGAAAACCTCATAGACTCTGTCAGAGGGCTCGTAGAACTGACTAACAATTTCAGTAAAATTTAAGGATAAAAAATTAGTGTACAAATATTAGTAGCTTTTCTATATAACAATAAATTCCAAGCTGAGAGCCAAATCAAGAATACAATGCCATTTACAAAAGCCACAAAAAATAAAATACCTAGAAATACAGCTTACCAAGGAAGTGAAAGGTCTCTACAATGAAAATTACAAAACACTGCTGAAAGAAATTAGCGGTAATGAAAACAAAAGGAAAGACATTCCATTCTCATGGATAAAAAGAATCAATATCATTAAAATGACCTTACAATTTAAAGATTCACTATTTTTCTTATTAAACCACCAATGTCATTTTTCCCGTAATTAAAATGTCATTTTTCCAGTAATTAAAAAAATTATTCTAAAATTCATATGGAACAAAAAAAGGGCATGAATAGCCAAAGGAACTCTAAGCAAAAGAACAAAGCTAGGGGCATCATATTAACTGACTTTAAAATATGCTACAAGGCTATAGTAACCAAAATAATATGGTACTGGCACAAAAACAGACACGTAGACCAATGGAACGTATTATATAACCCAGAAATAAAGCCACACACGTACAACCACATGTTCTTCAACAAAGTCAACAATAACAAACAATGTGGAAAATATTTCCTGTTGAATAAATGATGCTGGAATAACTGGCTAGCCATATGCAGCAGATTAGAACTGGCACCCTTCTTTTCACCCTATACAAAAAATAACTCAAGATGGACTAAAGACTTAAATGTAGACCTAAAAAAAAAATAAGAAAACTTAGGAAATACCATGTTGGACATCAATTTTGGTGAAGAAGTTATGACTAAGACCCCGAAAGCAATTGTAACAAAAACCAAAATTGATAAGTGGAATAAATTAAGGAGCTTCTGCAGAGGAAAAAAAAAAAACAAAACTAAGTATAAACAGACAACCAGAGAATAGGAGAATATATTCACAAAAGATGCGTGTAACAAAGCCTGTTATCCAAAATCTATAAGGAAATTAAACAATTCAACAAAAACCAAATCACCATATTTGAAAACCGGCACAAGACAAGAATGCCCTCTCTCTCTACTGCTATTCAGCATAGTGTTGGAAGTTCTGGCCAGGGCAATCAGGAAAGAGAAAGAAATAAAGTGTATTCAGTTAGGAAAAGAGGAAGTCAAATTGTCCCTGTTTGCAGATGACATGATTGTATATTTAGAAAACCCCATTGTCTCAGCCCAAAATCTTCTTAAGCTGATAAGCAACTTCAGCAAAGTCTGAAGACACAAAATCAATGGGCAAAAATCACAAGCATTCCTATACACCAATAACAGACAAACAGACAGCCAAATCATGAGTGAACTCCCATTCACAATTGCTACAAAGAGAATTAAATACCTAGGAATACAATTTACAAGGGATGTGAAGGACCTCTTCAAGGAGAACTACAAACCACTGCTCAATGAAATAAAAGAGGACACAAACAAATGGAAGAACATTCCATGCTCATGGATAGGAAGAATCAATATTGTGAAAATGGCCATACTGCCCAAGGTAATTTATTGATTCAATGCCATCTCCATCAAGCTACCAATGACTTTCTTCACAGAATTGGAAAAAACTACTTTAAAATTCATATGGAACCAAAAAAGAGCCTGCATTGCCAAGACAATCCTAAGCAAAAAGAACAAAGCTGGAGGCATCAGGCTACCTGACTTCAAACTATATTACAAGCCTACAGTAACCACAACAGCATGGTACTGGTACCAAAACAGATATATAGATGAATGGAACAGAACAGAGCCCTCAGAAATAACACCACACACCTGTAACCATCTGATCTTTGATAAATCTGACAAAAACAAGAAATGGGGAAAAGATTTCCTATTTAATAAAGCGTGTTGGGAAAACTGGCTAGCCATATGTAGAAAGCTGAAACTGGATCCCTTCCTTACACCTTATACAAAAATTAATTCAAGATAGATCAAAGACTTAAATGTTAGACTCAAAACCATAACAAGCTTATAAGAAAACCTAGGCAATACCATTCAGGACATAGGCATGGGCAAGGACTTCATGACTAAAACACCAAAAGCAATGGCAACAAAAGCCAAAATTGACCAATGGGATCTAATTAAACTAAAGAGCTTCTGCACAGCAAAAGAAGCTACCATCAGAGTGAACAGGCAACCTAAAGAATGGGAGAAAATTTTTACAATCTGCTCATCTGACAAAGGGCTAATATCCAGAATCTACAAAGAACTTAAACAAATTTACAAGAAAAAAAATCAACCCTATCAAAAACTGGGCAAAGGAGATGAACAGACACTTCTCAAAAGAAGACATTTATGCAGCCAACAGACACATGAAAAAATGCTCATTATCACTGGTCATTAGAGAAATGCAAATGAAAACCACAATGAGAAACCATCTCACGCCAGTCAGAACAGTGATCATTAAAAAGTCAGGAAACAACAGGTGCTGGAGAGGATGTGGAGAAATAGGAACACTTTTACACTATTGGTGGGACTGTAAACTAGTTCAACCATTGTGGAAGACAGTGTGGTGATTCCTCAAGCATCTAGAACTAGAAATGCCATTTGACCCAGCCATCCCATTACTGGGTATATACCCAAAGGATTGTAAATCATGCTGCTATAAAGACACATGCACACGTATGTTTATGGTGGCACTATTCACAATAGCGGGCTTGGAACCAACCCAAATGTCCATCAGTGATAGACTGGATTAAGAAAATGTGGCACGTAGACACCATGGAATACTATGCAGCTATAAAAAATGATGAGTTCATGTGCTTTGTAGGGACATGGATGAAGCTGGAAACCATCATTCTCAGCAAACTATCACAAAGACAGAAAACCAAACACCACATGTTCTCACTCATAGGTGGGAACTGAACAATGAGAACACTTGGACACAGGGCAGGGATCATCACACACTGGAGCTTGTCAAGAGGTGGGGAGCTGGGGGAGGGATAGCATTAGGAGAAATACCTAATGTAAATGATGAGTTGATGGGTGCAGCAAACCAACATGGCACATGAGTACCTATGTAACGAATCTGCATGTTGTGCACATGTACCCTAGAACTTAAAGTATAATAAAAAATAAAATAAATTAAAAAAAGAAAAGAAAAGAAAAACAGATAAATGACAACAGAATCTAGGAAGAGATTTCAAATTGCATCCTAGGGTGAGTCTGCTTCTGACAAATTTTTCAAACTGTAATGGTTGCCTCAAACTTTTCAAGCTTTTGTTCTGATTATCTATCTACAATGGGGTAAAGAAAAGGGGACTATAGGTAAAACAGCATGTAACTGATTGGATGAGCCATAGTGACAGTTAAATAGAAAGCTTTTGTCTAGAAACTATATCTCAGTAAAATCAAACAGGGCATTGGATTGAATGTCTTAGATGGAAGAAAAGAACTAATCTCTGAATTAAATTAGAGCTTATGGTAGTCAGTGTTTGTATAATAAGAAAAAATAAGTGATCACCAACAGAAGAAGTTTCAAATTGCATTCTAGGGTAAGTCTACAAACCACACAAATCCATCCATGTGAACTACATAAATCCCTCAAAATACACTTCTTACTCTTGGATGGAAACAAGCCAGAAAAGATACAAATTTCATCCCATCTTATGTATCATGGGGCAAGTTCCTTAGGCTGTCTTTGCATCATTATCCCCATCTGTAAAAAGGAGATAATAAATATACCTATATCATAGGGTTATGTGAGGGTTAAATGAAATACTTTCATTAGAACACAGCCTGGCATGTAATAAACACTCAAAAGCCAATAGCTATTATTGCCATTATTACTTGTACAAAAGTTTTGTTTTTTTTTTGTTTTTGCTTTTCTCCAGATGGTATATTTCTCATTTTAAATCTTCTAACTTCTGGGTGATGGCCAGATTACTGACAGCATTTTTAGTTCATGACACTGTCAAGCAAGAATACTTATTTATTGCTCCTAATGTGGCTTGACATTTGGGGACATAGTCCATTAAAGCCGTATTCCTGGTCTTTCTCTGCTCTTCTATAGAGGGAGGGGACTGAACTACTGGTGAATCTAAGAGAAGATACTTGTTCATCTTGACACAATTTCTCTTCCCTGTCCTCCTTTCTGCCTACAGAGGGCATTCACTGTACTCTGCCTCTCCATGCTCAAAGTTTAAAGGGGCTGGTCGCCTAAGAGACTTGCCTAAATTCATTCAATGCAGCTGGTGGCTGTATAATTCTCAATCTGCCACTCAGTAGCATCAGGATCAGAATCTAGACCATTTCTAGATTCCTGATATTCAGCCCAGTACTAGAGAGTAATAACAGTGATCGTTTATTATCTTCATGCCTTACTCCTGAGCCTGTCACTGAATTTTTCTAAACCTGAGTGGGAAACTAAGGGCAAACAGTATTGTATGTTTTGAAAGTGCTAAAAGAAAAGATCTTAAATGTTCTCACCAATAAAAGAAAAGTAGGTGAGGTGATGGAGATGCTAATTTGCTTGATTTCATCATTCTGCATTGTATGCATATATGAAAACATGTTGTACCCTATAAATATGTCTAATTCTTATTTAATTAAAAATAAATAATTTAAAAATAAAATGGGCAAAGACATAAATACTTCTCAAGAGAAGACATAGATACAGCCAACAAATATATGAAAAATTCCTCATCATTATTAATTATTACAGAAATGCAAATCAAAACTACAATGAGATACCATCTCACACCAGTTAAAATGGCTCCTACTAAAAAGTCAAAACCAAGGGATGCTGGTGAAGATGTGGACAAAAGGGAATGTTTATATACTGTTGGTGGAAATATAAACTAGCTCAGCCAGTTTGAAAAGCAGTGTAGAAATTTCCCAAGGAACTTTGAACAACCATTCAACCCAGGAATTCCATTACTGGATATATACCCAAAGGAAAATAAATTGTTCTCTCTAAAACATGCATGCATTTTATGCATTGCAGCACTATTCACGATAGCAAAGACATGCAGTCAACCCAGATGCCCATCAATGCTGGACTAGATAAAGAAAATGTGGTGCATATGCACAGTGGAATACTACACAGCCATAAAAAACAGAAATTATATCTTTTGCAGCAACATGGATGCAGCTGGATGCTGTTAGCCTAAGTGAATTAATGCAGGAACAAAAAAAAACAAATATTCTATACCCTTATAAGTGGGAGGCAAACATTGAATACACATGGACACAAAGACGGGAACAATAAACACTGGGAACTGCTTGAAGAGGGAGAGTGAGAGGGGTGCATGGGTTGAAAGGCTTCCCATCTGGTACTATACTCACTACCTGTGTGATGGGACCATTTGTACACCAAACCTCAGTGACATCCAATTTACCCACACTACAAACCCACACATGTACATCTTGAACATAAAAGTAGAAATAAAAACAAATAGACAAATAAATAAATAGCAGAAAAATTGGCCTCCTAGTTCTGTTTAAAAAGTTTTTTGGGTGTGGTTTTAATTTAGGTGAGAGTGACTTTTAGAACTTTAATGTCATTTTACTTTTTTTGGTCTTAATACATTGTTTATAGGTTTTAGTACTTTTATGACTGCATTATATTTGAATTTTTGGTTTTTTAGTTGAAGACAGACTATTTGACATTTTATGGAAGGCTACATGTAAAAATTTAAAGCTTTCGAGAGAATTTAGCGTATCAGGGGATTATTATTATGACTATGAGGATAATGGTAACAGTTTGAAGTATTTTTTTGGTAAGGATTTTTATGAGCCATGACCCAAATGAATTAAAATCAAATAGATTAAAGAATGAGTTAGATAGTCTATTTTTAAGCAAATAGCCTGTTAATTTTTATAATCAAATTTTTATAATATTCAATATATTTATGTGTTCCAAGAAGTGTTAGTAATTGGATAATTTTTGTGTTTAGTCAGTAACTTAGTGTAATTTTATTATTTAATATAACTCTTATAATGGAATTTAAAGAAGTCTGCTATATAGTCATAACCTTTGTAGAGAGGAGTTAACCAATGTTTTGTTTCTGACTGATTATGGAATAGTGAAGGTACCATTAATTTTTTTGTCCACACTGGCCCTTTGGTTTTTATTTATTAAGGCATAGGTTTGTCTATGTATAAAGTTGGCTGTGAATATTTTTACAAATAAAAGTATATCCTATGAGTGTGCATAAGACCGCTATTTTAGTTTTAATTTTTATAAAGGCATAAGTAGGAAAAAATTGAGAAAGTTAAGAGTTTCTATAATGGCAGAGAAGTCTTGATTTGTTATTTTGGGTAGTTGTCCATGTCTAGGATGTTATCTGTTTTCAGGGAGAAAGGTTTACTTTAAGATCTGTAATGGGTGTATAGATTTCAGAGTCTGGAGGACCATTTTGAGTTGTGAGATTACAAACATAAGGTTTGAGGTCTTAAAATTTTGTTATTGTCTGCATGGCAAGGGTAGTCTTTTTTTATGTTGTTTTTAGAAGACCCAAAGTTTAGGTTTTAGATTATCATAGGTAGGATTGTATTTAGTCAATAGATTATGAAAAGCTTTTTTACATGGTAAAATATATATTATGGCATAATGTATTAGAGTCTCATAATATTTAGTGATATTAGAATATAGGAGTGAATGTATATGAAGTTTTGTTATTAGGGGCAAAGGCCTTTTAGTGACTATTTTATAAGAGGTGAACTTATGTTTTCCACTGGAAGTGGATCTGATTGCCATTAATCTGTATTGGTTTTTACTAATGCAATCTAATTGATTTAGTTATCTTTATCTAATGTTACCATATTTATAATATTTTATAGCTTGTAAAATAAGTACCTTTGTCAGAAAATATATTTTTCAAAATGTCCCATGAAGAAAACACATTTTTAATAACCTTTTAGTTACTGTTATAGTATGTGTCTTCTTGTATAGGAAAAAGTTATTATATAGCTAGAAAACATGTATTGAAAATAATAATTGAATGAAGTATCTCTAAACATGTTAAAATGGATCATTAGATGGTAGAAATGTACCTAAAGTTTTTATTTTTTTAGGATTTTTGGATTTGACAAACTAAATATTAATTATAAATTATTTTAGTAATTTAAAACAGTAACTACACAAATTTATACAATATACATTACATATACATGGATATGTATATTTTATGTACATATTTCCTTTGAAGCTGAAGGCTCTTAAGTCAGCTTGTGATGCATGCTACCTGGCCTGGGACTCACCCTTCAGGGCGTCCCCCATCTTGGATGGTCCAGAGATGCCATTTAAGAGTCAAGTCTTGGAATTGGGGACCCCAAGAGCCTGCTTGGTGCTCCACCTTCCTATGGCTGCACTTGTACCTAAGGTGCAAGACAAAAAAAACCCTTTACTTTCCCTCAGCTTTTCTCAAGTGGAAGGAGTTTCAACCCATAGACACCATAGCTGGTAATGTTCTGAATCCCACCTGAAGCCTGCAAGTTTCAGAGGCTTACCAAATGCCCTTGATGTAGTACCTGGGTATTGCTGCTGGTTATTCAGGACCCAAGGACTCTTCAGTTAGCAGGTGATAAATGCTTCCAGGACTGGGTTCTCCTCAAGGCAGTGGGTTTCTTTTTGGATCAGGTGTGTCTGGAAATGTCATCTGGGAGCTAGGGCCTGGAATGGGGGCCTCATGCCTGTGACTGGTGCCCTATCCAGCATGACTAAGCTGGTGTTCAAGGTGTGAGACAAAGTCCTCCCCTCTCTTTCCTCTCTTCTCTTCAAGTGGAAGGAAGGGATATTTTTGAAGTCACAACTTGTACAACCTGCGATTATAAGACAGGTAACACCAGCATTCCCTTTGCCACCTTAACTGGTATCTCAGTAGGTTGTGTGCCCTCCCCACCCCCAGTTTATTGTTTTGGACCCAGTCCAGCCCCAGGACTAACCTAAGAGTTGTAGTCCTTATGGCCTAGACTGCCTTTCAAGTTTACTTACAGACACAGTGTACTTCAGCCCTTGGTGGTGAGGTTTGTGTTAACTCAAGTTTGGTCCACTGGGATTGGCAATTCCTCTCTGGCTGTGCATGGTTTAAATGCTCCCTCCATGGGTGGACATCAGCTGAGTTTTAATCCAGTTTTTCTTTCTTCTCTAACAGGACAGTACTGAGTTCAATGCCTCAGATTTGCTGTGTTCTCCCTCCACAAGCACACAGAAATGTTCTCTGCACAATGCTGCTACTGTTGAGAAGTGGGGAAGGGGTGATTGGAGAGTCAAGATTGTTTTTGGTTTTTTTTCTATCTCTTTAGTGCCTCTTTAGTAATACGTAGTTAAAACTGGATACTATGAGGGTTCAACTAATTTTGCCTTCTCTTCTGCCATTTTGCTCTGCCTTTTCCAAGAGAATCAGCATATGGAACATTTTTATTAATTATTCAATTAAGCCTTTTATTTTTCTTTTAGAAAGCCTTTTAAATGATGCAATACACATATTGCACTCTTTAGAAGCTCTTGCATATCAATAGGTATCCCTGGATGAGACTAGTTTGGAAGCTATCATTTGTAAGTGTACTTTTTAAAGTGTAGTGTTGTTCATTTGGAACATTTTATTGTAATTTAATATTTTTAGTAACTGTCAGTTTTGTAAGCATTTATTGTTTTAGGAGCCTAATAATTATACATGTATAGGTAGGCATAGCCAGAAGGTAGAGTACTCATTTCTTTAGATATTAAGAATCTTATCTTTATGTTAAATGTTAGCTTTGGCTCTCAGATTCCTCTTGATCACTTTAGCCAATGATTGTTCCCCACCTAACTACGCACGAAGAAGAAACAAAGGGGATAGGACACACACACAAAAAAAAACTCTGCAATTTATGAAAACTGAACTTCACACCCTTTTCAGTATTTCCATTTACTGTCAGTTTCTGTAAGACCAAGTCAGGCATTTAAGGCCTCTAACTGAATCCAAGTCAGTTAAGGATTAAATTTAATCTGAATTTTAATTTAATCCAGTTTTTGTTGTGACTGTTAAACCCAGCTTGGATTAAAAATGTGTTCAAACACAGATAGCTCAAAATGCAAATCTGTAGAGCTTTGTAATCCAAGAGAGAATTTAACCACAATCCCCAGTAGCTGTGAGAAAGTAATGGACATGAATCAACATGGCAGGTACCTCATTTGGTCATTTGATGTTTTGGGGGTCACTAAAATACCTACTTTGGATCCCACTTCAGACAACATTTGTTAAAATTAAAACCTACAGGCAAATTATATTTAACAAAGTTTAACTAGGCAAATAATATTTGTAAATTGGGCAGCTGCTTAAGCTAGAATAGCTTCAGAGCAACTCTGTACTCCCATGTAGTCAGAGGGGATTTATGGACAGAAAAAGAGAAGTGATGTACAAGAAATGGAAGTGAAGTGCAGAAATAGCTAGATTGGTTACAGCTTAGCAGTTGTCTTATTTGAACATAGTTGGAACATTTGGTTGCCTTTGATTAGCTGAAACTTGGTAACTGGTACAAGAGTAGGTTACAGTTTGTTTACATGTTCAGGCAGGTCAGAGTCCACTATCTATAGAGAAACCTTTGGACTGACATTAAAACGTGTAAACAGATACCTGTAGGCTAAACTTGACTTATCACAGGTCACTTGTGTTTTGGAACACCTACTTGAATTTTCCATTTTCAGGGCAGTTTGCATGAGACAGTACCTGACTTACTTAGAAAAGCCAAAGGGAGAATGCTCTGTTCATAAATGACACTCCTTCAACCTTCTTCCCTATGCATGCAACTGTGACTCTGATCATGCCTTTTCCTGGAAGGAAAATCACATGAAAACCTAAGAAGAGGCATAATTTGGGCACATAAAATCCACATAACTATTTTACAACTTGGAGGAAATTGTCCTTTCTCAAAATTATTTTTACCATTCATTTCAAAATTATCTGTGGGTGGGGGGTGGTAGTCAATCATACCCTCTTCCCACTTTTCTGCTTTAACTGGGGATATGATTATTTGTCTTCATGGAGGTATAAGTACACCATCCTTTATCTGAAATCCCTGGAGCCCAATATGTTTTCTAATTCAGAATGGTTTGACTTTAAATATATATTGTTATATTTTCTACAGATTTTGGAAACTTCCAGTAATGTGGATGATAAAATATAATCAAACATTTTGATATTTCTTTAGAAAAATATTAGTAATTACACAAAGATGGATGAGTAAGGGACATAAATGGATTCATTTCACTTCACTTAAAGTCTTGGCCATCAAATAAAATTACAAATAACTTAATTCGCTTTTAATTTTTCAGGATTTTAGTATTACAGATTGAGGATGAAGGATTTCTAACCCTGCATTACTGAAAAAAAAACTTAGATCTGCATTGTCCAACACAGTAGCCATAATGATTCATGGTTATTTAATTTAAATTTAAAGTAATTACAAGTAAAGGCAGTTTTAAATTCAGTTGTTCAGTTGCATTAATCACATTTGTAGTACTTAATACGTACCTGTGGCTAGTGGCTTCCATATGGCACAACACAGATATTCAGAATTCCTTCTTACCCAGATGACAGTAGTAATTTCAACCTCAGCAAACTCACAATCCATTTTTTCTTTCAAACTAGAATTTTAGTTATCTTTTTAAAATTTATATTTATTTATTTATTTATCTATTTATAGATGGAGGCTTGCTTTGTTGCCCAGGCTGGAGTGCAGTGGCACAATCACTGCTCCCTGCAACCTCTGCCTCCCCGTTATCTCATTTTTAAAATAATACTAGTCATATGTGCTGGCTTCAAGTGAAATGGAGTAGCTATTAGAGTAGCAACTAAAAGTCTGATTAAACACAGAAACTGTGGGTTAGAAGATTGGAGAACTTTTGAGCTAAAAATTAGTCTCAGGGATCCATAGATGGGAGAACCTCAGAGGTCAGCTGATGGCTACAGTCAATGTTGGATGTTGTTCATATCTAATTCTGGGTGAAGGCAGGAGGTGTTAAATAATTCTATCTGCCTAGTGTGAGAGGGATGAACCCTTACTGGAAGAAGATAAACCTCACTGGAAACTCTGCATTTTTTTATATGTAACTACTGGCACTTAACCAAGGCTTACTAGGCATGGCAAAGATAGAAATAAATGAACAGATAAAGAATAGAGAAGGAAAAAAGGCAATAAAAAATAAATGCAAATCAAAACCACAATGAGATACCATCTCACACCAGTTAGAATGGCGATCATTAAAAAGTCAGGAAACAACAGGTGCTGGAGAGAATGTGGAGAAATAGGAACACTTTTACACTGTTGGTGGGACTGTAAACTAGTTCAACCATTGTGGAAGTCAGTGTGGCGATTCCTCAGGGATCTAGAACTAGAAATACCATTTGACCCAGCCATCCCATTACTGGGTATATACCCAAAGGACTATAAATCATGCTGCTATAAAGACACATGCACACGTATGTCTATTGGGGCACTATTCACAATAGCAAAGACTTGGAACCAACCCAAATGTCCAACAATGATAGACTGGATTAAGAAAATGTGGCACATATACACCATGGAATACTATGCAGCCATAAAAAATGATGAGTTCATGTCCTTTGTAGGGACATGGATGAAATTGGAAATCATCATTCTCAGTAAACTATCGCAAGGACAAAAAACCAAACACCGAATGTTCTCACTCATAGATGGGAATTGAACAATGAGAACACATGGACACAGGAAGGGGAACATCATACTCTGGGTACTGTTGTGGGGTGGGGGGAGGGGGGAGGGATAGCATTAGGAGATATACCTAATGTTAGATGACAAGTTAATGGGTGCAGCACAGCAGCATGGCACATGTATACATATATAACTAACCTGCACATTGTGCACATGTACCCTAAAACTTAAAGTATTATAATAATAATAATAATAAAAAGAAAAAAACAGAGAAGGAAAAAAGGCAATAAAAATATGTTTACACTAGGGAGCATTCCCTATATTATTTTAAGAGAGCAACATTTACCTTAATATGATTAAGCATATATTACCTTAATATCAGAAAACTGACAATAAAATTTTGATGAGTAAAATTAGCAGACCAATGTTTCTTATAAATATAAATACAAATATCCTCAACTAAATATAGCAAATCAAATATAACTGTGTCTCTATGTGTATTTTCATTAATGCATATTAATATACGTTATGTATACCACATATATAGGCAGGTCAAAATAAATGGCCATATTA
The DNA here is from genome assembly GCF_000001405.40 of Homo sapiens. NCBI lineage: Eukaryota > Metazoa > Chordata > Mammalia > Primates > Hominidae > Homo > Homo sapiens. The sequence continues at coordinate 95,100,668 of NC_000010.11, forward strand.
ATAGATTTAAAAAGAAAAATAAATATTGGCAAAGATGTAAAGAATAGAAAATTCATACACTGTTGTTAGTATTGTAAATTAGCACAACCATTTTTGAAAGCAATATGGAGGTTTCTCAGAAAACTAAACATAGAATTATCACATAATCCACCAATCCCACTACTGGGTTTATACCCAAAGAAAATAAAATCAGCATGTGAAAGTGATATCCTCACTTTCATGCTCATAGCAGCATTATTCACAATAGCCAAAATATCGGAACAACCTAAGTGTCCATCAACAGATGAATGAATGAAGACATGTGGTATATATACACAATGGAATGCTACTCAATCTTTAAAAAATCCAGAACATTCTGTTATTTGTGACAACATGGATGAACCTAGAGGACATTATGTTAAGTGAAATAAGGCAGACACAATGAGGCAGATACTATAAGATCTCACATATAGGTAGAATCTAAAAAAGTCAAACTCATGGAAATAGTGAGTAGAATGATGGTGACTAGAGTCTTTGGAGAAGGGGTGGATAGGGAAAGGGGAGTCATCAGCAAATAGCCACAAAGTTACAGTTAGATAGGCGAAATAAGTTGTAGTGTTCTACTGCACAGAAATGTGACTATAATTAGCAATAATATCTATTTCAAAATAGATAAAAGCTTAACAGTTTTCATCCCAAAGAAATAAATGTTTGAGATGATAGATATAATAATCATTCCCATTTGATAATTCTATAATGTATACCTGTATCAAAATATCACTTTATACCCCATAAATATATACAATTGTTGTCAACTAAAAATGAAATAAAATTTGAACAAACGGAATCCACTTGATCAAATTATACATATTCATGACAAAAAAAATTAAAATAAGAGAGACAATTGCCTAAATCTGATAAAAAAAATTTACCAAACTATACATTAAACACCATTTTCAATTGTGAGATATTAAACCTCCACTCTCTCCTAGAGATTAGAAATATAACAAGGCTCCCCACTATCATGATTTATATTCAACACTGTCCTTACCAGTGAAATAATGCAATACAGATAAATTAAAGTTATGACCATTACAGAATAAGAAATAAACATTAAATCAGATCACAGAATTGTGTACATAGAAATTACAAATGCATCAAGAAAAAGATTATTGTCAATGATAACTAAAATTAGCAAAGTTGCTAGATATGAGGTCATAAACATAATAAGGTAATTATATTTCCTTGTACCAGAAAAAAAGAAATAAGAAGGCATTTTGTAATGCACACTATTTATAATAACATCAAAAATATCATTTGCTTAAGGAAAAAACCTAACAGATGTACAAGTCACTGCACTTAAAACTAAAGATTACTAAGAAAATTAAAAAAGCCGTAACAAATTGGAAGCATAATCAGATTCATGAATTAAAAAATTCAACATGTCAAGAAATCAATTCTTTTAAAATTGACCTACAAAGTTAATGTCACCCTGATAAAAATAACAGAAGAGTGTTTTGGGGAAATTAACAAAGAGATACCATTAGAAATTATTTGGAAATGTAAGCACCTAAGAGTAACCAAAAACTTATTAAGTAAGCAGAACAAATTTGGAAGACACACTTTGTCAGCTTTCAAGACAATAAAATGTGACAATTTGAAATATTGACTACAGGGGATCATTAACATACCCAAAGTACTTTTTATCGTATTCAATGTTCTATGCCAAGATTATTTTATTAATGTTCTTATAATTTCTGAGTGATATGTGGAACTTCCAATATTGTGTAATCAACTCTACTGAGACACACCAATCCTTTCCACATTTATACTTGCTAGACATACAAAATCATCCTCAATTGTAACATCAACTTCATACACTTTTCTAAATTTGTCAACTCAAAATTATTTTTAGGCCAAAGGAGAGTAGAACATTTATAAGCCAATGTTAATATTTCCATTAATGGAAGTGAATTTGATGAATCAGTGGTTGTATAAAGACAGTCCATCAAGATTAAGCTAGCCTATAGAAAATATTGTTGAAAGAAATTAAAGAAGATCTAAGTAAAGGGAAAGATATCCCACATTCATCTATTGGAAGGTTTAACATTGTTAAGATGATACTACTTCCTAAATAAATCTACAGATTGAATACAATCCATAACCATATCCCTCCTACCTTCTTTGCAGAAATTGACAGGGTTGTCCTAAAATTTATATGGAAATATAAGTAACCCAAATTGTTGAGAACCAAAAAAATTGTGGAAAAAACAACATTGAAGGAATAACACTTCTCAACATCAAAATTTACAGCAAAGATGATTGGGTGTAGTGGCGTACAAAGAAAGATTTATAGATCAATGGGATAGGATTGAGAATCCAAAAATAAACCCTCACATGTATAGCCAATTGATTTTCAACAAATGTGCCAAGATTCTTCATTAGGACAAAAGTATTCTTTTCAATGAATGGCGCTAAGACAACTAGATATCCGTGTGCAAAAGAATAAATTTGGACACATAACTCACACTAGAATGAAAAATTGACTCAGAATGAGATTATAGACATAAATGCAAGAGTTAAAACTATAAAACTCTTAGAAGAAAACTTGGAATGAATCGTTATGATCCCGGATTAGGCAACTGTTTCTTAAATATGATACCAAAACTACAAGCAACCAAAGAAATCAGTATATTAGGTTTTATAAAAATTAGAAACCTTTTGTATGTCAAAGAGCACTGGCAAGAAAAGAGAAGATAACCCACAGGATGGGAGAAAATATCTTCAAATTATGTATCTGATAAGAGACTTGTATCAAGAATATATAAGAACTTTTCCAACTCAATAACTTAAAAAATTATAATGATGCAATTAAAAATGCAAAGAATCTGAATACATATTTTCATAAAAGGATAATACAAATGGTCAATAAGCACATGAAAGAATGCCCAACCTCATTAGCCATGAGGAAAATACAAGTTAAAACCAAAATAAAAAGCCACTTCTTACCCACTAGGATGGCTAGAGTGAAAACGACAGATAATGAAAAGCATTGGCAAGGGTATGAAAAAATGGAAGCCATCATACACGCTGCTGAGGATATAAAATGGTTCAGCCAATTTTATGCCTATGTTTTCTTGTAGGAATATTTTCTTTTTAGTTCTTATAGGTGTGTCTTTGATCCAGCCACAGTTGCTCCAAAGATTAAACATAGAGTAACCATATGACTCAGAAATTCCACTTTCAGGTATATGCTGTAAACAAATGAAAACATATATATACACAAAAACTTGTACATAAATATTCATACCAGCATTATTTATAATAGCCAAAAAATAGAAACAATCAAAATGTTTATCAATCAATGAATGGAAACATAAAATATAATATATCCACACTAGAGTATTAGTCAACCGTATAAGGAAATGAAGTACTTATGTGTGCTACGACATCAATGAATCTTGAAAACATTATGCAAGTGAAAGAAGACAGAAACAAAAGATCAATTACTGTATGACTCTATATATGTAAAATGTCCAGAATAGCAAATCTATAGATACACAAAGTAGATTAGCATTGCCTAGAGCTGGAGAATTGGGGAACAATAGGAAGTGACTGTTAAGCATATTGGTTATCTTTTCAGGTTGAAGGAACTGTTCTAAAATTGATTTCTGTCATGGCTGCACAGCTCTATGAAAATAATGAAACCATGAATTGTACTTAAAATGTATGAAGAAATGGTATATGAATTGTCCTCAATAAAAATATTATGTAAATAGAACAAAAAAGAAAAAAAGTTATATTCTGAATATTATAGTGAGGTCTAATGAGCAATGCAGTTTTAAAAGACAGTAATGAGAAAATAGCCACTGGTAACTGAAATACCAGAGACCTTACAGTTCTTTTTAACCTTGGATTAGTGGAGAGGCTCCACAGCATTAAGAAAACCCATATAAATGTGTGAAAACTACTGGGAACTCATGTAGTTACATTCTTCTGGTAAGGTGTTCATACATTTAATGAGATTCTAAAATTAATTGATTTCCAAAAGATAAGAATCATTGACCTTGGAGAAAGAAGGCAAAGAGTAGGAACAATTTGCTTCTTTCCCCTCCAATTGTATCGAACTATTCCACCTTTACTTCATTCCATCTGGAACACATAATTTGAGTGGTACTGGTCATATTCATGGACAATTCTTTGAAAGTCACCTTCATCAGCATTATCGACTCATTGCCATTTTCACTGACTGATTCCTCATTTCTTTCCAGTACTATGAAGTGACTGAATAAAATATTAGTGGCCTTAGGTAAAAAATTTCTTGTCTAGAGTTAGCTGTTTTCAGTTTGTTCTGGTTGGGTCTCTCCCCAGTTTAAAGAAGACTTTGCACCTATATTTATCTTTATAACATCTATATTACTCTTATCCCAGTGTCCAAATTGACTCTACTATTATTCAAATTCATGATCCAAACATTTCCCTTCTTGGTTTAATTTATCAAATACAATATCTAGTATCATTAATAAAATTTCCCACATGGCTCCTATTATTTGGCACTCATATGCTCCTCTAACTACAGCTAATATTTATAGGTCATTGAGGATATGGCAACGTGAACAACCAGGCTTTATTTATTTATTTATTATCTTTAAATTATACTTTAAGTTCTAGGGTACACATGCACAATGTGTAGGTTTGATACATAGGTATAAATGTGCCATGTTGGTTTGCTGCACCCATCAACTCGTCATTTACATTAGGTATTTCTTCTAATGCTATCCATCCGCAAGCCTCCCATCCCATGAAAGGCTCTGGTGTGTGATGATCCCTGCCCTGTGTCCAAGTGTTCTCATTGTTCAATTCCCACCTATGAGTAGGAACATGCAGTGTTTGATTTTCAGTCCTTGTGATAGTTTGCTGAGAATGATGGTTTCCAGCTTCACCCATGTCCCTGCAAAGGACATGAACTCATTCATTTTTATGGCTGCATAATATTCCATGGTGTATATGTGCTACATTTTCTTAATCCAGTCTATCATTGATGGACATTTGGGTTGGTTCCAAGTCTTTGTTATTGTGAATAGTGCCACAATAAACATACGTGTGCATGCATGTTATAGTAGCATGATTTATAATCCTTTGGGTATATACCCAGTAATGGGATGGCTGGATCAAATGGTATTTCTAGTTCTAGATCCTTGAGGAATCACCACACTGTCTTCCACAATGGTTGAACTAATTTAAACTCCCACCAACAATGTAAAAGCATTCCTATTTCTCTACATCCTCTCCAGCATCTGTTGTTTCCTGACTTTTTAATGATCACCGTTCTAACTGGTGTGATTTTGATTTACATTTCTCTGATGACCAGTGATGATGAGCATCTTTTCATGTGTCTGTTGGCTGCATAGATGTCTTCTTTTGAGAAGTGTCTGTTCATATCCTTTGCCCACTTGTTGACGGGGTTGTTTTTTTCCTGTAAATTTGTTTGAATTCTTTGTAGATTCTGGATATTAGCCCTTTTTCAGATCAGTAGAGGGCAAAAATTTTCTCCCATTCTGTAGGTTGCCTATTCACTCTGATGGTAGTTTCTTTTGCCATGCAGAAGTTCTTTAGTTTAATTAGATCCCATTTGTCTATTTTGGCTTTTATTCCCATTGCTTTTGGTGTTTTAGTCATGAAGTCCTTGCCCATGCCTATGTCCTGAATGGCATTGCCTAGGTTTTCTTCTAGGGTTTTTGTGGTTTTAAGTCTAACATTTAAGTCATTAATCTATCTGGATTAATTTTTGTATAAGTTGTAAGGAAGGGATCCAGTTTCAGCTTTCTACATATGGCTAGCCAGTTTTCTTTCCCAGGACCATTTGTAAAATAGGGAATCCTTTTCCTTTTTCTTGTTTTTGTCAGGTTTGTCAAAGATCAGATGGTTGTAGATGTGTGGTGTTATTTCTGAGGCCTCTGTTCTGTTCCATTGGTGTATATATCTGTTTTGTTACCAGTACCATGCTGTTTTGGTTACTGTGGCCTTATAATATAATTTGAAGTCAGGTAGCATGATGCCTCTAGCTTTGTTCTTTCTGCTTAGGATTGTCTTGGGAATGCGGGCTCTTTTTTGGTTCCATATGAACTTTAAAGTAGTTTTTTCCAATTCTGTGAAGAAAGTCATTGGTAGGTTAATAGGGATGGCATTGAATCTATAAATTACCTTGCACCGTATGGCCATTTTCACCATACTGATTCTTCCTACCCGTAAGCATGGAATGTTCTTCCATTTGTTTGTATCCTCTTTTATTTCATTGAGCAGTGGTTTGTAGCTCTCCTTGAAGAGGTCCTTCACATCCCTTGTAAGTTGGATTCCTAGGTATTTAATTCTCTTTGTAGCAATTGTGAATGGGAGTTTACTTATGATTTGGCTCTCTGTTTGTCTGTTGTTGCCGTATAGGAATGCTTGTGATTTTTGCACATTGATTTTGTATCCTGAGACTTTGCTGAAGTTGCTTATCAGCTTAAGGAGATTTTGAGCTGAAACAATGGGGTTTTCTAAATATACAATCATGTCATCTGCAAACAGGGACAATTTGACTTCTTCTTTTCCTAATTGAATACCTTTTATTTCTTTCTCTTTCCTGATTGCCCTGGCCAGAACTTCCAACACTATGTTGAATAGGAGTGGTGAAAGAGGGCATCCTTGTCTTGTGCCAGTTTTCAAAGGGAATGCTTCCAGTTATGCCCATTCAGTATGATATTGGCTGTGGGTTTGTCATAAATAGCTCATATTATTTTCAGATACGTTTCATCAATACCTAGTTTATTCAGAGTTGTTAGCATGAAGCGCTGTTGAGTTTTGTCAAAGGCCTTTTCTGCATCTATTGAGATAATCATGTGGTTTTTGTCATTGGTTCTGTTTATGTGATGGATTACATTTATTGATTTGCATATGTTCAACCAGCCTTGCTTCCCAGGGATGAAGCTGACTTGATCCTGGTGGATAAGCTTTTTGATGTGCTGCTGGATTTGGTTTGCCAGTATTTTACTGAGGATTTTCACATCGATGTTCATCAGGGATATTGGTCTAAATTTTTCTTTTTTTGTTGTGTCTCTGCCAGCCTTTGGTATCAGGATGATGCTGGCCTCATAAAATGAGTTAGGGAGGATTCCTTCTTTTTCTATTGATTGGAATAGTTTCAGAAGGAATGGTACCAGCTCCTCTTTGTACCTCTGGTAGAATTCAGCTGTGAATCCTTCGGGTCCTGGACTTTTTTTGGTTGGTAGGCTATTAATTATTGCCTCAATTTCACAGTCTTTTATTGGTCTATTCAGAGATTCAACTTCTTCCTGGTTTAGTATTGGAAGGGTGCGTGTGTCCAGGAATTTATCCATTTCTTCTAGACTTTCTAGTTTATTTGCATAGAGGTTTTTATAGTATTCTCTGATGTAGTTTGTATTTCTGTGGGATCAGTGGTGATATCCCCTTTATCATTTTTTATTGCATCTATTTGATTATTCTCTCTTTTCTTCTTTATTAGTCTTGCTAGTGGTCTATCAATTTTGTTGAGCTTTTCAAAAAACCAGCTCCTGGATTCATTGATTTTTTGAAGGGTATTTTTGTGTCTCTATATTTTCCATTCTGCTCTGATCTTAGTTATTTCTTGCCTTCTGCTAGCTTTTGAATGTGTTTGCTCTTGCTTCTCTAGTTCTTTTAATTGTAATGCTTGGGTGTCGATTTTAGATCTTTCCTGCTTTCTCTTGTGGGCATTTAGTGCTATAAATTTCCCACTACACACTGCTTTAAATGTGTCCCAGTGATTCTGGTACATTGTGTCTTTGTTCTCATTGGTTTCAAAGAACATCTTTATTTCAGCCTTCATTTCATTATTTACCTAGTAGTCATTCAGGAGTAGGTTGTTCAGTTTCCATGTAGTTGTGCAGTTTTGAGTGAGTTTCTTAATCCTGAGCTCTAATTTGATGGCACTGTGGTCTGAGAAACAGTTTGTTGTAATTTCTGTTCTTTTATATTTGCTGAGGAGTGCTTTAATTCCAATTATCTGGTCAATTTTAGAATAAGTGTGATGTGTTGCTGAGAGGAATGTATATTCTGTTGATTTGGGGTGGAAAGTTCTGTAGATGTCCATTAGGTCTGCTTGGTGCAGAGCTGAGTTCAAGTCCTGGATATCCTTGTTAACCTTCTGTCTCATTGATCTGTCTAATATTGAGAGTGGGGTGTTAATCGTCTCCCATTATTATTGTGTGGGAGTCTAAGTCTCTTTGTAGATCTCTAAGGACTTGCTTTATGAATCTAGGTGCTCCTGTATTGGGTGCATATATACTTAGAATAGTTAACTCTTCTTGTTGCATTGATCCATTTACCATTATGTAATGCCATTCTTTGTCTCTTTTGATCTTTGTTAGTTTAAAGTCTGTTTTATCAAAGACAGGAATGCAACCCCTGCTTTTTTTTTTTTTTTTGCTTTCCTTTTGCTTGGTAGATCTTCCTCCATCCCTTTATTTTGAGTCTATGTGTCTCTGCATGTGAGATGGGTCTCCTGAATACAACACACTGATGGGTCTTGACTCTTTATCCAATTTGCCAGTCTTTGTCTTTTAATTGGGGCATTTAGTCCATTTACATTGAAGGTTAATATTGTTATGTGTGAATTTAATCCCGTCATTATAATGTTTGCTGGTTATTTTGCCTGTTCATTGCAGTTTCTTCATAGCATCAATGGTCTTTACAATTTGGCATGTTTTTGCAGTGGCTGTTAACAGTTGTTTCTTTTCATGTTTATTGTTTCCTTCAGGAGCTCTTGTAAGGCAGGCCTGGTGGTGACAAAATCTCTCAGCATCTGCTTGTCTGTAAAGGATTTTATTTCTCCTTCACTTATGAAGGTTAGTTTGGCTGGATATGAAGTTCTGGGTTGAAAGTTCTTTTCTTTAAGAACGTTGACTATTGGCCCCCACTCTCTTCTGGCTTGTAGGGTTTTTGCAGAGAGATCTGCTGTTAGTCTGATGGGCTTCCCTTTGTGGGTGACCTGACCTTTCTCTCCGGCTGCCCTTAACATTTTTTCCTTATTTCAACCTTGGTGAATCTGACAATTATGTCTTGGGTTTGCTCTTCTCAATGAGTACCTTTGTGGTGTTCTCTGTATTTCCTGAATTTGAATGTTGGTCTGCCTTGCTAGATTGGGAAGTTCTCCTGGATAATATCCTGAAGAGGGTTTTCCAACTTGGTTCCATTCTCCCCACTGCTTTCAGGTACACCAATTCAACAGAGATTTGGTTTTTTCACATAGTCCCATATTTCTTGCAGGCTTCATTCATTTCTTTTTACTCTTTTTCTCTAACTTTGTCTTCTCACTTTATTTCATTGATTTGATCTTCAATCACTGACACCCTTTCTTCCACTTGATGGAATTGGCTATTGAAGCTTGTGCATACATCATGAAGTTCTTGTGCCATGGTTTTCATCTCTATCAGGTCATTTAAGGTCTTCTCTTCACTGTTTATTTTAGTTAGCCATTTGTCTAACTTTTTTCAAGGTTTTTAGCTTCCTTGCAATGGGTTTGAACATGCTCCTTTAGCTCAGATAAGTTTTTCATTATTTCTGACCTTCTGAAGCCTACATCTGTCAACTTGTCAAAGTCATTCTCTGTCCAGCTTTGTTCCATTTCTGGTGAGGAGCTGTGATCCTTTAGAGAAGAAGTGCTCTGGTTTTTAGAATTTTCAGCTTTTCTGCTCTGGTTTCTCCCCATCTTTGTGGTTTTATCTACCTTTGGTCTTTGATGTTAGTGACCCACAGATGGGGTTTTGGTGTAGATGTTCTTTTTGTTGATGTTGATGCTATTCCTTTCTGTTGGTTAGTTTTCCTTCTAACAGTCAAGTCCCTCAGCTGCAGGTCTGTTGGAGTTTGCTGGAGGTCCACTCCAGATTTTTCCTGGGTATCACCAGTGGAGGCTGCAGAACAGAAAATATTGCAGAACAGCAAATATTGCTGCCTGATCCTTCCTCTGGAAGCCTCGTCCCAGAGGGGCACCCACCTATATGAGGTGTCTGTTGGCCCCTACTAGGAGGTGTCTCCCAGTTAGGCTACACGGGGCCAGGTACCCACTTGAGGAGGCAGTCTCTCTGTTCCCAGAACTCAAACACTGTGCTAGGAAAACCACTTTTCTCTTCAGAGCTGTCAGACAGGGACATCTAAGTCTGCAGAAGTTGTGTGCTGCCTTTTGTTCAGCTATGCCCTTCCCACAGAGGTGGAGTCTATAGAGGCAGTAGGCCTTGCTGAGCTGCGGTGGGCTCTGCCCAGTTCAAGCTTCCCGGCCACTTTGTTTACCTACTCAAGCCTCAGCAATGGTGAACGCCCTCCCCCAGTCAGCCTGCTGCCTCACAGTTCAATCTCAGACTGCAGCGCTAGCAGTGAGCAAGGCTCCGTGGGTGTGCAAACTGCCAAGCCAGGCATGGGAGAGAATCTCCTTGTCTGCTAGTTGCTAAGACCTTGGGAAAAGCACAGTATTTGCGTGGGAGTGTCCCATTTTTCCAGGTACAGACTGTCACAGCTTCCCTTGGCTAGGAAAGGGAAATCCCCTGGCCCCTTGCTCTTCCCAGGTGAGGTGATGCCCTGCCCTCCTCCAGCTTGCCCTCCATGGGCTGCACCCACTGTCCAATCAGTCCCAATGAGATGAACCAGGTACCTTAGTTGGAAATGCAGAAATCACCTGTCTTCTGCATTGATCACACTGGGAGCTGCAGACCAGATCTGTTCCTATTCAGCCATCTTGGAATGGAGAGCCAGGCTTTATTATAGAATCTGCATTTCCATAATCCAGACTTCCTTCAAGACAGAGGCCAAAGAGAGGAACAATCTCATAATCTGGTCTCTGAGTTCTATTCTCATTGTATATATCATTCTACAGAACTACTATAATTTCCTCTAATAATTATCCACATTCAACTCTTTTTCTGGTGCATACCTGACCAAATAACATTCCATGTCAACATTCAGGTTTGCAGGTTATTGAAAGACATCCCCAACTCCATATCTATTCAAATTCATTTTTGGTTCCACTCAATTAAGGTTTCTCTCCTCCATCTTTTTGCCACCAAATACCTCTGTACATCTCTTCATACTGCAAGACAATAGTAGCAAACATATGGCTCTGTCCAGCCACATAGTCAGCCCTTGTCATGAAGAATCTGTTTGTTCATTCCACTTGTCAGCATGAATTCACAAAACTCTGACTCAGCCACTGAGTGCAGCTTTCAGGGAGAATAACTTGAAGGCTATAAGCAGGATACAGTACAGGTCTCCAATAATCTTTCCTGAATTATGGCATTTTTAAAAATTGTAAGTCTAATGATTATAGCCTTTGCCTTTTTCTGTATGTAAGATAATATCTTACAGGTTTAATAATTATGCATCTGTAATTTATAAGTAGATTTACCTTTACATTGAAACTTTGATGAAGTTTAGCTCTAATGTAACTTCTAACCACATTTGATGTAACTTATGAGCACATGCAGAACCTCCACCACCAGTATATAAGCTCTTGGCTGAAACAGTACTTTGGAGTATTTTAACAGAAACTCTGAAAACTACCCTAGATTGCAGTCCTCAGGAAGACTCTGAATAAAATTAACTTTAATTCTTTAAAAGGAAGATGTTTTTCTTTAGTTGACAGCACCATTCTACTCATCTAAAATCCCCACTCCTATGTTTTGTGCAAGTATTTAAAGATCTACATCAAAACTCAGGGATTGCAAGAGGCCCTCCTAGGTTTAACCCTTCCTTCTCTCTCTTCCATATGCTGTGTGATATGATTATGCCTACTTTCAATTTATATTTGTATTTTTTAACTTGTTTGTATTTCCATTTCACCTGACATATGCATTCTGTCTTTCTTAGATTATTATTAACTAAAAACAGTGTAATTAGTATATTCTAATTATTTAACAATTTAATTTTTAATTCTTCCATGAAACTTTGGTCACATCCATATACACAATAGGTGCTTGTCAAATACTTCTGGACTGATCATCTCAATGTCTCCAATAAGTACAGAACTAATAAATAAACTGCAAAAATGTAGGCAAGCAAATTTTATATGTCCCATTTTGATACAAAAATTATAAATTCTCATGGATTAGTAATGTTTAGGAGTTATTGAGGTTCTTTTATTTTTCCAAAAAATAACTTTTAACACAAGCAAAATATTTATGTACTTTATTGTGTTTATTTTTATGTAATTCATTTTTTTATTTTTTATTTACTTTTTTAGTATTTAAAAAAATTCTGTGGGTACATAGTAGATGATGTATGTATTTATGGGGTACATGGGATGTTTTGAAATAGCCATGCAATGTGAAATAAGCACATCATGAAGAATGGGGTATCTATCCCCCAAGCATTTATCATTTCAGTTACAGAGAATCCAATTTCATTCTTTACATTATTTTAAAATATAGAATTAAGTTATTATTGAGTATAGTCTCCCTACTTTTCTATCAAATAGTAGTTCTTATTCATTCTTTCTATTTTTGGCACACATAAACTATCCCTACCTTTCCTCGAGTCCCTCACCACCATTGCCAGCCTCTGGTAACCATCCTTCTACTCTCTATGTTCAATCAGTTCAATTGATTTGATTTTTAGATATCACAAATAAATGAGAATATGTGATGTTTGTCTTTCTGTGCTTGGTTTATTTTGCTTAACATAACAATCTCCAGTTCCATCCATGTTGCTGCAAATGACTGGATGTCACTCTTTTTAATGGTTAAAAAGTACTTCATTGTGTGTGTATATATATACCACGTTTTCTTTATCCATTCATCTGTTGATGGACACTTAGGTTACTTCCAGATCTAGAATAGTGTAAGCAGTGCTGCAGCAAAAATGGGAGTGCAGCTATCTCTTCAATATTCTGATTTCCTTTTCCTTGGGTATATACCCAGCAGTAGGATTGCTGGATCATAGGGTAGCTCTATTTTTGTTTCTGTTTTTGTTTTCTTTTTTTTTTTTTTTTTGAGGAATCTCTAAACTGTTCTCCATAGTGCTTGTACTAATTTACATTCTCACCAACAGTGTACCTGGGTGTCCTTTTGTACACATTCTCACCAGCATTTGTTATTGCCTGTCTTTTGGATATAAGCCATTTTAACTGGGGTGAGGTAATATTGTAGTTTTGATTTTCATTTCTCTGATGATAATTGACATTGAGCACCTTTTCATATGCCTGTTGTCCATTTGTATTTCTTTTTTTGAGAAATGTCTATTCAAAACTTTTGCAAATTTTTAGATGGGATTATTAGATTTTTTTTCTATAGAGATGTTTGAGCTCCTTGCATATTCTCATTGTTAATCCCTTGCCAGATGAATAGCTTGCAAATATTTTCTCCCATTCTGTGGGTTGTCCCTTCACTTTGTTGATTGTATTCTTTGCAGTGCAAAAGATTTTTAACTTGATGTGATACCATTTGTCCATGTTTGCTTTGGTTCCCTGTGCTTGCGGGGTATTGCTGAAGAAATCTTTGCCCAGATAAATGTCATGGAGATTGTCTTAAACGCTTTCTTGTAGTAGTTTCATAATTTGAGGTCTTAAATTTAAGTCTTTAATCTATTTTGATTTGATTTTTGTATATGGCAAGAGATAGGGGTCTAGTTTCATTCTTTTGCATATGGCTATCCAGTTTTCTCAGCACCACTTATTGTAGAGACTGTCTTTCACCCCAGGTATGTTCTTGGCACCTTTATCAAAAAGGAGTTTGCTGTAGGAGAGTGGATTTATTTCTGGGTTCTCTATTCTGCTCCATTGATCTATGTGTCTGTTTTTATACCAGTGCCATGCTGTTTGGGTTACTATAGCTCTGCAGTATAATTTGAAATCAAGTAATGTTATTTTGCTTAGAATAGCTTTGGCTATTCTGGGTCTTTTATGGTTCTATATAAATTTTAGAATTTTTTTTCTATTTCTGTGAAGACTGTCATTGGTATTGTTATAGGAATTGCATTGAATCTGTAGCAATGCAAGGAACTGCATGCTTTGGGCAGTATATTTTAACAATATATATTTTTACAAAATGGGTTCTCCCAATCAATGAACATGAAATTTTTTTCACTTTTTTGTGTCCTCTTCAATTTCCTTCATCAACGTCTTATAGTTTTTAGTATAGAGATCTTTTACTTCTTTTGTTAATTCCTAGCTACTTAATTTTCTGTGTGGCTATCATAAATGAGATTACTATTTTTTCTTTTTCACATTGTTTACTGTTAGCATAAAGAAATGTTACTAAGTTTTATATCTTGACTTTGTATCCTGCAACTTTACTAAATTTGTTTATCACTTCTAATAGTTTTCTTGTGGAGTCTTTAGGTTTTTCCCAATATAAGATGTATCATCTGCAAACAAGAATAATTTGACTTTTTTTCCAACTTGGATGCCTTTGATATTTTTCTTTTGTCTGATTGCTCTAGCTCAGACTTCCAGTAATATGTTGAATAACTATGGTGAAAATGGGCATCCTCATCTTGTTCCAGATCTTAGAACAAAAGCTTTCTGTCTTTTCCCATTCAGTATGTACTAGTTGTGGGTCTGTCATATGTGCTTTTTATTATGTTGAGGTATGTTTCTTCTATTCCCAATTTTTTGAGAGTCTTTATCATGAAGGGATGTTAAATTTTATCAAATGCTTTTCAGCATCAATTAAATGATCATATTGTTTTTATTCTTCATTCTGTTGAAACAATGTATTACACTGATTGATTTGCATATGTTGAACCATTTTTGCCTCTCAGGAATAAATCCCACTTGGTCATGATGGACATTTGTAATGTACTGTTGAATTCAGTTTGCTAGTATTTTGTTGAAGATTTTTGCATCAATGTTTAACAGTGATATTGCTCTGTAGTTGTTTTCATATGAATCTTTGGTTGGTTCTGGTATCAGGATAATACTGGCTTCCTGGAATGACTTTGAAAGTATTCCCTCTTCCTCTATTTTTTGTAATAGCTTGAGTAGGACTGGTATTACTTCATCTTTAAATGTTTGGTAATATTCAGCAGTGAAGACATCAGGTCCTGGGCTTTTCTTTATGGGAAAACTTTTTATCCTGACATTGATGTTATTACCTGTTGCTGGTCTGTTCAGGTTTTGGATTTCTTCCTAATTCCATCTTGGTAGGCTGTTTGTATCTAGGAATTTTTCCATTTCTTTTAGATTTTTAAATTTATTGGCATGTAGTTGCTCATAGTAGTCACTAATGATCTCTTGAATTTCTGAAGTATCAGTTGTAATGTTTCCTTTTTCATTTCGGACTTTGTCTATTTGGATCTTATCTCTTTTTTTTGTTAGTCTGGGTAAAGGTTTGTCAATTTTGTTTAAGTTTTCAAAAAAAACAACTTTTTGTTTCATTGATTTTTTTGTAATTTTGTAATTTTAGCTTTATTTATTTCTGCCTTGATATTACCATTTCTTTTCTTCTATTAATTTTGGGTTTGGTTTTCTCTTTTTTAGTTCTTTAAGATGTATTGTTAGATTGTTTATTTGAAGTTTTTTCTCTTTTCTGATGTAGGCACTTAATAGCTACAAACTTCCCTCTTAGTACTGCTTTCGCTGTAACCCATAGGTTTTGGTATAATGTGTTTCCAATAACATTTCCTTCAAAAAATTTTTGAATTTCCTCCTTAATTTGCTCATTGACCCACTGGTCATTCGGGAGCATATTGTCTAATTTACATGTATTTGTATAGTTTTCTAAATTCCTCGTTATTAATTTCTAGTTTTATTCCGTTGTGGTCAGAGAAGATGCTTATTTTTTCAATTTTTTGAACATTTTAAGACTTGTTTTGGTACATAACATGTGGTCTATTCTTAGAGGAGACTTTATTAAACAAACTTATAGCACATAAGGACCACAATATACAAACCTGAATGGGAGATGGAATTCAGTGAGCATAAGGACCTATGTATCATTAGGATGATATACATTGCTAGATAACTAATGCAATGCTTGTGCAAAGGTATGTACTGTAGAGATATTAACATATTTATTTTAATTTTTTATCATATTTATTTTAAATTGGTCAGCATAATTATTCTAAGCTGTTTTATAAGGAAAAATTGAGTTTTTGTCAAGACTCCACTTACACAATGTTTAACCCTCAGGTTTTCAGGGACTCTGATAATTCACAGAGAATGTTCACTCCCATTATATCACTTTTGATTCTCTCAATTATCTTCACCTATGGTAAAATCATCCCCATTTTAAAGATGAGGATATCAAGACTCAGGGACTTATCATCTGCGCCAAGAACATGGTGTCTGCAAGTTGTAGAGCAGAGGCTAGTACCCATAACCTTTGCACCTCAAAAACTTCTCTCTAAGCAAATTATTCAGTTCAACATTCATGAATGTGTACTGTGATACACCATTTCATTATTTCCTCTAATCAGTGACTTTCAAAATAAACATTGAGTTAATCATTGCAGCACCAGTTGATTAAAAAGGGGGTCAAGAAAGTTTGATTTTGTAACCTTTTGAACTTGCATGAACCCAGGTCTTAGTGAACTTTTTATACTAGAACAAAGATAAGCCGCAATTTGATGCCTGATTCACATTGCTCTAAACTCTGAAAGAAACACACTCCTTTATTATGGTTAAAATGAACACTGGCTGTCTTTAGATCATCTGCTTTATTCCCTAAGAGATGCAGGTCTCTACTCTCCTCTTCCTTCCTATCATAAGACTCCCACCTGTATCATTTTATAAAATGAGAGAATTACAGATAATTAAAGATAGAAGGAACCTCAGCAACCCACTCTTCTAATTCCCTACTTTATCGTTAAGAGTAAGGAACTCATGGCTCAGTGAGGTGATGCGTTACCTATGAATGAGAAGAAGACATTTTTTTCAAATCCAGGTTTCCAATTCCCTGTTCAGTGACTTTTCACATCAATAAGATTTTCCATCATTGCCTAAATGAATGGACAAGATGTCATCAGCATGAAGTGCTCCACAAAAAGAATCATAAACCTTGCTTGACAAGAGGTTTTTTTTTGGTTTAAATTTTATTTTAAGTTCCAGGATACATGTGCAGAACGTCCAGGTGTGTTACATCTGGGTAAACATGTGCCATAGTGGTTTACTGCACATATGAACCCATAACCTATGTATTAAGCCCCACATACATTAGTTTTATTCTGATACTCTCCCTCTCCCCACCGCCCCTGACAGGCTTCAGTGTGTGTTTTTCACTTCTCTGCATCCATATGTTCACATTGTTCTGCTCCCACTTATGAGTGAGAACATGTGTGTTTGTTTTTCTGTTCCTGTGTTAGTGTGCTGAGGATAATGGCTTCCAGCTTCATGCATGTCCCTGCAAAGGACATGATCTCTTTGCTTTTTATGGCTGCATAGTATTCCATGATATATATGTACCACATTTTATTTATCCACCCTATCTTTGATGGGCATTTGGGTTGATTCCATATATTTGCTATTGTGAATAGTGCTGCAGTAAACATATGTGTGCATGTGTCTTTATAATAGAATGATTTATATTCCTTTGGGTATGTGCCCAGTAATGGGATTGCTGGGTCAAATGGTACTTGTGGTTCTAGATCCTTGAGGAATTGCCACACTGTCTTCCACAATAGTTGAACTAATTTACCTTCCCATCAACAGTGTAAAAGCATTCCTATTTCTCCACAGCCTCACCAGCATCTTTGTTTCTTGACTTGATATGAGTGGCATGAGGTGGTATCTCATTGTGGTTTTGATTTGTATTTCTCTAATGATCACTGATGTTGAGCTTTTTTTCATATGTTTGTTGGTTGCATAAATGTCTTCTTTTAGGAAATGTCTGTTTATGTCCTTTGCCCACTTTTGCATGGGTTTTTTTTCTTACAAATTTGTTTAAGTTCCTTGTAAATTCTGGATATTAGACCTTTGTCAGATGGGTATATTGCAAAAATTTTCTCCCATACTGTATGTTGCCTTTTGCTGTGCAGAAGCTCTTTACTTTCATTAGATTCTATTTGTCAATTTTTGCTTTTGTTGCAATTGCTTTCGGTCATTGCATTATAAAATGTTTCTCCATGCCTATGTCCTGAATGGTGTTACCTAAATTTTTTTCTAGGGTTTTTATAGTTTTGGGTTTTACATTTAAGTCTTTAATCCATCTTGAGTTAATTTTTGTACAGGGTCTAAAAATGGAATCCAATTTCAATTTTCTGCATATAGCTAGCCAGTTCTCTCAGCACCATTTATTAAATATGGAATACTTTACCCTTTGCTTGCTTTTGTCAGGTTTGTTGAAGATCAGATGGTTGTAGATGTGTGGTCTTATTTCTGAGATCTCTATTCTGTTCCATTGGTCTATATGTCTGTTTTGGTACCAGTGCCATGCTGTTTTGGTTAATATAGCCTTGTAATATAGTTTGAAGTCAGGTAGTGTGATGCCTTCAGCTTTGTTCTTTTTGTTTAGGATTGTCTTGGTTATACAGGCTCTTTTTTGGTTCCATATGAATTTTAAATTCGATTTTTCTAATTTTGTGAAGAATGTCAATAATAGTTTGATGGGAATAGCATTAAATCTATAAATCATTTTGAGCAGTATGGCCATTTTCATGACATTAATTCTTCCGATCCATGAAAATGAAGTGTTTTTCTGTTTCTATGTTTCCTATCTTATTTCCTTGAGCAGTGGTTTGTAGTTCTCCTTGAAGAGGCACTTCACATACCCTTTTAGCTCTATTCCTAGGTATTTTATTCTCTCTGTAGTAATTGTGAATGACAGTTCATTCATGATTTGTTGCTCTGCTTGTCTACTGTTGGTGTATGGGAATGCTTGTGATTTTTGCACGTTGATTTTGTATAATGAGACTTTGCTGAAGTTGCTTATCAGTTTAAGGAGCTTTTGGGCTGAGTCTGAGGATTATGTTGTTCAATTTCCATGTAGTTGTATGGTCTTGAGTACTAATTCGATTGCACTGTGGTCTGAGAAACTGTTAGAATTTCAGTTCTTTTGCATTTGCTGAGGAGTGTTTTACTTCCAATTATATGATCAATTTTAGAGTAAGTGCCATGTGACACTGAGAACAATGTATATTCTGTTGTCTTGGGGTGGAGAGTTCTGTAGACACCTATCAGGCCCACTTGATCCAGAGCTTCCAGAGCTCAGTTCAAGTCCTAAATATCATTAATTTTCTGTCTCAATCTGTCTAATATTGACAGCAGGGTATTAAAGTCTCCCACTTTTATTGTATGGGAATCTAAGCCTCTTTGTGGGTCTCTAAGAACTTGTTTTGTGAATCTGGTTGCTCCTGTATCAGGTGCATATATATTTAGGATAATTATGTTTTCTTGTTGAATTAATCTATTACAATTATGTAATGCCCTTTGTCTTTTTTTCTTCATTGGTTTAAAGTCTGTTTTGTCAGAAACTAGGATTGCAACCCTTGCTCTTTTTTCTGCTTTCCATTTGCTTTGTAAATTTTTCTCCATCATTTTATTTTGAGCCTGTGTGTGTTTTTGCATGTGAGATGGGTCTCTTGAATACAGCACACCAATGAGTCTTGACCCTATCCAATTTGCCAGTCTGTGTCTTTTAATTGGAGCATTTAGCCCATTTACATTTAAAGTTAATATTGTTATGTGTGAATTTGATCCTATCATGATTCTAGCTGGTTATTTTGCACACTAGTTAATGCAGTTTTTTTATAGTGTAATTGGTCTTTGTATTTCAGTGTGTTTTTGTAGTGGCTGGTACCAATTTTTTCTTTCCATGTTTAGTGCTTCCTTCAGGAGCTCTTGCAAGGTAAGCCTGGTGGTGATAAATTCCCTCAGCATTTGCTGTCTGAAGAGGATTTTATTTCTCCTTTGCTTATAAAGCTTAGTTTGACTGGATATGAAATTCTTGGTTGAAAATTCTTTTCTTTAAGAATGTTGCATTTTAGCTGCCACTCTCTTCTGGCTTGTAGGGTTTCTGCTGAGATGCCCACTATTAGTCTGATGGGCTTTCCTTTGTAGGTGACCTGGCCTTTCTCTCTGGCTGCACTTAACATTTTTTCCTTCATTTCAATCTTGGAAAGTCTGATAATTATGTGTCTTGGGGCTGATCTTCTCATGGAGTATCTTACTGTGGTCCCCTGTATTTCCTGAATTTGAATGTTTACCTCTCTTGATAGGTTGGGGAGGTTCTCCTGGATGATATCCTGAAGTGTGTTTTTTAACTTGGTTCCATTCGCCCCGTCTCTTTTAGGTACTCCAATCAGTTGTAGGTTCAGTCTTTTTACATAGTCTCATAGTTCTTGGAGGTTTTGTTCATTCCTTTTCATTCTTTTTTCTCTAATCTTGTCTGTCTGCCTTAATTCAGCAAGATAGTCTTCAAGCTCTGATATTTTTTCTTCCATTTGATCAATTCAGCTATTGATACTTGTTTTTGCATTATGAAGTTCTTGCGCTTTATTTTTCAGCTCCATCAGGTCATTTATCTTTCTCTCTAAACTGGTTATTCTAGTTAACAGCTCCTATAACCTTTTATTATGTTTCTTAGCTTCTTTGCATCGGCTTAGAACATGCTCCTTTACCTCAGTAAAGTTTGTTACCACCCACCTTCTAAAGCCTACTTCTGTCAATTTGTCCATCTCAACCCCTGTCCAGATCTGTGCCTTTGCTGGGGAGGTGTTTCAATCATTTGGAGAAGAGGCACTCTGGCTTTTTGAGTTTTCAGCATTTTTTCATTGATTCTTTCTCATGTTCATGAGTTTGTCCAGTTTTGATCTTTGAGGCTGCTGATCTTTGGATGAGGTTTTTGTGGGGACTTTTTTGTTGATGCTGTTGTTGTTGCTTTCTGTTTGTTTTTCTTTCGATAGTTAGGTCCCTTTTCTATAAGCCTGCAGCAGTTTGCTGGGGGTCCATTTCCTGCCATATTCATCTGGGTCTCTCCAGCACATGGTGATGTGACACAAGGAGGCTGGAGAACAGCAAAGATGGGTGCCTATTCCTTCCTCTGGTATGTCTGACATCAAGGGGCATCAACCTGATGTCAGTAGACACACTCCAGTATAGGATGTCTGGTGACCCCTGTTGTGGTGTCTCAGCCAGTTGGGGTGAATGGGAACCAGGACCTGCTTAATGAAGCACTTTGATTGTCCCTTTGTGGAGGGGGTGTGCTGTGCTGTGGGAAAACCTATTCATCTGGGCTGGTTCATTCTCATCTCATGCAGATTCTTCAGAGCTAGGAGGGGGAAAGAATAAATATACTGGTCTGTGGAGACCATAGCCACCACTCCCTTTAGAGACTCAGGCCCAGGGATATCAGAGCTATGTCCGTAAGCCCCTGGCTGTAGTTGCTGGAGTTCCTACAGGGAAGCCCTGCCCACTGAGGAGGGATGGGTCAGGGTCCAGCCTAAAAAGGCAGTCTGGATAAGGTTTGCACAGCTGGTGTGCTTCATTGTGAGGAAATACTTTTTGGAACCAAGCCAGTCTCCTCAGCTCCAGCAGGAAAAAAACATGGCCTGAGCTATAGTGATGGTTGCTGCAATCCCCCGCAAGGAGTTCAGTGTCTTAGGCAGCTAGCAGCCACAGTGGTGGCTGCCATGTCTCCCCCAGGGAGTTCAGTTTTCTTAGGCAGGCAGTAGCTGCATTGATGGCTGCCACCCCTCCCCCAGGGAGTTCAAATGGCTTAGACAACAGGGAGCTGCAGTGATGATGGCTGCCCCTCCT
The DNA here is from genome assembly GCF_000001405.40 of Homo sapiens. Taxonomy (NCBI): domain Eukaryota; kingdom Metazoa; phylum Chordata; class Mammalia; order Primates; family Hominidae; genus Homo; species Homo sapiens. Next base: position 95,122,362 of record NC_000010.11, read on the forward strand.
TCTGGGAACTTGGTAATCTTAGGCAGATTCCAGCTGAGTTGCTGTTGAGAATCTGTGTAGTTCTATGGTTGAGACCCAAGGCCCTGGTAGTGTGGGATCACAAGTGGGGTCTTCTGAACTGTGGGTTATACAGACCAATGGAAAAAGCACTGTTTCACAGGCTGGGTAGCTTGCTCACTCACCACTTCCCTTCGTTGGGAGTTGGGGTTCTCCTTGCCCCATGTAGCTCTCAGGTGGGGCAACCCACCACCCTGCTTTTCCTGGCTCTCCATGGGTGATGCCAACTGCTTAGTCAATTCTGATGATAGAACCTGGATACCTTGGTTGCTGATGCAAGATTCTCATGCTGTTTTTATTCTTCTGGTTGGGAGCCTCTGACTGCCATTGTTTCTATTTGGACATCTTGGCTCCACCCCCTGTCAAGTTGTTTATTTTTAAATAACCATTTCCATTGAAGAATAAAATACATAGAGATTGTTGCATATGTCCTAAATATATGGCTCAATGAATTATCGCAAAGCAAATATATCTGTTTAGCCAACAAACAGGCCAAGAAAAAAATAATCCCAGGACCACAGAAGCTCCCTTATGCTTCCTGTTAATACTTGTGGTTGCATTATGAAATTTTTGTGTGTATATCTCAGCTCTATCAGATCATGTTGGTTCTTTTTTTTATAGTGGATATTTTGTCCATCAGTTTCTGTATTATTTTATTGTAATCCTTATATTCTTTGGATTGGGTGTTGACTGTATCCTGAATCTCAATGATGTTTATTCCTATCCATATTATAAATTGTATATGTGTCAATTCAGCCATTTCAGCCTGGTTAAGAACCCTTGCTGAGAATTAGTGTGGTTGTTTGGAGAAAAAAAAGATACTCTGGCTTTTTGAATTTCCAGAGTTTTTGGAAACTCTGGTTCTTTCTCATCTGTGTGGGCTGGTATTCCTTTAACTGCAGTGTAAATTGAGCACAGTCAGTAGACTTCTTTTCTGAATGTTTTAACAGGGCCAATGCTTTGTGCAGAGTCTTATTTGCAGCTGAAAATTTGTCCTTGGATTCACAGGGGGTATTTTAGCAAAGTATTTTTGGTGTTGAAGTTTTGGACTGTGACCCCTTGATGGAACTGAAGTGTGATCGTCAGTAGGCAGATTCTTGCTTGGCCACATGGCTTCTCTGTATTTCCTCATGATTGCAGCCATGCTCCCTCTCACTGCTCTAAAAGTGTGGGCTTCTCTCCCAATTGAGAGTTTAATATGAAAGCAACAATTTTTTTTTGAGAAAAACTTATATTCCCTGCTTGACTTGCCATTAAGGAATAATTTTAGGTCTAGGTCATCTTTTATAATTTGTGATATGATTGGGAGAAATACATTATTCTGTGGCTAGAGTAACTTTAGTGTTAACCTTGGCTAAATCTCTCCTGCAATTATTAATTCTTTCAAGACTTCCACATACCATCTAGAAAATGCTTAAACTTTCTCACTTGTCCTAAACATGCCGCTTTTTAAACAATCAGTTATTCTCTTTAGGACAAGAATTTACCTCCCCTAAAATATCCTTTCTTATATAAAATCTCTTTCCTTTATAACCTTCTTTGCATAGCTATGGTGGCCAAACTCAATAAAAAATTCTAGCAGACTCAGTGATAGTAAAAGTTTTGTGCTTCCTTTTTGTTGGTAAATATTATCTCTGCTATAAGGATAATAATTAAGCAAAATACTACAACAATAGAAACTGTCTGATTTTCTAGTTAGAAGGTGCTACAGTATATAGTCACACTGCAAATAGTAGAGCAAGTACAGCAATTCCTGAAAGTGTGGTGTAGTAGATAATTTACATTTAAAATTTTACTCACCAAGACATAACATTTCCCTTTGGGTGTCTATGAAGTTACAAATGCAATTTCATGAATAATTAAAAATCTCCCTGCAAGTATGCATCAAAATATGTTTTAAAACCTGGTAGTGACTCTCAAGAGGAAAAGTAGAAATGACTAAATGTATCTGGTAAGGTAAACATGGGACTAAGTAGGATGAGTAGCCCTTACTCATTTACTTATCTTTTATGATTTTCAGCTTGAAATCTCCTAGTTCTTCACATTAATCTCCAGGACATTCCTCTAGGTTGTCAGGGGTTGCTCTCTTGGTTTTCCAGGCTTTGACTTTAGTATGATGTATCCAGGAGCTGATATCTGTAACTTCTACTGTGGAGGGGATTGAAAGAAGAGCAATTCAGGGCCCTTCCTAGATTAGGCATAGGGAAGTAGAGAGGGAAGGGAGAGCTTTTACCAACACCAAATCTTCTGAGTTAAATAAAGGTGGTCCTGTTTCTTGCGGTTGGGCTTCTGCTAGTTGAGTTAATTTTCACAGTAAAGCCATGGGAAGAATAGTGACCCAAGGAAGGTGGGTTTCATGAGACAGTTTCCTGAGATGTCTTTTGATGATATCACTTGTCTTCTCTACCTTTCCTGAGGACTGAGGTCTCCAAGCACAATGGAGATTATACTGTATGTCTAGTGCCTTTGAGATGCCCTGTGTGACTGCTGCCTTAAATGAGGGGCTGTTGTCACTTAGAGGTACTTAGGTAGACAAAACAAGGAATAATTTCATTAATTAACACTTTTATTACCTCAGGATTTTTCTGTATGGCATGGAAGTGCTTCTACCTAGTTAGTGGAAATATCTACCAATACCAGGAGGTATTGGATGCCCTTCATCTTTGGCATGTAGGTGAAGTCAATTTGCCAGTCCTCCCCTGGGTAGTTTCCCATCCTTTGGATTTGAGAAGGAAGGAGCCATCTGTTGAGGGAATTATTTTTAAGACAGACTTTACAACAATTAACATCCTGTTTGACTGTTCTTAATAAGCTCTTTCCTGAAAACAATCTCTGGAAACAGTGATAAATTTTATCCTTTCCCAAGTGAAAAGCTTGGTGAAGGAGTTTAAGGATTTTCCATTGGCTGGAGGCTGGCAAATGGAGCTTGCCATCCTGATTGTAGCCATTCTGAGGACTGGAGAGTGTACCCTAAAGAAGTGCCCCATTCCATTTCTGCAGGGGAGTACTGAGGTTTAATTTATTATGAAGCCTTCCCAGATTAAAGGGCCTTGAAGTGTGCTGATGTCCTGAGGCTTCCTTGCTGCTGACTTGGCTGCCTGATCAGCTAACATGTTTCCACTGGGTATTTTATCTACTCCTTTCTTATGTCCCTTACAATGCATCTCTGCAAACTCTTGTGGAAGGAAAACTGTTAATTTCCTGTTGGTATTTTATAGGGGATCTATTGGCAGTACAAAAGTGTCCTTCCTTCCAAATGGCAGCATGAGCATGATGGATAACTAAGAAAGCATACTTGATGTGAGTGTAAATGTTAGCTACCTTTCCCTTACTTAATTCAAGTGCTCTTATAAGGGCTTTCAGTTCAACTAGTTGAGTGCTTAGGCCTGAAGCAAGAGATGCACTTTCAATTGCATAATTCAGAGTGATTATTGCATATCCCACCTTATGGACTCCTTGCTCCACAAAGGAGTTTCCATCCATAAAGAGGGTCCGGTCTGGATTTTCTAGGAAAGTTTCTCTGAGATCCTCCCTGGCTGCATAGGTCTGTACCACAACCTGTTTAAGTCATGCTCAGGTTTCCCTGTTTCCTCAGGGAGAAAAGTGGCTGGGTTTAGGCAAGAGCAAGTTTTTACCTGGATGGTGGAACCCTCTAACAAGACAGCTTGATATTTAAGGAGCTGGCTATCTGTTAGCTAAATGTTCCCTGGAGGAGAGTAATCCTGCCACATTATGTGGGGTGTAAACAGTTAAATCCTTTCCCAGGATTAATTTGGAGGCTTCTGGGACCAGTAGGGCCACCATGGCAATATCTCAGAGGCATGCTGGCTATCCTTTAGCCACCAAATTAAATTTCTCACTCAGATAAATCTCTGGCTGTTGAGCTGTCCTCAGGCATGCATTAAAACTCCCAGGGCCATTCCCTTCCTTTCTGATACATACAGATTGAAGGCCCTATGAAAAGACTGAGGGTTGGTGCCTTAAGCAAGCCTTGTTGTAACTGGTTAAAGGCCTTTTGAGCTTCAGGTTCCCAGATTAAGAGAGGAGTTTTAGCCACTTGAGTTTCTTTATGAGGTGATATAGAGGATAAGCTATCTCACCATACCCAGGTATCCATAGCCTGCAAAATCCTGTAATGCCCAAAAATCTTCTTAGTTGCTTTAGGGTTTTGAGGAGGGAAAAGGAAAAAATGGGCTTAATCCTTTCTTCCCCTAATGCTCTGGTCCCTTCAGACAGAACTACATCCAAGTACTTCACTGAGATTTTGCAAAGCTGGGCCTTATATTTTGAAACCTTATATCTTCTGTTAGTTAATAAATTAAGAACTTCAGTGCTTTCCTGGGAAGCTTCCTCAGGTGGGGCACAGAGTGGTATATCATCCACATATTGCAAGACCCTGACCTGAGGATGGAAAACCTCAGAGAGGTCTTTTGATAGAGCCTGTCCAAACAAAAGAGGATTGTCTCAAAATCCCTAAGCAGCGCTATCCATGTTAACTGGGCAATTTGGCCAGAGGGATCTTCAAAGACAAGCAGGTATTGAGAGTCAGGATGTGATGGTATACAGAAAAGGCATCCTTTAAACCTAGGACTGCAAATCATTTAGTTCCCTGAGGTATTTGGGTCAGCACAGTATTAGGGAATAGGTATTACTGGATAAATTGGGACTACCACCTCATTAATGAGGCAGAGGTCCTGAAGTAGTCTCCATTCCCCATTGGGATTTTGCCTTCCTAATATTGGGGTGTTGCAGGGGCTGTTACAGTGTTTGAAAAGGTCCTGCATCTTCAGGTTTTTAATAATGGCTTCTAGCCCTTTCCTAGCCTCTGGCTTTAGGGGGTATTGTCTTTGGTTGGGAAAATAAGTGGGATCATTAAGATGGATCTGGACTGGCCTAGTGGTTACTGCTCAACCTACTCTTCCTTGTTGCTCACACTTCTGGATTGATATTAGCTTCTACCAGGGGGAGACAAAGAGTTTGTCCCCCATGTGAACCAAAATGTCTCTACCTAATAAAGGAGTGGGACTTTCAGGTGTGATTGAAAAGGCATGTGTAACTAATAGGTTCCCCCCAACTGCAACTAAGGGGTTAAGAAAAATAACAGATTAGAGTTTTTTCTGAGGTGCCCCTCACAGTTATGGGAAGATGGGAGGCCTGGATTAGAAAGAAGAAGAGAGAGGCTTGCTGTAGTGTCCAGAAGGAGGTCTACCTTTCTTCCTTCAATTTCCAGAATCACCTGGGGCTCCTGTGCTGTAGTGGCATTTGAGCTCCTGGAGCCAGAGGTTTGAGCCCCAGGACATATCAGCCCAGTTGGATCACCTGTGAGATTGGTTCTGAACCCAGTGACCTTTATCTCCAGGGACAATCCAATTTCCAGTGATCCCCATCACATTCTGGACAGGGTCATGGTGGTTTCTTCTTGCTGCCTGGGCACTCCTTAAAGTGCCCTGACTTGCTGCACTGATAGCAACTAATGGATGCACCTCAGGGATTCTGGACTTTGCAAGTTTGCAAAGCAGTTACTAGAGCCTCTGTTCTTCTCTTTTACTTCCTCTCTTTCTCCTGGACCTCCTTCTGGTCCCTATAATAAAAGACAATGGTGGCCACCCTCAGGAGGTTCTTCAAGGTGCTATCTGGTCCTATAACCTGCCTCTGTAGTTTCCTTCTAATATCAGGATCTTCCTGTGTAATAAACTTGTCCTTCAGGATGAGCTGTCCCTCAACTGAATTGGGGAATAAGGAGGTGTGTTTTATTAGTGCCTGTCTGTCTTTCCATAAAGGCTGTGGGATTCTCATCTGGCTTTTGGTCTATCATAGACAGTTTGGAGTAATTAAGATCTTTGGCCCTAATTCTTTCTAGGCCCTCCAATATGCACATTAGAAACTGTTTTCTTTTTCATTCATCTGTGGTGTCACTGAAGTTCCAATTAAGGTTGTCAAGAGGTATTGCCCCTCTTCTTATTGGGAATGGCTTTTCCCCTATTTCTTCACCTTCCCTATTTATTTTCTCTTTTCCTTTTTGGCCTACTATAGAAGACATACTGCTCATCTCGTAATTTCTCTGTTGCCTGCAGAGCTTCCTGCTTTTCACTGTGGTTAGGGTTTGGATTAGGAGCAGCATAACATCCCTCCACAAGAGGTCAAACACCTGAGTTAGGTTTTGGAAAGCTTCTATATACCTAACAGTGTCATAAAAAATCTGCCTAAGTCTCCCTTTATTTGCCTAAGGTCCTGCAATAAGAAGGGAGCTTGAACCCTTGTGGCATCACCTCTGTTGGGCATTACCTGTAGGCATAAGTGTGAAGGTGCAGAAATGGGGAGTTTTTAAGGTGGTGGGGGTAGAGCACCTGGTGGTGCAGTGGGAGGTTGCCCCAGGTAAGGGGGATTGGAAGGGCTGTAACACTCAATAGATGATTTCTCCATGATATGGTTTGGCTGTGTCCCCACCCAAATCTCATCCTGAATTCCCAGGTGTTATGAGAGGGACCTGGTGAAAGGTAATTGAATCATAGGGTCAGGTGTTTCCTGTGCTGTTCTTGTGATAGTGAATAAGTCTCACGAGATCTGATGGTTTTAAAAATGGGAGTTTCTCTGCACAAGCCTTTTTGGCCTGTTGCTCCTCCTAGCCTTCTTCCATGATTGTGAGGCCTCCCCCACCACGTGGAACTGTAATTCCATTAAAATCTCTTTTTCTTCCCAGTCTCAAGTATGTCTTTATCAGCAGTGTGAAAATGGACTAATTCAGTAAATTAGTACCAGTAGAGTGGGGCACTACAGAAAAGATACCCCAAAATGTGAAAGCAACTTTGAAACTGGGTAACAGGCAGAGGTTAGAACAGTTTGGAGGACTCAGAAGAAGACAGGAAAATGTGGGAAAGTTTGAAACCTTCCAGAGACTTGTTGAATGGCTTTAACAAAAATGCTGATAGTGATATGAACAATAAGGCCCAGGCTGAGGTAGTCTCAGATGGAGATAAACTTCTTGGGAACTGGAACAAAGGTGACTCTTGTTATGTTTTAGCAAAGAGACTGGCAGCTTTTTGCCTCTACCCTAGATATTCATGAAACTTTGAACCTGAGAGAGAGAATTTAAGTTATCTGGCAAAAGAAATTTCTAAGCAGCAAAGCATTCAAGAGGTGACTTGGGTGCTGTTAAAGGCATTAAGTTTTAAAAGGGAAATAGAGCATAAAAGTTCAGAAAATTTGTAGCCTGACAATGCAATAGAAAAGAAAATCCTATTTTCTGAGGAGAAATCCAATCCAGCAGCATAAATTTACATAAGTAATGAGAAGTCAAAAGTTAATCCCCAAAACAATGGGGAAAATGTCTCTAGAGCATTTCAGAGGCCTTCACAGCAGCCCTTCTTGACACAAGTCCAGAGTCCTACAAAGAAAAAGTGGTTTTGTGGGCTGGGCTTGAGGTCCCCATGCTTTATGCAGCTTAGGGACTGGTGCCCTGCATCCTGGCCACTACAGCCATGGCTGAATGGGACCAATAAAGAACTCAAGCTGTGGCTTCAGAGGGTGTAAGCCTCAAGCCTTGTCCACATTATGTTGAGCCTGCCAGTGCACAGAAGTCAAGAACTGGAGTTTGGGAACCTCCACCTAAATTTCAGAAGATGTATGGAAATGCTTGGATGTCCAGGCAGAAGTTTGCTGCAGAGATGGGGCTGTCATGGAGAACCTCTGCTAGGGCAGTGCAGAAGACAAATGTAGGGTTGGAGCCCCCAAACAGTATCCCTACTGGGGCACTGCCTAGTGGAGCTGTGAGAAGAGGGCCACTGTCCTTCAGACCCTAGAGTGGTAGATTCACCAACAGCTTGCACCATGCACCTGGAAAATTCATGGTCACTCAACTTCAGCCAATTAAGGCAGCCAGAAAGGAGGCTTTACTCTGCAAAGACACATGGGTGGAGCTGACCAAGATCTTGTGAACCCACTTCTTGCATCAGTGTGACCTGGATGTGAGACATGGAGTCAAAGGAGATCATTTTGAAGCTTTAAGATTTGATTGCCCCACTGGACTTCAGACTTCCCCGCAGCCTGAAGCCCATTTGTTTAGGTCAATGTTTCCCATTTGGAATGGCTGTATTTATGAAATGCCTGTACCCCCATTGTATCTAGGAAGTAACTAACTTGCTTTCAATTTTACAGGCTCATAGGCAGAAGGGACTTGCCTTGTTTTAGATGAGACTTCAGACTTTGGACTATGTACTTTTGAGTTAATGTTAAAATGAGTTAAGACTCTGGGGGACTGTTGGGAAGGCATCATTGGTTTTGAAATGTTAGGACAGGAGATTTGGGAGGGACCAGTGGTGGAATTATATGGTTCGGCTGTGTCCCCACACAAATTTCATCTTGAATTCACATGTATTGTGGGAGGGACCTGCTGGGAGGTAATTGAATCATGGGGGCAGGTTGTTCCTGTGCTGTTCTTGTCATAGTGAATAAGTGTCATGAGATCTGATAGTTTTAAAAAGAGGAATTTCCCTGCACATGTTCTTCTCTTTGCCTGACACCATCCATGTAAGATATGACTTGCTCCTCCTTGCCTTCCACCATGATTGTGAGGTCTCCCAAGCCATGTGAAACTGTGAGTCCAATTAAACCTCTTTCTTTCTTTTGTAAATTGCCTAGTCTTGGGTATATCATCTTTATCAGCAGTGTGAAAAACAGACTAATACACTCTGGAAGTTGCTTTTCTAGTCTTGGGGAATCATTCCCTTTGGGCCTTCCTGATATGATTGCTAGAAGGGCTGGGTGAATTGTGCAATGCTTGCAAAGGTCTGGGTTTTCTCATAGGGCAAAGAAATCTTGTATATAATGGACCTTGGGCCATTTTCCCTCCCATATGGAGAAAAGATCTAATTCTTGGACACAATTTAAATTAAAGCTTCCTTCCACAGTTTAGGCTGTTTCAAGTGGGTAAGAAGGCCACACCTTTGTGGGAAAAAAAAAGCCACTTTTCTTCATATCTCAGGGTAAAAAGAGTCCCAGTGTTTTCAAATGCACTCCAGAGGACTACAGGCCGAAGATGATCTGTTACTCATCTAGAAATGGAAGCATGAAAAAGATGTCCCTTTAGTCTCCTTCCTATTGGTGTGACCTAGGGTGGAGGGGAAGACAGTGGTGGCATGCTCCACCTACTGATTTCCCTCCTTGGCTCCTGAGTACCAGCACCTTATTTAATGTGCTGCCCATGGCTGCATTCTTGCAACCCTGCAGCCATTTAAAAATACAGGACCAGAGGAACTAAGCAATTGAGATTAGTCATGCTTACCCATGTGACTCTAGTCCTCCACTTGTGATTTCCCTTTGACTTCCTAGACTTATGTGGCCTCTGTGGCTCCTAGAAGGATGGATCTTGGGAAAAACTATAATATTTGCATTTGAGCAAGGCTCCTTTAATGGATAGTGCATGCTAGATTGAACTCTATATCCTGCTTATTATGGCCCATGTTAAAGCGTTTACCCTTAGAGAATGGTTCCAATTAACTTCCAAACTTGAAATCCCCTTGCTGATTGCCATTCTAACTGGTGTGAGATGGTATCTCACTGTGGTTTTGGTTTGCATTTCTCTGATGGCCAGTGATGATGAGCATTTTTTCATGTGTCTGTTGGCTGCATAAATGTCTTCTTTTGAGAAGTGTCTGTTCGTATCCTTTGCCCACTTGTTGATGGGGTTGTTTGTTTTTTTTCTTGTAAATTTGTTTGAGTTCTCTGTAGATCCTGGATATTAGCCCTTTGTCAGACAAGAGGGTTGCAAAAATTTTCTCCCATTCTGTAGGTTGCCTGTTCACTCTGATGGTAGTTTCTTTTGCTGTGCAGAAAGGATCTAGAACTAGAAATATCATTTGACCCAGCCATTCCACTACTGGGCGTATACCCAAAGGATTATAAATTATGCTGCTATAAAGGCACATGCACACGTATATTTACAATAGCAAAGACTTGGAACAAACCCAAATGTCCATCAATGATAGACTGGAGTAAGAAAATGTGGCACATAGACACCATGGAATACTATGCAGCCATAAAAAAGGATGAGTTCATGTCCTTTGTAGTGACATGGATGAAGCTGGAAACCATCATTCTCAGCAAACTATCAATCACAAGAACAAAAAACCCAACACCACATGTTCTCAGTCATAGGTGGGAATTGAACAGTGAGAACACTTGGAACAGGAAGGGGAACATCACACACTGGGGCCTGTCATGGGGTGGGGGTAGGGGAGAGGGATAGCATTAGGAAATATACCTAATGTAAATGACGAGTTAATGGGTGCAGCACACCAACATGGCACATGTATACATATGTAACAAACCTGCACGTTGTGCACATGTACCCTAGAATTTAAAGTATAATTAATTTAATTAAAAAAGAAAAAGAAAAAAAATCCCCTTACTATTTCAGTACCATTTTAATTGGAGGCAGAATAGGTGCCTTAAAAGAACATAGGGACCAAATGGCAGTTTTCTAGTTGATGGGACAGTATCGAAACTAAACAACTTTGTCTTTGGAGGACATTTTACTCCTAATTGTTGTTGAAGGCAGAGTTTTCCTGTTCACAGAAGCAGCATGAAGCCTGGTCTCTAGCAGAGGGGCACAAAAAGGGAGGAGAATTTGGAGGCTAGAGTGTTTTGGCAGAGGACCAACAATGTGCTTCATGGAGAGAATTCCCATCCCACTAGGTGGCGCTGTTGACCTTGAAATGCCATGTGATCTCTAGACTAAGGGCACAGGGTGACCATGACATGTCATGTGCTCTCCATACCAAGGGCAGAGAGTGAACTTCAAATGCCATGTGCTCTCCAGACAAGGGTAGAGTGTTACCTGGAAATGCCATATGCTCTCCAGACCAAGGGCAGAGAGTGACTTCACTGTGATGAGGGACCCTCTATTCCTAGAAAATTACAACGGCATTCCCTTGAGCTACACCTTCAGTTACTATGGCATTTCCTGATCTTACCTAACAAGATTACTTCCCTGAACTGTAAAATTGCTGTGGCATTGCATACAAAGAGAGAGAGGATGGGAGACATGGTGGTTGCAGACAGGAATGGAGGAAATTATAGTATGAAAGCTGGAGATCCTGTTGCTGACACTCTGTCAGGCAGTCAGAGGATGAGGTCAGTCCAAATCCTTTGAACAACACCAGGGAGTAGCTTCCGCCAGAAATCCTCAGTTGCTTCAGAACTTTTTCCAGCCCCATTCAATTGCTAGGTCCTCTGAAAGAAAACTGGTTCAAACATGGCCAATATGCCCAGCAACGTGTGGGTACTGGGGGATTCTACATGTTTTCCCCAGCAAGCCTCTCCCCCATGTCTTGTAAAGCTGGCAGCCATGCTAATTATTTTTAAATGACTGAAGGGAGCCCAGTATTTGGTATGATTTGATTCTAAAATGGAGGCTGAGAGCCTTGAAATGAAAGGACAGAGTTGAGTTTCACTCCTGTATTCAACATTCCAATGAAAGTACCTTGGGATCCTGGACACACCCCCAGTATGAAGATGCATTGTTGTCTAAGGTAAATACCTGAGGTTCATCGTCTTGCAACAAGAAGTCTAAGGGCATGGACACACACAAGGAGTGAGTTTAGGAGTAGAAGTTTTATTTCCAAAGAAAGAGAAAGGAGAATAGCTCTCTCTCTTGTGAGAGAGGGGGCGTCCAAATAAGAATTCTGCCCCATGGCAGAGTGAACCAGATTTTACAGACAGGCTTGAGGAAGCAGTGTCTAATTTACATAGAGCCCACAGATTGGTTGGACCAGGGGTGAGGTTTACATAGTGCATGGGGAAGCTGGCCATCCCATCCTAATCGTCTTATTATGCAAATGGGATCTTTGCTTGACTAATGCCATGTTCCCTGCTCCTTACTGTACATGTGGCTGGCAAAGAGAAGGGAAGATGGAACTGACATTTTGAATGTGCCCAGTCCCAGGCAGCCTTTTCTTATTAGCACAACTGATGGCATTCACCAGTGCAAGCTTCCAGCTTGTTTCTCTATGTCTGCAAGTCATTTTACAGTCTGCTATTTGTAGGAAAAGAAAGTATTTTGGGCTGCTTTTCATTAAAAGGAAAACCTTACTGAGGACTCCTGTGCTCTCACTATCTGCCTAAATAACTTTTTAAAACTCATATATTACTAACATATGTTGCATCTTGGAGAAGTTTCCATATGCATTGAGAAAAATGTGGTTTTTTGTTACTGTTGTGTGGAGTGCTTTGCATGTGTCTGTTAGGTCCAACTGATTATAGTATTGTTCAAGTCCTGTATTTTCTTATCGAAGTCCTGTCTGGTTTTCTTTTCTTCATCATTAAAGAATTTTTTTTGCTGGATAAAGTATTATAGACTGGCAGTTATTTCCTTTTAGCATTTAGATGATATTATTCTATCATCTTCTGAATTTCATTGCTTTTATTTAGAAGTTAGCAATAGTATTGTTACTTTGAAAGGAAATGCATTTTGTTCTCTTTCAATTTTTAGGAACTTTCTTTAATATGTGTTTTATAGTCTTTTGAATATTTTCTGCCTAAACATGTTTTCTTATATCTGGTTTCAGGCTCATAGTTCTCCTCCAATATGTAACCCAATATCTTTAATCTGCTCTGAAAAATTCCAGGTGTTTATCTGTTCAATAGCTTCTTCTCCATTCTATCTTATCTCTCCTTGGGAAGTCTAATTTCAACCTAAGCTCTATAAGCTTCTTCATTGCCTTTTCTCTATATTTTTTTCTTAAGACTGTATGTTGTTTTCTCATTTATTTTCCAATTTATGAATTATTTAGCTATGAAATATCTGGTATTAAACCCATTCATTAAGCAATTCGCTATAGTTAGTGTATTTTTAGTTGCAAAATGTTCATTTAATATTTTAAAATATTTTATATTGTTATGCTGGTATTATTTACCTTTGAATTTATTTCTATATATATGTAGTAACATTTACTGTTATACAACTTTCAGAGAATTCCAAGATTTATGTTAATGTGGGGTTTTATTCTGTTGTCTATATTTTATTCTCAAACTTCTCTATGTGTCTTGTTTTTATTTCTATTTAGACATGGGGTCTCCCTATGTTACCCAGGCATAACTCAAATGCCTAAGCAGAAGCAATGCTCCCATCTCAGCTTCCCAAGAAGCTAGGGCTACAGGCATGCACCACTATACTTGGTATGTCATTTTATTTTTTTGCATATCTAGTTCTTTCATGTTTTCTTTTGCTCTGTTGAAATATAAAATAAATGCAGTTAAGAGCAATCATATTAAGTATAAACATTAATGAATATTTACACGTGTATAAACTTTCATAAACACCATTCACATCAAGATCTACAACACTTCTAACATGCCAGATGCTCTATTATGCCTGTTACAAGTACATTTGCCTCAGAGAATGAGGTGTTATTCTGACAGAAGGTTGATTTTGTCAATGAGGGTTATACTCTACCAATGTAAAAAAATGGAGGACTTCTGGCAAGATGGCTGAATAGGAAGAGCTCCAGTCTGCAGCTCCCAGCGAGACTGACACAGAAGGTGGTGATTTCTGCATTTCCAACTGAGGCACCTGGTTCATCTCAATGGGACTGGTTGGACAGTGGGTGCAGCCCATGGAGGGAGAGCAGAAGCAGGGTGGGACATCGCCTCACCCTTGAAGTGCAAAACGTCGGGGAATTCTCACCCCTACCCAAAGGGAGCCATGAGGGACTGCGCCATGAGGAATGATGCACTCCGACCCAGATACTGTTTTCCCCATGGTCTTCACAACCCCCAGGCCAGGAGATTCCCTCCAGTGCCTACACCACCAGGACCCTGGATTTCAAGCACAAAAGTGGGCAGCCGTTTGGGCAGACACTGAGCTAGCCGCAGTTTTTTTTCATAACACGGTGGCACCTGGAATGCCACTGAGACAGAACCATTCACTCCCCTGGAAAGGGGACTGAAGCCAGGGAGCCAAGTGGTATAGCTTGGTGGGTCCCACTTGAATGGAGCCTAGCAAGCTAAGATCCACTGGCATGAAATTCTCGCTGTAGGCACAGCAGTCTGAGGTTGACCTGGGAAGCTCAAGTTTGGTGAGGGGAGGGATGTCTGCCATTGGTGAAGCATGGGTAGGCAGTTTTACCCTCACAGTGTAAAGAAAGCCACTGGGAAGTTAGAAATGGGCGGAGCCCACCACAGCTCAGCAAGTCCACTGTGGCCAGACTGCCTCTCTAGATTCCTTCTCTCTGGGCAGGGCATCTCTGAAAATAAGGCAGCAGTCGAAGTCAGGGGCTGACAGAGTACCTGGGGGGAAGGGGTGGCTGTGGGCACAACTTCAGCAGAGTTAAATGTCCCTGCCTGATGGCTCTGAAGACAGCAGCAGATGTCCTGGCACAGTGTTCAAGCTCTGCTAAGGGTCAGACTGCCTCCTCAAGTGGGTCGCTCACCCCCGTGTATCCTGACAGGAAGACACCTCCCAGTAGGGCCTAACATACACCTCATATAGGAGAGCTCTGGCTGGCATCTGGCAGGTGCCCCTCTCGGACAAAGCTTCCAGAGGAAAGAACAGGCAGCAATCTTTGCTGTTCTGCAGCCGCTGCCGGTGATACCCAGGAAAACAGGGTCTGGAGTGGACCTCCAGCAAACACCAGCAGACCTGCAGCAGAAGGGCCTGTTAGAAGGAATACTAACAAGCAAAAAGGAATAGCACGTTCAGTCAGAGACCCCATCGGAAGATCACTAACATCAAAGACCAAAGGTAGATAAATCCACAAAGATGGGGAGAACCCAGTGCAAAAAGCCTGAAAATTCCAAAAACCAGAATGCCTCTTCTCTTCCAAAGGATCACAACTCCTCACCAGCAAGGGGACAAAACTGGATGGAGAATGAGTTTGATGAATTGACAGACTTCAGAAGATGGGTAATAACAAACTCCTCTCAGCTAAAGGAGCATGTTCTAACCCGATGCAAGGAAGCTAAGAACCTTGAGAAAAGGTTAGACAAATTGCTAACTAGAATAACCAATTTAGAGAAGAACATAAATGACCTGATGGGGCTGAAAAACACAGCACAAGAACTTCGTGAAGCATACGCAAGTATCAATACCCAAACCAATCAAGTGGAAGAAAGGATATCAGAGATTGAATATCAACTTAATAAAATAAAGTGACAAGACAAGGTTAGAGGAAAAAAATAAAAAGGAATGAAGAAAGCCTCCAAGAAATATGAGACTATGTGAAAACACCAAATCTACATTTCATTGCTGTACCTGAAAGTGATGGAGTGATGAAACCAAGTTGGAAAGCACTCTTCAGGATATTATCCAGGAGAATTCCCCCAACCTAGCAGGAAAGCCCAACATTCAAATTCAGGAAATACAGAGAACACCACAAAGATACTCCTTGAGAAGAGCAACCCCAAGACACATAATTGTCAGATTCACCAAGGTTGAAATGAAAGAAAAAATATTAAGGACAGCCAGAGAGAAAGTCTGGTTTATCCACAAAGGGAAGCCCAGCAGACTTACAGTGGATCTCTCTGCAGAAACCCTACAAGCCAGAGGAGAGGGGGGCCAATATTCAACATTCTTAAAGAAAAGAATTTTCAACCCAGAATTTCATATCCAGCCAAACTAAGCTTCATAAGTGAAGGAGAAATAAAAGCCTTTACAGACAAACAAATGCTGAGAGATTTTGTCATCACCACCAGGCTGGCAAATTGGATAAAGAGTCAAGACACATCTGTGTGCTGTATTCAGAGAACCATCTCATGTGAAAAAGACACACATAGGCTAAAAATAAAGGGATCGGGGAATATTTACCAAGCAAATGGAAAGCAAAAAAAAGCAGGGGTTGCAATCCTAGTCTCTGATAAAACAGACTTTAAACCAACAAAGATCAAAAGAGACAAAGAAGGCCATTATATAATGGTAAAGGGATCAATTCAACAAGAAGAGCTAACAATCCTAAATATATAAGCACCCAATACAGGAGCACCCAGATTCATAAAGCAAGTTCTTAGAGACCTACAAAGAAACACAGACTCCCACACAATAATAGTGGGAGATTTTAACACCATACTGTCAATATTAGACAGATCAACAAGACAGAAAATTAACAAGGATATTCAGGACTTGAACTTAGCTCTGGACCAAGTAGACCTAATAGACATCTATGGAACTCTCCACCCCAAATCAACAGAATATACATTCTTCTTAGCACCTCATTGCACTTATTCTAAAATCAACCACATAATGGGAAGTAAAACACTCCTCAGCAAATGCAAAAGAATGGAAATCATAACAAACATTCTCTCAGACCACAGTGAAATCAAATTAGAACTCTGAATTAAGAAACTCACTCAAAATTGCACAACTACATGGAAACTGAACAACCTGCATGACTACTGGGTAAATAATGAAATTAAGGCAGAAATAAAGACATTCTTTCAAACCAATCAGAACAAAGACACAATGTACCAGAATCTCTGGGACACATTTCAAGCAGTGTGTAGAGGGAAATTTATAGCAGTAAATGCCCACAAAAGAAAGCAGGAAAGATATAAAATTGACACCCTAACATCACAATTAACAGAACTATAGAAGCAACAGCAAAGAAATTCAAAAGTTAGCAGAAGACAATAACTAAGATCAGAGCAGAACTGAAGGAGATAGAGGCACAAAAAACCCTCCAAAAATAAATGAATCTAGAACCTGTTTTTTTGAGATCAACAAAATAGATAGACCGCTAGCCAGAGTAATAAAGAAGAAGAGAGAGAAGAATCAAATAGACACAATAAAAAATGATAAAGGGGATATCACCACTGATCCCACAGAAATACAAACTACCATCAGAGAATACTATAAACACCTCTACATGAATAAACTAGAAAATCTAGAAGAAATGGATAAATTCCTGGACACATACACCCTCCCAGTCTAAACCAGGAAGAAGTCAAATCCCTGAATAGACAAATAATAGGTTGTGAAATTGAGGCAGTAATTAATAACCTTTCAACCAAAAAAAGTCCAGGAACAGACTGATTCACAGCCGAATTCTACCAGAAGTACAAAGAGGAGCTGATACCATTCCTTCTGAAACTATTCCAAACAGTAGAAAAAGAGGGAAACCTCCCTAACTCATTTTATGAAGCCAGCATTATCCTGATATCAAAACCTGTCAGAGAAACAAGAAAAAAAGTTTTCAGGACAAAATCCTGGATGAACATCAATGCGAAAATCCTCAATAAAATACTGGCAAACCGAATCCAGCAGCACATCAAAAAGCTTATCTACCATGATCAAGTCGGCTTCATACCAGGGATGCAAGGCTGGTTCAACATACACAATTCAATAAATGTAATCCATCACATAAACAGAACCAGTGACAAAAACCACATGATTATTTCGATAGATGTAAAAAAGTCCTTTGACAAGATTCAACACCTCTTCATGCTAAAAACTCTCAATAAACTAAGTACTGATGGAACGTATCTCAAAATAATAAGAGCTACTTATGACAAACCCACAGTCAATATCATATCAAATGGGCAAAAACTGGAAGCATTCCCTTTGAAAACCAGCACAAGACAAGGATGCCCTCTCTCACCACTCCTATTCAACATAGTTTTGGAAGTTCTGGCCAGGGCAATCAGGCAGGAGAAAGAAATAAAGGGTATTCAAATAGGAAGAGAGGAAGTCAAATCGTCTCTGTTTGCAGATGACATGATTGTATATTTAGAAAACCCCATCGTATCAGCCCAAAGTGTCCTCAGCTGATAAGCAACTTCAGCAAATTCTCAGGATAAAAAATCAATGTGCAAAAATCACAAGCATTCCTACATGCCAATAACAGACAAACAGAGAGCCAAATCATGAGTGAACTCCCATTCACAATTGCTACAAAGAGAATTAAAAACCTAGGAATACAACTTACAAGAGATGTGAAGGACCTCTTCAAGGACGACTGCTAAGAGCTGCTCAAGGAAATAAGAGAAGACACAAGCAAATGGAAAAACATTCCATGCTCATGGATAGGAAGAATCAATATCGTGAAAATGGCCAAACTGCCCAAAGTAATTTATTGATTCCATTCCATTCCCATCAAGCTATCATTGACCTTCTTCACAGAATTGGGAAAAACTACTTTAAATTCCATATGAAATGTATGTCTTGGCCTGCATAGTCAAGACAATCCTAAGCAAAATGAGCAAAGCTGGAGGCATCACTCTACCTGACTTCAAACTATACTACAAGTCTACAGTAACCAAAACAGCATGGTACTGGTACCAAAACAGATATATAGACCAATGAAACAGAACAGAGGCCTCAGAAATAACACCACACATCTACAACCATCTGATCTTTGACAAACCTGACAAAAACAAGCAATGGGGAAAGCATACCCTATTTAATAAATGGTGTTGGGAAATCTGGCTAGCCATATGCAGAAAACTGAAAGTGGACTCCTTCCATATACCTTATACAAAAATTAACTCAAGATGGATTAAGGACTTAAGACCTAAAACCCTAAAAACCACAGAAGAAAATCTAGGCAATACCATTCAGGACATAGGCATGGGCAAGGACTTCATGAGAAAACACCAAAAGCAATGGCAACAAAAGCCAAAATTGACAAATGGAGTCTAATTAAACTAAAGAGCTTCTATGTAGCAAAAGAAACTATCATCAGAGTGAACAGGCAACAAACAGAATGGGAGAAAATTTTTTCAATCTATCCATCTGACAAAGGGCTAATATCCAGAATCTACAAGGAACTTAAGCAAATTTACAAGCAACGAACAACCCCATCAGAACAGACACTTCTCAAAAGAGGACATTTATACAGCCAACAAACATATGAAAAAAAGCTCATCATCACTGGTCATAGAAATACCATTTGACCCAGTAATCTCATTACTGGGTATACACCCAAAGGATTATAAATCATTCTCCGATAAAGACACACACACACACACACACACACACACACATATATTTTTATTGTGGCACCATTCACAATCGCAAAGACTTGGAACCAACCCAAATGCCCATCAATGATAGAATGGATAAAGAAAATGTGGCACATATATGCCATGGAATACTATGCAGCCATAAAAAAGGATGAGTTCATGTCCTTTGCAGGGACATGATGAAGCTGGAAACCATCACTCTCAGCAAACTAACACAGGAACAGAAAACCAAACACCACATGTTCTCACTCATAAGTGGGAGTTGAAAAATGAAAACACATAGACACAGGGAGGGGCATATCACACACAGCGGGGGCTAGAGGAGGGAGAGCATTAGGAGAAATACCTAATATAGATGATGGGTTGATAGGTGCAGCAAACCACCATGGCACATTTATACCTATGTAACAAACCTGTATATTCTGCACATGTACCCCAGAACTTAAAGTATAAATTTAAAATAAAAACCCTAGAAGAAAATCTAGGCAATACCGTTGAAGACATAGGTATGGGCAAAGATTTCATGATGAAATCTCCAAAAGCAATTATAACAAAAGCAGAAATTGACGACTGGAATTTAATCCAACTTAAGAGCTTCCACACAGCAAACGGAACCATCATCAGAGTGAACAGACAACCTACAGAAGGGGAGACAATTTTTGCAATCTATCTATTGGACAAAGGTCTAATATCCAGAAGCTACATGTAACTTAAACAAATTTAAAAGACAAACACAAATAACACTGTTAAAAAGTGGCGAAGGACATGAACAGACACTTCTTAAAATATACACATGCGGCCAAAAAATATATGAAAAAAAGCTCCTAAATAATAAGTGTATTATTAGAGAAATGCAAATCAAAATGACAATGATATACATGACATACCATGTCATGCCAGTCAGAATGGCTATTATTAAAAAGTCAAAAATCAACAGATGCTGGCAAGATTGTGGAGAAAAATGAAAACTTTTACACTGTTGGTGGGAGTGTAAATTAGTTTCACGGTGGTTTGCACTGTGAAAGACAGTGTTGTGATTTTTCAAAAATCCAGAGGCAGAAATACCATTTGACCCAGCAATCCCATTAGTAGGTATATATCCAAAGGAATATATATCATTCTATTATAAAGATATATGCATGCATATGTTTATTGCAGCACTACTCGCAATAGCGAAGATATGGAATCAACCTAAATGCCCATCAATGATAAACTGGATAAAGAAAATGTGGTACATACACACCATGGAATACTATACAGCCATAAAAAGGAATGAGATCATCTCCTCTGCAGGGACATGGATGGAGTTGGAAGCCATCACCCTCAGCAAACTAATGCAGGAACAGAAAACAAAATACCACATGTTCTCACTTATTAGTGGGAGCTTGATGATGAGAACACATGGACACCTAGAGGGAAGCAACACACACTGGGGCCTCTTGGAGCAGGGAGCTGGGGGAGGGAGAGCTTCAAGAGGAATAACTAATGGATGCTGGGCTTAATACCTAGGTAATGCTATGATCTTTGCAGCAAACCACGATGGCACATGTTTACTTATGTAACAAACCTGCATATCCTGTATGTGTACTCCAGAACTTAAAAGTTGAAAAAAAAAAAACAAAGAATGTGCAGACGTACTGACATCAGGGAATTGAGATCAGGATATCTGAAATCATCTGCCCACCACTGCCCCAAGTGACTCATTTTGGTGGGTGAGGGAGGAGCTATG